>NC_000012.12:105944976-106248006 GCF_000001405.40 Homo sapiens
TTTTTCCTTTCTCTTCTAGAAGAAACTCCAAAGGTCAAAAGGTCTGTTCCCTGACACTCAGACCAATCCTAGACGATTAGCGTTTGGAAAATCAAACTAGAACAATAAAGGGAATTCATTAGCTCATGTAACTGAATGGCCCAAGGATGGTAGAAGCTTCCAGCAAAGCTTAATCCAGGACTGTATTTTGAGATCAGGACCTGGTTTCCCTCTGTCCCTTTTTTTTTTTTTTTCCTTAGCTTATTATTAGTCCATTTTCTTTGATGTTGGTTCCATTCTCAAGTAGTCTTTCCCCTCATGGTGTCAAAATGACTGAAAACAGCTCCACAGCTACATGATCCTTCATTCACATCCAACAGAAATAAGACACTGTGTCTCAGCATTTCCAACAATAGTCCTAAGATTTCCTTGGATTGGATTGGCTTAGATCATGTGCCCATATCTGAACCAATCAGGATGTTTATAAAGAGGGCTGCATGCTGATTGGCCCAAGTCAGAGTCTATTCTTGAAGCTAGGAAGAATGTCAGTCTCACTCAGACCACATGACTGGGGAAGTTGGGGTACAGGAGGTAAAGAAAGTGGGCATGATGGGTAGCCCCATTTTATATATGAAGCAACAGAAAACCAGAGAGGTTTCATCACTCACCCAGAAAGGCAGAGTTAGTCCAGCAAGAGGAGAAACTAGACCTCCAGCCCACTGCCCAAAACAGTCTTATTCTTTCCTCTCTGTATTTAACTTACTCCGAACCAAAACTGTACAAATATCATCCTGTATTTTTCTACTTCTATCATTCTATGAAGAAAAGACAGAAATACTTTAAGGTGTTTCTAGGGGAAAGTAACTTACTTGCAGGTGCACTCCATTCCTTATGATCAGGTTCAACAATATTCAAGAACAAGCAACAACAACAACAAAAAGGTCCCAGGAACCCAATCCATAGACCAACTCAGTCGTCCCAGCCACACAAAGCAACACAAAATGACTGGCAGAGTGAACAAAAAAAGCCCCCACTAGGGCCCTGGGGCTGACTCCAGATTTGAGGGAGGAGGCTGGAGGCCAGAACTGCCTTTTCTTTGTTCCCAATTCTCCATGAGGCTATTTGCATTTCATTGTGGTCCTGGATGATTTAAGGAGCCCAGTGAAAACCCTTGGATGTGGTTAGGACATTCATGCTCCAGTGATAAATAATGTGACCAATGTGTATGGCCTAGAGTCACTGTATTATCAAAGAGCTCCTTGGAAACTGGGCAAATGGTAGGGCTTTTTTTTTTTCCCCTCCTGCTTGTGACTGGTTTATTAATTAATTTATTTATTTTTCATCTACTTTATGAATTGATTTCTCATCCCTTTCCAAGCATATAATACCGTCCTGGGGACTGACACCCATCCTGTCTTTACAACCAGATCCTTTCAATACTGCTGTTCCGCCAGAGCTTTGATCAGCGGGTCAGAGTTGAAAGAAAAAGATGAAGGCCCCTTTCCCATCTTTTTCTCCTCACCAACCTCTCCAGACACTTTTCCCAACCCCCCACTCCCCACCCCCCGCTCAAAGAAATCTCCTGGTTTACTTCAAAGGCAGGTCTGCATCCAAAAGAGATAATATTGATGGGGAGTGGGGGTAGAAGGGAGGAAGTAGAGAGGAAGGAGAGGGGTCTCTGGACAGTGAGGGAAGTGAGACAGATGGGCACAGAGCCTGCTGTCTGAGCCTAACTTGTCACTGGGAGGCAGGCCAGGCTGGGAGGACTCAGGCCTTCATATGTGAGGAGGCGTGACAGTGAAAACTCAGCAGTCCAGGCTTATCTTTGCTGGCAGAGAAATCAGGTTTGGACAGATCTGAAGAGAATGACTACTGGTTATTTCTGGAACAGCTTCTTAGATTTGCTGCCATGCCTGTCATGGTGGTTAAGAGCTGGGGTTTGGGAGTCTGGGTTCAAATTCCAGCTCTTTCACATTTTAAATGTATTCAGTTGAGCAAATCTTTTCTTCTCTAAGCCTCGGACTTCTTGTCTCATCTGGTAGAGGAGAGCAATGTCCTTCCTATAGTCCCAGCAAACCAACAATTAGGGTGAACTGAGCATGCTGCTTTCCAAAGACAAGGCTACCATCAAGAGCAAACACCTCACCCTCTTTCTGTATGGATATGAAAATCAGTGGGGAGAGAAGTTTATCTCCTTTGATGACCTGAAGTCTTCCAAGCCTCAAGTTGTCAAGAGAGTGAGGATGCAGGATTGAGGAGGATGCAATGTGCCAGAAAGAAAGGACTATCATGAGGTACATTCACAGGTGGATAAGGATGGAGATAGCCCAGGATCTGAGCTGACACTTTCAACTTGAATTTTCACCAACCCTTCCTCATCACTATGAGCCAGATGAAAGAATGAGCCAAACTAGATTCCGGGTTTCCAAAATATCCACTCAGCTACAGCAGGGGTAGTGCACGAGATCCTCAGTTACAAGCAGGGGCCTGAACACAACATCCGAGGAAGTCTTTTGTCCACTCGAACTAGAGATACTTCTGTGTGTCCGAGACAAGGTGACAAGTATCCTGGACATAGGGATCATAATAGTATTGTCTTCTTATAGATTTTAGGCTCCAGTAAGATAATGTGGGCATACAGCACTTTGAACCATGCAAGGCATAGAGTGCATACTCAAGAAATGGTAGCTGTCATTAACATTTCAAGAGCTTTTGTTTTGTTTTGTTTGAGACAGAGTCTCAACAGAGTCTTGCTCTGTCACCTAGGCTGTAGTGCTATGGCGAGATCTCGGCTCACTGTAACCTCCGCCTCCCAGGCTCCAGCAATTCTCCTGTCTCAGCCTCCCAAGTAGCTGGGATTACAGACACCTGCCATCATGCCTGGCTAATCTTTGTATTTTTGTAGAGACAGGGTTTCACCATGTTGGCCAGGCTGGTCTTGAACTCCTGGACTCAGGTGATCCACCCACCTCAGCCTCCCAAAATGTTGGGATTACAGACGTGAGCCACCACGCCCAGATTTCAAGAACTTTCAGCGTGCTTTATTTAAATGGTAAGTTCCTTCAGAGCATTCTCTGTTCAAGGTGGAAAAATTAGAACACAACTCAGACTTCAAATATGTCCCTCCCTCATTTCGCATGGTGGCTTTTTGGGCACTGACGCTGGTAGTGTTTTCTTTTCCACTGTCCTATCATCATAGAACTTGGCTTTGTGACATTGTAAAAGTCTTTTGTGCCAGGATAACCAATTAGGCATTGAAGGATGGAGGAGCCTGGCACTCAAGGGTTTATTTTTTCCATTTGTCTTTCAAGGGCAGTGATGGTGGCTTTCCAGAGCCACAGTGGCTCCAGCTGTGTTAGCCCCTCCAAACGAATGATTTACAGACATGTTTTTAGGGGTACCTTGCCCACTCTGTGGGTTCAGCGTTGCCTAAATCACGTGCTGACTTCTTTTTGCCATTTGTTACATACCTGGACCCTTTGTGTCCTTCCTCCAAGCTGTCATCCTGTGGTTACTTGGCAATTGCCAACTGGTTTTTTATATTAGCCCAAGAAAAACATCATTAGGAAGGGCGAGTCTGTGGCCAAATCCATTGCTTAATGGCCTGCAAAGCCAAACAGAAATAAATTGGAGGTATCTAAGCTGAAGGCCTCTCTGCTAGCAGGAAAAGTGAAACTCGACACTTGAAACATGAAAAATGGCAAGGCTGCCATTGCCACACTGCAGAAAGTTTCCTCTTAATAAAGTCACTTATAGAAATGTACTGTTTCTCCTGAGGTCTTCTTATAAAATTGGTCTAAAAAGGAAGGCTATTTTCTCTACAAGGTAAAGTAATCATGTTCTCGGCTTTCATTAAAATCCTCATTTGCCACAGAACTGATTCTATTTCTTCTTAATGGGGCTGCAAAATTATAAAGAAGGCAACTCAGCACCATCTCCCATTGGGTCGCTCTTTCTCCCCTTCCTGCCACTCCATTTCTCCCTTCTTCAGCACTCACCCATCTTTCCATCACTGTCCCACTCCTGCTTCCACCACCCCTCCCCTCACTGCACTGCCTCACCCCTACCTTGCTGTGGCTTGAATATCTGTGTCCTCCCAAAATTCATATATTGAAAATTTAATCCCCAGTGCAACACTATTAAGAGGCAGGGCACTTAGGAGGTGATTAGGCCACGAGGACTTGCCCTCATGGATGGGATTAGCAACCTTACAAAAGGGCTGGAGGGAACTAGTTACACCCTTTTTTGCCTTTCTGTCCCTTAGACATGTGAGGACACAGCATGCATCCTCTCTGGTGGGGAAGGCCATGAGGCACCATCTTGAAAGCACAGACTGGGCCCTCACAGGCATAGAATCTGCCAGAGCCTTGATCTTGGACTTCCCAGCCTCCAGAACTGTGAGAAATAAACCTCTCTTCTTTATAAATTACCCAGCCTCAGGTGTTTTGTTATAGCAGTAGGAATGGGGTAAGACATATCTCAATTGCCCCACCTCTACCTCTACCACCTCACCACTACCTCCACCACCTTATCCTTACCTCTACCATCCCACCACTTCCTCCACCATCATTCACACCCACCTTCACTGCTGCACAATCCCATGGATACAAAAGCAGAAAAACCAGTTCCCTTCAAAGGTAACACTCAGACTGATATCAAGCATCTTAACAGTATAACTTAGAGATGACAAATTCTGAGAAAAGAAATGATGACCCAAGAATTTTATGACCAAGGAAGTTGTACTTCAGATTCAAAGGCAACAGGCAAATTATAACAAACACACAAACACACACACCACACAAATCAGAGATGTAGCACTAATGAGCCCTTTGAAATAAATAAAAAAGACTTATTAAATCCAGCCAACCAAAAGATGAATCAAAATAAAGAACTCAGAAAAACAGATTAAAAATGTTTTAAAAGAATAGGTGGTGAACATTAATATATCAGAATATAAAACTAAAGCTATATAGCTGCAATGATTGCCACTTAATATGTAAAAAATAATCATATAACATAAAAATTGAGACATCGAATATGTAGGTGAAGTGAAAAAGTTATAATTTCTTAGAGTGCCATGTTAGGGAATTTATAGATAAGCCTAAATTTAAAACTTAAAAAAAATCTGCAACCCCAACATATTCATTTGTTTAATAATCTTTATGTTTTAGCTTCAGTAGGCTCTTTTGGGAACTTATCACCAGTTGTATCATAAATATTTATTTGAAATTTTAGTAATTCTCTGTTTCCTTTCCTTCTGTGAAATAACAGACTATGTAATTTAATATTTTGTTTTAATAAAGACATCCATGGAACATTCCTATATTTTTCTCTCTATTGCTTTATCTATGTGTGGAGAGAGGATGAAATTATGATTACAGGGGTCAAAGGTGGTTATTTCTATGTGATGAGATTGGGAATCACCTTTAGTTTTCTTCTTTGCACTTTGCTGTGTTGTGTGACTTGTTTTAATCATTATCATGTGCCATTTTACAAAGATAATACTATTAAAGAAAATTAAAATGTGAAATTTAACAAAGAAGAGTGACCGATGCCTTCTCTCTGGCTCCCTGGGCCCCTCTCCAACATGCCAGAGGGGCCCTCGGGAGCAACAGGGATTGTCAGGATGAAGGATGTTCTGTCCGAACATTGTCTCCTGAACTATTTCTATCTGCATCAGAGATGGATTTCCTAGCAACTCAACTCATCAACTCCCCCTTGCACGCACCAACATGGACCTGGAAAAGTTAATGTCTAATGTTTCTACATTGCAGGAAACTGGCATGAGCATACACATCCATTCAGAGGAGGTGAAAGTGGAGTGACTGATGCTAGAATCCCCACCTTCTGAGTCAACGGTCCAGAGAACAAGGCCAAAACAGCCACAAATACTTTTCAGGCTTCAGGATCAAATTTTTTATTCTTGAATGATCCAAACACTTTAAGAAAAATAAAGTTTCTAGAGGAAATCAACAAAAGTGAAAAAAGAAACCTGTTTCAACCAAAATTTAATGACACATGAGGTGTTTGGGTGCACCGTATTTGGGACAAGTAGAGAGGGCTCAGCACCTGCTGTCAGGGAGGCCTCCGGTATGTCTCAGGTGCCCAGATGTTCAGGGCAATGTGGGGGCAGAGATTCAGAGGCACGATCAGAGCAGCCTTCCGAGAAGAATCTGTTAGTGCCCCCTGCAGAATCCCAACATGAAGAAAATAACAATGTCTTTAATGCATGCACTAAGCACTTCATAGTCATTAAATCCCATTCAATCCTTACAACATCCTTACAAGGTCAATGCTACTATCGTCTCCATTTTACACATACAGAAACTGAAGCTCAAACAGTTTAAGCAATGTAGGCAAGGTCACACAGCTAATATTGGTTGGCCTCAGGATTTAAAAACAAGTAACTGGTGACCTACTCAATCTTGACAGCATTCCTAAAAAGGACAGGAGAGTGAATTCAACAAAACTGACTAGCTCAGAGAGGAGCACAGTGGTAGCTAGGATCCAATCAGACAAGAGTCTATCCTGGGCAACAAGAGCCCAGAATCAGGGAATTCTGAACAGCAGCAGGGATAGCCACAGCAGGCAGAGACGTGGGCCCCATTTCTAACCCAAAGCCCAATTTATACAGCCTGATGGGTCAGGGAGAGGTACCCTATTCCTCATGATAGCATGGTAGCTAGAAGGATATCAAAGCACCCCACCTGGATCTGGCCCCAGTGAGGCAGAGGCCAAGATTATCACATGACCTAAGAAGCCTCTTGAACTTTCTGGAGATACAAACTCCATGTGGAATTTAATATAAGCCCTGTCTTAAATTAAGCTTCACTTCGATGGCATACATTAAAGGTGGCTGGATGGTTGGGTCACCCAAGGCTGGGTCATGAGGACAAGACTGGTATGTCTTGTTCCCACAGTGAATTGCAGCTCTCAAAATTGCATTATCCAAAGGTGCTGTCTGTCCATTTGCTGTAGCTGTTGTGATCCCATCTCTCTGGCAACCTTAAGCATGTTGTTCCCTACAGCCACAGCTAGGCAGGGGGAAACCAGCAGTCTCTCTGAGAAGACAACTCTTCTAGCACCTTCCTCCTGCTGGGGGAACATCCTGACTCCAAAGCCACTACACATTGCCGTGGTAGCTGTGAACTGAACAACTCCAGGAGGTGCCATTCACAGAGACAGAAATGGGAATGATGCCTCTTGGAGCTGTGCGACATGGTGGCCCTGGACTCTTGCCAAGTTCTGCAAAGCCAACCTCAATTCATCCTTCATGACCCAGCCCAAGTACCCTCTCCTCTCCAAACACTCCCATGGCCTCCACCCTAAGCAGTAATAGTAATAATTATAACAACTGGCATTTACTGCACGCTAGGTAACTGTCATGCGGTGCACTAAACACTTTACATGCATTAGCACATATCATAGTTATCACTGTTTTCTCCATTTTATAAATGATGCAACCAAGGCTTTGAAAACTGGAGTTACTTGCCCAAAGTTCCAGAGCTAGTAAGAGGCAGGATTCAAATGAAGCAGGCTGACTCTGAAGCCCAAGCACTCACTGTCCACTCTGCCAGCTGTGCCCACTTTTTACTTTGCAATACATTCGAACCTCTATATCTACATGCTCCGTGTCTGTGGATTCAACAACTGCAGATAGAAAATATTTTTAAAAAGAATAAAACAAATAAAAACAATATAGTATAACAACTACTTACATAGCATTTACATTGTATTAGGTATTATAAGTAATCTAGAGATGGTTTAAAGTATATGAGAGAATGTATGTAGGTGATAAGCAAATACAAAGTCATTTTATATCAGGGACTTGAGCATCCACAGATTTTGGCATCCTCAGGGGTCCTGAAGCCAGTGCTCTGCAGAGACCAAGGGACAACTGTACCTACCTGGAATCCACCCTTCTCCTAGCACCTATCATACGTGGATGCACTAACTTGTTTATGACCTGTCTCTTCTACTAGACTGTGAGCTCTTTGGGATGAAGGATCCTATCTTATTCTATCTTATATACCCTGGTATCTACTAAAGAGTTGGAACTCCAGAACTGTTTGATAAAAGCTTACATGCATGTGTGGTGATGGCCACTTGGCATAGACCGTTTCTACTCTGATTCCATTTTGGGCTCTGGCCCTCAGGTTGCCTGAACACAAGACACAGAGTCTCATTCAAAGGAGCTCAGGAGATGACAGAGGATGGAAAGGGGTATAGCAGGGCTCTTGACCCCATTTTGTTTTAATTAATTACTAAGGGATCCAGGAAATGTTGACTATTAATTTGGAGGCCAATGGAAGACTCAGAGGCATCACTTTCTGAACCACGAATCACCCTCCTCTCTTGATCCTGAGACTAGCATCCCTAAAGCTGAGCATTGCAAAGTGGCTTTTACTCTATTGAACAGAAGAGAGACTCGCATCTATGCTGATCAGAGCCTTTACACAGCCACTTGTATTCATGTTCAAAGGCCTACAGCCACGAGCCTTGGAGATGTGCCGGCCCAGTAATTTTCAAACACTGTTACCAGTAAAACCTTCTTGTATGGAAGGCCAATATATAAATCAGATAAAAGATGAAGAGCTGGGGCCTGGAGCACCCCAGCTCAGCTTCTTCTTTGCCTACCTCCATAGCACTTCCTGAGGCACCTCTCTGATACCCCTAGGTCTTCACTGAACACAGCATAGGGCCACTGATTTTGCCTCATTCCTCCAGCTTGTAAATGAACAAGAGAGGACCAGAGAAAGGAAGAGACTCAGTAAGGGTCTCAGGCACCTGTGCTGCTGCTTCTTTGAGCATCCCCTAGCATACAAAGCTGATTCAGCAAGCAGTATCTTTACAATGACTGGGCCGTGCTGCAACTTGTTCTGCAACAGGGAAGAGCATGTTCTGATCCACCCTCACTTTCTCCTGTGTCTTGGGGAATGTGTTTCTGGAGCACTCCAGTGCGTGGTGAGAATCTTGAATTTACATCATTCCCCAATATAAGCCCCATGATATAGTTTGGATCTGTGTCCCCACCCAAATCTCATGTCCAGTTGTAATCCCCAGTGTTGGAGGAGGGGCCTGGTGGGAGGTGACTGGAACATAAGGGCAGAGTTCTCATGGATGGTTTAGCACCATTCCCTGCTTGGTACTGCACAGTGAGTGAGTTCTCATGAGATCTAGTTGTTTAAAAGTGTTTCACCCATGGTGGAAGGCAAGGCCAGAGCAAGCATCTTACATGGCAGGAGCAGGACCAAGAGAGAGAATCTGCTCCGATTTTGCCTTCCACCGTGAGTAAAAGTTCCCTGAGGCCTCCCCAGAAGCAGATGTTGCCATGCTTCCTGTACAGCCTGCAGAACCATGAGCCAATGAAACCTCTTTTCTTTATAAATTACCCAGCCTCAGGTATTTCTTTATAGCAGTGTGAGAACGGATGAATACACACCATATTCACTTTTGAGACCTGCTGTAACAAATCACCACAAACTGAGCAGCTTAGAACACCAGAAGTTTATTCTCCCACAGTTCAGGAGAACAGGTGACTGAGTCAAGACGTCAAGGTTGGTTCCTTCTGGAGGCTCAGAGGCTCCCATGCCTCTATTGTGGATTTTGTGTTTGCTGGCAATCCTTGGAGTCCTTTGGCTTGCAGAAATGTCACTCCAATCTCTGCCTACATCTTCACATCTCTTTATTCTCTGCATGTCTCTCTGTGTCCTCTTCTTTTAAGGACACCAATCATTAGATTTAAGTACACCAATTATTAGATTTAGAGCGCATCCTAAATTCAGGATGATTTCAACTTGAGATTTTCAACTAAATTACACCGATAAACACCTTATTTCCAAATAAGGTGACATCCTGAGGTTCTGGATGGACATGAATTTTGGGAGGACACTATTCAATGCATTATAAGCCCCAGGTGAGTCACCAGGGGACTCGAAACCCAGGACTTCAGGTTCATTAGCTAGCACAGGGCTGGGTCCCTCCAGCTGAGCCAGTGCAGTCCCTGCTAAAATAGCTCTTGATTGACAACACAGGCCCCTCAACCCCTCTGCCGCACCCTGTCAATGGTATCAGCAGGGTGGGGTCCACACCTCCTGTGCTGGTAGAGATAATCTAGAGAGGAAATCCTGGGCTGCCCAGATGACACAAGAAATTTTCCTCAGAGGAGGGTGGCCTAAGTTGTTTCTCACATTGCCCTTTGCTCCTCAGTCAGCAATGAACATAGGAAGTGGCTCTCCTCAGCTTCTCCTGATGTCAACTCAAATGTTGACAGTGCCTATAAACCAAGAGACAGGGAGCTTATCAGTGACATACCAAACCCAGGAAACACTTACTACACTTTCATATCTGGATCTGGATGCCAACATTGATAGTATCCCGGAGCACCTTCAGATTATGTCCAGTGCACTTCAAGAAAAAGAGAAGGCAGCTTTCTCTGCAGAGAAAGCTGGCAGCCAGGGTTGGAGGAATGCAATTGCTGGGTGATGCAATGGAAGTTTCAGAGAAGGCCCCAGCTGAGGCTTCTACAAACGAGACTTTGGTGAGAGTTGTAAACTTGAACAAAACCAGTTACCATGAGATAGCTCCTTAGCCCTAGATGGTGACAAGTCTGAACATGCTGAAATTGAGATGATGCTTTGGTTTCTGTGTGCCTTTGCTGCATTTTGGCTTTTTACATCCAGGACTGCCTGTTTCTTGACCCATACTTTGCCCCAACAGTACCTGCTCTCCCTCTGTGCTAGTGAGGGTTTGGGGTTATAACTGTTAGACCGAGATAAGAGCGTAAGTTTTGGCTTCAGACAAACCTGAGTTTGTGTCCAAGCTCTGCCACTTAAGAACAGTATGAGTTGCTGCAGATTACACTGAGCTAATAATAATACTACCTAACAGGAATGTCATAAGTTAAATAATCAATTCATGCCAGGTACTTAGCCCAATGATGGAACGCAGCACGAACTCAATAAATGTTAGCTATCATTATCACTATTATTACTATTGTTATTCACAATATCATAAGGAAGAGAAACTTACATGCTTCCCCCAAAAAATACACTCTATATGATACAGTTGAAGAAGAGTTGGTGTTATATCATATTTCCAATGATCTTTGCCCTGTATTTCCTGTGGCTGAACCGATAATATTAGAAGCTGCTAACATTTTTTGAAGGTTTGTTGCATGTCACATACCATTCTAAATGCTTTACTTCAACCAACAACCCTGGGAGCTGTAGATACTCTTATTATCATCTCCACTTTACAGAAAAGGAAGTAAATTGCAGAATAATTATGCATTGCCCAAGATCACACATCTAATAATGGTTGTCTAGAGTTACAACCAAGGCAGTCTAGCTCAGAATCTGCAAGCTTAACTATCCACTGTCCTACCCTCCTGATAGAAGTTGGTGACCCCTCCGACTAGGATAGATTCCACTTCCAGGGACTTCAAAGAACTCTCAGCAGGAATTTTTAACTGACAATTTGATTTGACAGAATTGTCCTGCCTCTATGCTAATTGATCCCTTAAACTTAGGTTCAGAAAGAGTACATGGGTTGCCTGAAGTCCTGAAGCTAGTCTCTGACAGATCCTCAAGCAGCCCGACTGGAGCCAGGTTTCCATGAAAATTCAAAGAAAGGAAAAACCCAGATTGTAGTAGATTCTTCCCAAATACCCACAGGTCTGCATTTTAATTGATTATTGGGCTTAGCTACCAGATCCAAGGTTGATTTGCAAGGTCGATCCTACAGGGGCACTCTGCAGTCCCAGGGCAGAGCCCAGCCACAGGAATATGGGCTGAGAATCTACCATTATTCCTGGGAGAAGGAATTGGGGGAGTTGAGGACTGAAATCAGATCTTGGAGGAATAGTTACTGGGTGATGCAATGGAACTGACACCAGGATGGAGATTCTTGAGCTAAGCAGGACAAAAACTGTTCTCAGCCCCTGGGGGATATCCCACTGAAGTCAAGACTTTCATCCCAGAAAAGGAGGAGTTGAAATGGGTGGATTTCACTCTGAGTTGGGAGAATGATGTAAATACTACACTGAGTGGTACTGTACAAACCTTCTTTGACCTCAGCCCAGAGGGTATATCTTAAAGTTTCTTTAGGAGAAGAGAGTATCATATGAAGGAAAAGAGGCAGACCATTCTCCTGGTATCTAGTGATCAAGCTATATCTCTAGGACCAAGCAGGCTGGGAGAAGAAAATCATCCTCTATTTCTGTCACAGTTGCAAGTTTAACATCATCAGAAGTGTCACAGTCACTGAGTGTCAAGTGATGGCTGCCCACAGTGGCAGCCACAGAAAAGCTTTAATTCCCATCCAGAGAAACGTGAGCCACCTCACTCCACCCCCAGGACACTGCCAGGTGTAGAAGAAAGAACTGAAGGACTGGAAATACTAGCAATTTTCACAAGAAGAGGCTCTAAATCCAATACAGCTGATGGTGTCTTTAGGCCACCTGGGAAAATAAGAATATTATCCTTGTAATCCTCTCAACTATACCAAGAGACAGTTAGTCTTATTACTTCCAGTTTACAGATAAGGAAACCAGGATTGAAAGATTAAGTGGAAACTCCTCTTTTCTGTCCCTGACTTTCTGTCTGTGTACTCAGGGAGACTTCAGGCTTCTTGGAAGGATTGAGAAGAAGCTTCTACCTGTCCTTCCACCTCTCATTTCCTCCTCTCAAGACGACATATCTAAATAAGGAAAAACAGATTGGTTTTCCTTCTACATTCACACCGCTCTCAATACTTCACTCTGACAACAGATACGTGGGTTTTTCCCACACCAACCAATTTACCAACTCTCTGTGGACACCAACTGGATGTCCTAGAATTTAACTCAATTTGACATCAGATCTCACAGGTTAAGGGCTCAGTCCCACAAAACTGCCTCCCCCTGTTACAGTAGGTAGCTAGTCCCCACTCAGCCACCACACCAGGAATGTCAGCAACCATCAGGTGATGGTCAGGCAGCTGTTAACTGTCTCTCTAAAATAATAATTGGTCTCAGCCAGTGCCAGGAAAAGGCAATCTTCTAGTAGATAGAAACACCTGAAACTGATGACCAGCAGCTTCCTGATAAGATCTCAGGAGGTGGGCGATTGGGCTCACACATGAGCATTAATGGGCAAAATGGCAGCGTTTAACTGGTATATGACCTTATAGGAACATTAGACTGGTAAGGGAAGAATGCCTCAAGTGAGCATGTGTACAACTCCAGTAAACACACTGCTCCTGCGGCCCCTCCAAAGTGCTGGCAGCCACTGCACATGCAGACAGCCCACCCCAAGGGAAGAATCAGGGGAGAAGGGATGCAAGACCCCAGAAGCATGCCAACATATAAAACCCCATGTCAAAGGTCATATTGTGCACTTGATCTTTCAAGTTGCCCACTTGGCCCTCTTTCAAGTGTACTTTACTTCTTTTCATTCCCACTCTAAAGCTTTTAAATAAACTTTCACTCCTGTTCTAAAACTTGCCTTGGTCTCTCCCTTTGCCTTATGCCCCTTCATCGGATTCTTTCTTATGAGGAGGCAAGAATGGAGGTTGCTGCAGACCCATACGATTCACTGCTACTAACATACTTTGGTGCCACAGGACTTGAATACATTCCACTGCTAACTCCCCTACCAACTTCAGACATCAATCGTAAGTCCAAGCTGTTACCTGTGCTTCTGACCAATTGGCTATAAATTGGAGGTTCCTGGTAACCCTTCCTCATGTTTGACTATTGCTAGAACAGCGTACAGGATTCAAGAAAACAGTTGCTTATTAGATCACTGGTTTCTTATAAAAGGATACAAATTAGGAATAGCCTGGAATGAACAAGGTGCTCATGGCTGTAATCTCAGCACTTTGGGAGGCCGAGGCGGGTGGATTACTTGAGCTCAGGAGTTTGAGACCAGCCTGAGAAACATGGCAAAACCCCAGCTCTACTAAAAAACACAAAAAGTAGCTGGGTGTGGTGGTTTGTGCCTGTAGTCCCAGCTACTGGGGGTCTAAGATGGGAAAATATCTTGAGCCTGGGAGGCGGAGGTTGCAGTGAGCCAAGATCATGCCAATGCATCTCCAGCCTGGGCAACAGAGCAAGACTCTGTCTCAAAAATAAATAAATAAATAAAAATCAGGAACAGCCAGATAGAAGCCATGTATAAAGCAAAGTGTGTGGGAAGTGGGGAAGCTTCCATGCCCTCTCTGGGCACACCAGCCTCCAGGATCCTCCACACATTCAGCTGTCCGGAAGCTTTCTAATGGTGTTCTTTTGAGTGGTTATAGAGGCCTCATTATATAGGCATGATTGATTGAATCATTGGCCATTGGTGATTGACTCAACCTTTAGCTCCTCTCCCTTCCCCAGAGGTTGGGGGGGTGGGGCTGAAAATTCTGACCTTCTAATCATCTGGTTGGTTCCCCTGGCAACTGGACCTCCACATCCTGAGGCTATCCAGGAGCTCCCAGCTACTAGTCACCTCATTAACATGCAAAAAGTTGTCACTTTCCAGAACTCTAAGGGTTTTAGGAGTATGTACCAAGAAATAGGGATGAAGACCAAATAGATACACATTTATTATTATAAATCCCAATATCATCATATCTAATTAGGGAGGCTGATAAAAGTTGGGAGTGCATGAATTTCATTCATTTCTAGGCTATTGACATTTTCAGAGTAGCCTGCCTCTACTCCTACCCCCAGCTCCCAAACACACACACATTCCCCTCTATCTGGTAAGCCAACTGCTACCATAGGAGGACTCCTGCGGTTCTTTACCAGCTTTGAACACCTGGGTAAGATTCACCCCATGGATGGATCCAGATGTCTAGGCTTGGTAAACCTGATTTTGCCTGCAGGTTCCATCAAACTTTATTAGTAATAAAGCTGATGAATTAACGTGTTAAGACTCAACTGGCTCCAACTTCATAGAGAACAGAAGATCTGGGCACTTTAGAAAGCCCAAGGGTTTTCTTCCAACAATAACTTGCCCCAAATCAAACAGCTAGGAAATGTGTAGATGGTATTCACACTGCCTGCTGAATCCAAGCAGTCTGACTCCAAATTCCGAGCTTTTAAACACTACGCTACATTGACGATGAGGAGTAAACTGAGGCCAAGGAGGTAAGGAAGGAGTCATGTCACAAGAGCCTTGCAGAACATGGAAGAAGTTTGGATTCCATCACAAGGGCTGTAGGGAGCCACACACATGCTTCAAACAAGGAGAGTAGACACTACCATCTGCAGCAGCCCTAGACCAAACTCCTACAGTTAAGACTTTAGGTTAGAATTTTCTTCCAAAGGAAAACGTATGAGAAAACAATACTGTTACTGTCTTTGAAAGCTATTCATGACATGTGAGGCTGGGGAATGGAGGTTTTATTATTGTTGTTTGTTCTTAAAGGAGAAGCATTTTGGAGTGAGTGGGTTGTTTTGTCTTTGTTTTGCTTCCTCATTCTTGAGAAGTCAGGCAGGTCAGGATGATTGCCAGGGAACGTGTGTGGTCCACCTTGGCCTCTGCAAGTGAGTACACAGAGCCAGACTTCACTAGTACCTGCTGGGCTCTGCTAAGCACAGAGTCAAGCCTGAGTACACAGTTTGATTATCATCAACTTCCCCGTCATCATTAACAATTTCCTCTACTAACCATGTCAACATTTACTGAGCTCTCAGGATGTGCTGGCCACTAAATGTGGTCAATCTGAGATAACTTCATAACAAGCCTATTAGGTAGATAGTATTATAACTTCCATTTTACAGGTGAAGAAATTGAGATGCAGAGAGCTTAAGTAATTTGGTCTGTAATAAGCAGGAATTAGACAAGCAGGAATTTGAACCTAGGTTAATTTGACCTTCAAGGTTTTAACCACAAGGCTACACTTTGCCACATAGGAGGTGCTCATAGTTGGTGTCAAGACTACCGGAAGCAACCTCTTGTGCTATGTTAGGCATGCAGTTGGAGAGAAGCATAGCTTTGAGAGCAGTAAAGTGGTTCATTTGGGTCAAACACCCTGGTGCAGAGGCATGTGGGGAAAAATCTCCCAAGTATTCATTACTACTAATGGAATCACATAGTGCTTCTCTAAGATAGAAAATGTTCTCTATAAACTTCAAGTCTCCACTCACACAGAATAATGTGGGGACACCAAGTTAGTCATCTGATATGCCACATAAATAAATGAACAGACAGGAATATTTGTATTTTTATCTTTAAGCATAGTATGCACAACAGAACTAGGTGCAAATGATTATTCAGTGCAACTTGACATTTACAGAGTTTGTATTGCATGCAGGCACAATACCAGACACTGGACACAGAAATGAATCAGACATAGCCATTGCCCTAACAAGACCTACAGAGTTCTGTAAGGGCAGGAAGTTTGGCACCAACTATAGTGTAATGCCCTGTTAAATGCAACATATGCAATAGGAACAGAGCTTTCACTGGAGCACAGAAGTCTGAGCAGTTATTTCTACTCAGAACTCAAGCAATACTTCACAGGGGTGGGAATATTAGAATATTGAAGGGTAAGAAGAATAAGAATATAGGCAAGGATATTCTGGAGAGGAGGATGTCTTGAAGAGCATGGAGAGAAGAGGAAAAACATACAAAGTATATACGAATATCTGAGAAATTTAGTATTTCTGAGATGTAGAGGACAGAAAAAACTTTGCTAGGGGCCAGGCACAGTGGCTCACGCCTGTAATCCCGGCACTTTGGGAGGCCAAGGTGGGTGGATCACCTGAGGTCAGGAGTTTGAGACCAGCCTGGCCAATATGGTGAAACCCCGTCTCTACTAAAAATACAAAAATTAGCCCGGCATGGTGGCACGTGCCTGTAATCCCAGCTACTAGGGAGGCTGAGGCAGGAGAATTGCTTGAACCCCAGAGGTGGAGGTTACAGTGAGCTGAGATTGCACCATTGCACTCCAGCCTGGGTAACAGAGTGAGACTCCATCTCAAAAAAAAACAAAAAACAAACAAAAAAAAACTTTGCTAGGAAAATAGACAGGATGTAGATCATGGAGCACTTGGAATGCCAAGATAACAAGCTTGGACTTGATCCTGTGTTAGGCAGAACCCTGGAGAGCTGTAAAAGCAATGAGGATAACCACTTGATGTGCCTTTTTGGAACCAAGCACCAGTGTCAGGGTGGAGATTGAATGGTTCAAGTTGTTGATGGCAAGGACCTAAATCCCAGCATTGGCAGGAGAAGCAATGGAGAAGGGGGACGGTACTAGATTGATATGTCTGAGGTTGAAGGGACAAGGTTTGGTGACTAATTGGACATGGAAGTGAGTGGAAAGAACCAAATACCCTAGGTCTCTAGCATTTGTGAAGGGGATTAATGGGTAATGGATAATGATCTCATCAAGACAACCCAGGAGGAGAAGAAAGGGTAGGGGTGGGGAAAAGAATGAGTTCTGGTTGGGATGTCTTGTATTTGAAGCATTGCAGAATAGACCCAAAATTGGAAAGTAGTTGGAAATAGAAGCCTGAATCTCTGAAGAGAGAAGATAGAAATGTGTGAGTCATCAGCATTTCATGGTAGCTGAAAGTCTGGGAGAAAAAAGCTTCCCAGAAAATACAGAAATTGCTAGAGGAGCAGAAAGGGCAGAACCCTTGGGAAGATTCATATTTATTATTTCTATTAGAGAAAGAAGAGCAAGGGAAGGAGGTCAAGAAAGAATAGCCAAAGAAGTAGTAGAAGCAGTAAGGGAAAGTGGTATGATGGGAAGATGGAAGGCTGCAATGCGTGTGTCAAATGCCTCAGAGAGACTGGGCATCCATGTCCTCATGAATTACTTGGAGATCTTGTTAAAACGCAGACTTTAATTCAATCATTCTGGAATGGGACCCAAGATTCTGCATTTGTAACAGCTGCCAGGCAATGTACTGAATGGTCCATGGTCCTCACTTTGAACTGGCAAGGGGTCAAGAGTGAAGACTGGGACAGAATCATAGAATTTAGCACTTGGGAGGTCATAGGGGACATTTGAGGGGTTTCAATTGGGTGAAGAGTGATTGGGACACAGAGGAGAAGTAAAGGCAAGGATGGAAGGCCTTCCAGAGGCTCAGCAGGTGAAGAGAGATGGGAGGCAGTGGTTGGAGAGAAAGGCAAAGTTGGGGAAGATTTTAGAGGATTGGGGAATATTTGGGCCTGTTTATAGAATGGTAGGAGAGGCAGTTCCCTTTCTCTTTAGAGAAACAGAGGAAGTGGAATGATTTTTCCTTCCTTACCTATAATGATATCCACAAAGGAAGTGGATGATCATTACAGGCAAGGAAGGAAAAAATGGTACAAAGTGTTTGGTCCTTGCATCCTCACCTCCTTCTAAGATACTTCTGAGACAAAAGGGAAGGCGAGAAGGCTGGGAGAAGAAACAGGTATATTTTTGAGGAGAGAAGATAATGAATTTCATAACTAATGTCCTTTATTTTTTTTCACAGAAGTCAGAACTGAAGCTATCTGCAGAATATAACGGGGTAAATTGGTTTTAAAAGGCAGGAGAGAATAGTAATGATTTGGAATAGCCCCTGTAGAGAATGGGGATAAAATATGCTGCTGAAAAGAAAATATGAGATAATAAGAAGAAAAATGAAGTATGAGAAAAAATGGTAATTCATAACAGTCCTAATTATATAACAGTCCATCACACATGAAATATTTTATTTAGCATGCAAAAGTCAATTGTAGAACCCTAGAGTCTACAGAATTTTAAAGTTGGAAGGGATCTGTTAATGTGGAAACAGAATATCCAGAATCATACAGTAAGCGCACTGCATAAGAAATACACATTTACACCAGAGGAAGCTGTCCTCACATGATATCTTCAGCCACTCAGCTCCTAGCTCTGGGCTTAGACCCTCTGGACCCCATGGATGAGAATTTTCCTATACTTCCTTATTTCATCAAACTCAATTTAGATGCCAGCCAACTCCGCTATTTGCAGCCCACTCTGCTATTTTATAACAGGCAAAAGTGTTCCTTGCAATCTTCCTTTTTGGAAAGATCTATAAATAATAGGGTACCTATGAGTGAATTTTATGAGTGATACCATCCTTTTCTCTATCTAGAGGAAGAGAGGAAGTCACTTTGGAACAAACTTTTATTTTGGGTTCTGAGAACATATTACTCGAGTGGCCTCTCTTTACATGTGCAAGACCCATAGGCTTTTGCCCTGACCATAGAAAAGGTGAAACAGAAGCATTTGTGGCTGTTGTTTTCTGTGCTTTTCCAAAGCTTTGTGGTGCCTCTGCTTCTCTTGGCACCAGAGCTCTGGAGTAGGTGCTGATTATATTGCACAAAAACCCAGAAGTCTCCTGGAAGGAAAGGTCCTGAGACCTCTAACTCCTTTTCCATAAAATTCAAAGTCAATAATATGTTAGAGTGGCCCTCACCAAGGACTACGGAAAAGAAAAAGTCACCAAGATCCCTCAAAGTCTCAAAATCTATCTAGAACCGAACCACGTTTTACTGCTTTTACCCTTATCACCCTGGTTTGGGTAACCCCTCAAGTCTTCTCTGAATTATTGCAATTGCCTTTGAATTGGTCCCCGTGTTCAACCCCTGGACTCCAACACTCTATTCTCAAGACAGCAGTAAGAGTGACGCTTTTACAACTTTAAAACTCAAGTCCACTCCAGTCACTTCTCTGCTCACAACTCTCTTATTCCCCCCTTCTCACTCAGAGTAAAGGCTGGAGTTCTCACAACAACCAACAAGGTTCTAAATGAGCTGGACCCCCACCAACTGTTTTACTCCATCTCCTTCTACTCTGTCTGTATTAATAGTCTGGGGTCTACAGAGAAACTAAAACAATAGGATATATACACATACATATAGCATTGTGTTGTATATATATACACACTGTGCATATATGTATAATTATATTGTGTGTATATACTTTATATATGTAGAGAGATATATATAGAGAGAGACAGGTATATATATAGAGACATATATATGTGTGTGTGTATATGTATATATATATATGTATATACATATATGGAGAGAGAGATTTATTATAAGGAATTGACTCACACAGTTATGAAGTCTGAGAAGTCCCACAATCTGCAGTCAGCAAGCTTGAGAACCAGGAGAGCCAATGGTCTAGTTCCAGTCCAAGTTCTAAGGCCCAAGAACTAGGAGAGCTAAGGGTGTAAGCTCCAGTCTGAGTCTGATCCGAAAGCAGGAAGCCAACTACTATCACAGAATGGGTCATTCTATCCTCTTGATTATCGAAGCTCTCCTCTGCTGAGGTCAACCTTTGGTGAGCATTTATGTTGAACACAAATGTCTTCACATTTTTTGCCCATTCAGAGGGGTCTGTCCTCTTCCCCAAATTTTCTTCTTATCAATTTTTCTATCATATGCCTTCAAAATTGCTGATCATTCAGCCAAATTATTGGCCACAGCCCATGAATCAGTATATAATGATACATCTGGCCATTTCTCTTTCCAAGCAAAGTAGATGGCCAGGTGAACTTCTTGAAGCTCTGCCCACTGGAAGGACTTCCCTTTACCGGTGTCCTTCAGGGATGTCCCAGAAAGGAGCTATAGTAGTACAGCTGTCCCCTTTCAGAGGATGCCTGCATATCATAAAGAACCATCTGTAAACACCCCCCAAGCTTCTCTTCCTCTGTCAACAACTGTAGGAAACTTCCCACAAGGCCATAGGTACACGCTGGGAGAGAAAAGGCAGTGGAGCAGGAGTGGGGACCATGGGCATTTGGGCCACTTCTTCATGTAACTTATCTGTGCCTTCAGGACCTGTTCATATCCAATCATATAAATACCAGTTCCATTTGATAATGGAATGCTGCTGTGCACACCAAACTTTGTGGCTAGGTGGCTCAGATAATATCCAGTTCATGATGCGTAGCTCAGGTTGCATGATAACTTGAGGTGATTATAAATGCAGGTGGCCCTTAGTTAAGTATTTGATCTCTATTAAGACTGTATAGCAAGCCAAGAGCTGTTTCTCAAAAGGAGAGCAGTTATCTGTGGGTAATAACAATGCCTTGCTCTAAAACCCTAAAGGCCTGTGTTGCAATTCACTTACAAAGGCCTTCCAAAGGCTCCAAACAGCATCCCTATCTGCCACTGACACTTCAAGGACCAATGGATCTACTGGATCGTATGGACCAAGCAGCACAGCAGCCTGCACAGTGGCCTGGACCTGTCGCAGAGCCTTCTCTTGTTCTGGGTCCCACTCAAAACTAGCAGCTTTGCAGGTCGCTCAGTAAATGGGCTGGAATAACACACTCAAATGAAGAATATGTTGCCTCCAAAACCCAAAGAGGTCCGCTATAAACTGGATCCCGCCAACTGTTTCACCTCCTCTCCTATTCCTACTCTTCTTTGCCCACTTTGCTGGAACCACAATGTCTCTTTGCTAACCCTCAAACTGGCAAACGTGCTCCAGACTCGGGGCCTTGTGCCTCTCTGTTCCCTCTGCTTGGCATGTTCTTTTCTCCAATATGCAAATGGATTAGTTCTTTGCTCAAATGTCATCCTCTTCCTGAAGCCATCACTAACAACCTGTGACACTTTCAACCCTGCCTTGCCTGACATTTCCAGTCTACCATCCCTGCTTTTATTTTTCTCCCCAGCACTTTATTAAATTACATTTAGAATTATACAGTTACATAAAGAATTATATAACGTGCTTATTTGGCTTACTGGCTATGTCCCCCCAAACAAAATGTAAGGTCCTGGAAGTCAGGATTATTGTCTATTTTGCTCACTTCTGCATTCACAGTGGGCAGTACCTGATAAGCATTTGGCACTCGATAAATATTACTTTAACAAATATACGCAGAATCCAAGCCCAGTGCAAAGGCCTATGGCACAAATTGAAAGCACAAATGCATTCAGGGACTAAGCAGTCACAAGAACACTGTAAGTGGCAGGAAGTGGGATGTACCAGAGACCCTGCCCACTGAATGCTCGCTCAGCTTCCGCTGACTGTTGTTGCAGAAGAATGTAGGCATAAGTGGACCACATCTTCACTTTTTTTCCGAAAGAAACAAGAAATATTTTAATGCAAAAATCTAAAGATTTTGTTACTGATGACTAGGTCTCTGGCCTAAGAAGTCAAAGAAAATGGCCTGGCCCTGCGTAACATGTGGCTGAGCCCAGTAATCCCTCCAGACCTGGACATCCTGTCCAAATGGTGGCCTTCAGAATAATATCTGAGCCCAAGCAAGCCCCACAGAGACCCCCCCAAGGCCAGCACCCTCATCCCAGAGGCATAGGACATTCTTCTCTAGGTTATGTGGGACCAACATTCCACAGATATCTCACTGGGAAGCCACAGAAACAGCAGTCCTAGGAACCAGATTCAACTTTCTAGTTTATTCCTCGCTCAGGATTTGGAGGCAAGGCAAAACACTTTGAACTTATAAAGCCTCCAGGGACCTCAGATCATTTGGATGAGGGCAAAGAGGGAGGAATCTTCAAGAAAACGATACAGAACTTCTACTAACGGGGATATGAACAATTGTTCACTGGAAGAATGCAGGAGATTTGATTACACTTGCGCTCTGAAAAGAAGTGGGTCATATCATTTATATAAATAAATATTTGGCACAGACTCTGAAGTTGTCTGACTCCACTTCTATTTTTGTAAAATGGGGATAATAATAGTACTTACCTCATAGCACTGTTATGATAATGAGATAAATGAATACATTTAAAGTGCTTAGAATAGTGCCTGACATATAGGAAGCACTTAATAAGTGTTGAGCATTATTTTTATTACTGTTATAATTCCATTCAAATAGCTTAATCTTCTATCTTGCTGCCTTTAACTTTATTCTCATAAACATCTGAAAATCTAGCTGCCAATACCCCTTATAAATGCAAAAATCCTCCACAAATACTAAAAAATCAAATACAGCAGTACAGAAAAAGGATGGTACAATCAAGTGGATTTTGTCCTGAAAATGCAAGGCTGGCTCAACAATAAAAAATCAATGTTATTTGCCATATTAACAGATTAAAGAAAAAAAATCATGTGATTATCTCAATACATTCAAATAAAGCATTTGAAACATTTAACATCATGATCAAAACTCTCAGTAAACTAAGAATAGAAGAGAACTTCCTTAACCTAATAAAGGGCATCTACAGGGAAAAAAAAAAAAAAAAACAGCTAACATTATATTCAATGGTGAAAGACTGAATTCTTAGCCTGTCAGATTGGGAGCAAAACAAGGGTGAAAATGTCTGCTCTAATCATTCCTTTTCCTCCTACTGGAAGTCCTAGCCAGTGCAATAAAGCAAAGAAAAAAACTGTGAGGCATATAGCAGAAATCAAACTTTCTCATCTCAAAGTATGTGATTATTCACATAGGAAACCCCAAGGAATCTGCAAAAATGCTACTGAAAATAAGGAGTGAGCTTAACAAATCTGAAGCGTACAAAGTTAATACTTAAAAAAATCAATCTTATTTCTGAATACTGGTAATAAACAACTAGGAATTGAAATTAAATAAACAGAACCCTATATAATAACACCAAAAATAATAAGATACTTAGGTATAAATCTAACAAAATATTGCAAGACCTATATGCTAAAAGCTAAAATACACTGATAAGAGAAAAAGAACTCTCAGTAAATGGAGAGATACGCTGCATTCATGGATTAGAACACTTGATCTTATTAATATGTCATTCTCCTCAAATTGATTCAACACACTAGAGATTAAAATCCTGGCAGGCTTTTTTGAGATGACAAAAAGCTGATTCTAAAAATCTTTATAGAAAGGCAAAGAAGCTAGAACAGACAAAATAATTTTAAATAAGAAGAACAAAGTAGGGGAGTCCACACTACCTGATTTTAAGACTTCCTATACAGCTACAATAATCAAGACATTGTGATCTTGATTGGCAAAAAGTGGTATTGGCAAAAAGTGTGACACATAAATCAATGGAACAGAATGAAGAATCCAGAAATAGACCCACCCAAATATGGTCAATTGATTTCTGGCAAAGGTGCAAAGGCTATTTAATAGAGAAAGGATAGTCCTTTCAAGAAATGGTGCTGGAAAAATTGGATGTTCATGTGCAAAAGAAAGTGGACTTCAACCTATATATATATATATCTCACACTTTATACAAAAATTAACTCAAAATGAGTTACATACCCAAGTGGAAAATGTAAAATAATAAAACCTTTAGAAGAAAATCTTTGTGACTTAAGATTAGGCAGAGTTCTTAGAAATGACACAAAAGCATGGTAAAATGGACTTACTTAATCAAAAGTAAAACTTTTACACTGTTAAAAGAATGAAAAGATAAACTAAAGACTGGGAGAAGAATATCTGGAAATTATACATCTAATAATGGACTGGGAGGCAGAATATATTAAAAACTCTCAAAACTCAACAGTAGGAGAACAAACAACTCAGTAAAAAATGGGCAAAAAATTTACGCCGACACTTCATCAGAGAAGATGTACATATATATGTATATGACAAATAAGCACACAAAAAGATGCTCAGCATCATTAGTCATTAGAGAAATGTCAATTAAAACCACAGTGAAATACCAATACATACCTATTAAAGTGGCTAGTATTTTTTTTTTAAAGACAGCCTGACAATTCCAAGTACTGACAAGAATGCAGAGCAACTGCAACTCTTATAAACTGCTAGTTGGAATATAAAATGGTGCAACCACTTTGGAAAAACAGTTTGGCGTGCACTTACCATATGACACAAACCCACTCCTAGGCATTTACACCGCCCCCCCGCCCAACAAATATATATCTACATGAAAACCTGTATGTAAATGTTTACAGTAGTGTTTATACTAATTTTATTCATAATTACTAGAAACTGGAAACAAGTCAGATGTCTTTCAACTGGTGGATGGATAAACAAATAAATCTGCATGTTGGGTTACAAGTCAGCAATTAAAGGGAATGAACTATTGATACATACAACATAGATGAATCTCAAATGCATCATGCTAAGTGAAGAAAGCTAGACTCAAAAAGTTGTCTGATTCCATTTCTATGACACTTTAAAAGGGAAAACTACAGGGTTGGACAGTGCATCAGTGGTTCAGGGACTACAGGTTAGGGGATGAGATCAAGAGGTTTGCCCATAGTGGGGCAGCAGGAAGGAATTTAAGGAGATGATAGAATTCTTCTGTATCCTAAATGTGATGGTGGTTACATGACTTAATTTGTCAAAACTTACAGAAATATACGTCCCCCCTGCAAAGTTTTTTTCTTTATTTAAATTTAAAAATTAAAATAATACATTGTTCTAACTTATCATTTCAGTTTATTTTTCATCACTTGCTCGTTTCCTCCTCCATCCAACTAACCCCTTCGGCATCACTCTTGCCTAAACACCTCATGAGTTTTATGCCTCTATTCCTTTGCTTATACTATTCCCTCTAGGGAAATGTCTTCCTCATTCACCACCTCCCCTAGCCCAGTCACTGAAAAACTTCAACGCAGTATTCAAATCCTGGTTCAAAGATCAGTTCAGTGATGTGGTCCTCCCTGACCCCCCTGGCTTTTACTATATGACTGTTCTCTCATGAGCTTGGAATCCAAGAAAGCTAGATTCAAGTCTGGTTTCTGCCAGCAGCTGCATGATCTAAAGCAAGTCACTTACTCTTTCTATGCCTCAGTTTTCTCATCTGTGAGACAGAAATAACAAGAATATTATCTCACAGGACTGTTGGGATAATTAAGTGAGAGAAAGCATGAGGAGTGCTTAGCAGAGCACCAGGCAGAGTAGCAGCATACAAACATGATGGTGATGGTGGTGGTGACAATGGGGAGGATGGTGATGGCGATGATGAGTATGATGATTATGGCGATGGTGATCATGTTGATGATAAGAATTCCTCCATTCACATCAGCCATCTGCTTAAATTGAATCACATTCAGTAGTGATGCCCCTCTCTTGGTGGGCCTGATTCTTTGCCCCAAAAACAAATCAGTAATGCAAGTACAAGACAAATTTGGCTTCTATGCTGACAAGTGCCTTCATGCCTGCTTTGCTGCCAAGGCTGTTCAAGCTTTTAGTTCAAGGAATGTAAGAAGGAGAAAGGTGTGAGGAAGGTGGGCAGACCTGCCAGGGCTTGCAGCATGGTAAAGAGTTCTGGGCAACAAGGAGCCCTTGGAGGATGTTCAGAAGGTGAGCTGCAGGATCAGACTTGCACTGCAAGATGATGATTCTGGCTGTGTTGTGGAGGAATTGGACGGGGCAAGTGTGAAAGTGAGGGGGCTAGTCAGAGTTCATCGCCATCATCCAGGTGGGGGAGGATGGGGTCTTGGGCTGAGGTATCAGCAGTGAAGTTATGGAGTGGTAGGAAAATGCTGAGATGTATTTTAGACACAGAGTCAATAGGATTTGAAAATAGGCGAATATTAACTATTTAAAATATAGGAGAATAATGGAAGGGGGAAGCTGAAATGAAAACCAGGCTTAAGCCATTGGGACATGACAGCACCCATTACCGAGATGGTAGAGGCTTGGGGGTGAGGGGAGAATGTGAAGGGAAAGATCGAGAGTTTGAGTTTGCGTGTGTTAGGTTTGGAAGGCCTGGGAAATGGTCAAGTGGAGATGTCAGGTGGGCACATTGGTATGAGTCTGGATCCTAGAATCACTGAGTCCTGTTGGTTTTATCTCTAAAGCATTTCTTTCCTATCCCCTTTTCCTACTCACGAACATCACCCTAATTTGGGGTCTCAGTAACCTGGACAATGAAAAAATCTCACAAAAAAGAACTCTCAATCTCTCGGAGCCTCAGTTTTTACATTGGTAAATGGAGATAATGATAGCACTCACTCCATACTCTAATAAGATGAAGTATAATGAAATAACACAGGTATTGCACCCACCACAGTGGCTGGCACATAGTAGATGCTCAATTGATGATGGTCATGTTATTTGGGTCTTTTTTCAGGCTTCTCACTTTTAGGTAAAGACAAAAGTTTAGCATAGGACTTGACACATAGTAAGCACTATGTAAAAATTGTTCTACTGCTACCAAGACTCGGTATTGTATTGTGGTCTGAGACCATTTGTGTTCAAATTCCATTTTACAATTTTACCACCAATTAGCTGTTTGGCAAGTTACTTCATCTCTACGTACCTCAGCCTCCTCATTGATAAAACAGGAGTAATAACAATCCCCACTTTCAGGGTGTGGTAGGCAGAATAACAGCCACCCAAGAAGGTCCATGTAATGCCCAGAACCTGGGACTATGTTACACTATATGGCAAAAAAATTCAATGTTTCCTTAATTCAGGAATTAAGGTTGCTCATCAATTGACTTTAAAGTTGGGAGATTATCCTGGATTATCCAGTGGGCCCAATGGATTTACAAGTGTTCTTAAAAGTGGAAGAGGTAGATAAGAGAGTGTGGTGAGAGGGAACTATAACTAGGGAAGAATGGTCAGAGCGATGCAACATTGTTAGCTTCAAAGATGGAGGAAAGGGCCATGAGCCAAGGAATATGGGCAGCCTCTAGAAGCTAGAAAGCCAAAGGAATGAATTCTCCTCTAGAGCCTAGAAAGGAACACAGCCCACAGCCTTACACCTTGATTTTAGCAAGACCCATGTTGGATTTCTGACCTACAGAACTGTAAGATAATACATTTGTGTTGTTTTAAGCTATGAAGTGGTAGTAATTTATTCCAGCAGCCATAGTAAACTAATATGCAAGGGTCAATAAGTCCAGAGTGCTTAAAATCATGCTGGGCACTAGATAAGAGATCACTAAGCTGTCCTTATTTTATAATGATGATGATATTGGTGATTATCACTTCTATTATTGGTACCACCATTCCTGCTTAGCTCTACATCAAGTCACAGCATCCAAAGCTACCCCTCTAACACCTGCACTATGCTAGACATGAGAGATACAAAACAAAAAAGAATACTCCCTGGGCCTGAGGAGTTCGCTGTCTACAGAGAGAGCCACATTTGCAACCAAGTCATTTTGTTACAGAATGGTAAGTTCTAACAAAGAAGGCCTTGCTTTCTGGTGCTCCTGCCTCATCTTTCCCTAGAATCGCTGTTAAGCAAGATGTATTGGCTGAGCCATGATTAACCCTACCTGGTGTGAAGCAAGAAAAAAAAACTGTGGTTTTCTGGCACAATGAATATTTGTGTTTCTCATGGGGAGTCCATGCTATGTGGGAGAGCTGGAGCAATCCGAACTCAGAGCTGAAATCAAAGCTCAACACAAACCTTAAATTTGTTCCAACAAGTGCATTGAGGAGGATCAGGAAAGGTTAAGGATGAACAAGATGTATCAGGAGTCTGGCAACCTGCATTGGGCACTTTATTTCAAATCTTTCTTTGTAAGCACAATTGTACCATCTCCTCTCCAAAATGAGGTACAATAAAAAATAATAATAATAATAGAAGGGGCTGGGCACAATGGCTTATGCTTCCAATCCCAGCACTTTGGGAGGCCAAGTTAGGTGGATCATTTGAGGTCAGGAGTTCAAGACCAGCCTGACCATATGGTGAATCTGCCATCTCTACTAAAAATACAAAAAAATTACCTGGGTGTGGTGGTACACACCTGTAGTCCCAGCTACTTGGGAGGCTGAGGCAGGAGAATCACTTGAACTTGGGAGGTGGAGGTTGCAGTGAGCTGAGATCATGCCACTGTGCTCCTGCCTGGGCAACAGAGGGAGACTCCATCTCAAAAAAATAACAATAAAAATAAACAAATAAAAATAAAAATAGAAGCTAGGGCATGCTGTGTGCTGACGGTGGTATAGACAATAAATATTCAGAAGGTAAATCAATCAGGTTGGGCTGAGAGTTGACTTGATACTACATGGTGTCTTGAGCTACCTTTATAAGGACAGATTTATCTAAGGTGCACACATGGATAGCCACACATATGCATATCTTCACATACACATGCAGATACCCACCTTGACTCTTGGTCCCCTCCCACATCTCTGCCATTTACAGCCATGGGGGAAAAATTGGTGGGGGTGTGGAGAACAAAAAGAGGAGGATGCTTTACAGCTGGATTCATTCATTCATTTAACCATTTATGAAGCATCCACTTTTTCATGCCAGGTACTGTCTAGGCACTAGAGATGGACAGATAAACATAACAATATCTACCTTCAAGAAGCTCTTCAGATAGCAGGAGGAGCAAACAAGAAAGTCACAGATCACAACACCAAGAGCCCAAGGCCAAAAGAGCTGTGAGCAGAACTACTACAAGAGCTCAGGTTGAAGATGCATAGCAACCTGGGGTGGGGGGTAAGAGACGCTCTGCCAGAAGGTGAGCTTTGGCCAATTCTTGAAGGACAAGAGAAGTTGGACAATCAATAGTAGACCCAACCAAAGTAGAGGAGCACACAATTTATGGAAAGTCAAGGTAAAACCATAGTCCATCCCCTTCCCATCGCCATCCTCCACTCATAACTCTGCTTTTTAGTTCACACCTTCTCAGAATAATTCTCTAGACCACACCACACACAACTGACCCAGCTCATAATGACAATGCCAAGTGTGGGGTTGTGGAGTGGCAAACGTATAAGCAGACAAACCTCAATGTGCCATGCTAATGATTCTCACAGGTGCACAAGGCTGGGAGTTAGAGGAAAGGGCCTGGACTTTAGACTCAGACCAACTTGAGTATGAATCCTAGCTCTGCCAGTTTATAGCTGTGAGACCTGTGCAAGTTGTCTTTGCTTTCTAAGTCTCAGTTTTCTCATCTGTTAAAAGAGAAAAATAGGAGTATTGTGAAGCAAAAGTGAAGAGCACACAAACAGAGGTGTTGTAGGAATGCTGTATTAACATTCAACACATCATAGTTGAGAACAACCATAATGCATTCTTTCAGGATCTGGAGCTACATTGGTACAGACAGACCAGGTTCTAATTCTTGTTTTTGCCCCTAAAGTTCTTCATTAGCCCTGAGATGAAGACTTAATGACTCCAGCCTCCATCCATTTTCTAGAACTGAAATAGGGAACTGAGAAATTGGGGTAACCAGCTACAGCCTTCATCACCCTTTGGTAAATTCTACGTGAAAGTCAGCCCGTCTCTCCCACCGGAGTCAGCCACGAGACCACCATAGTGAAAAGAGTATTGGCCAGTTGGCTCTGGTCTCAACTCAGCTCCTGACCTGTCACAAAGGGTTAGAGATGTAATTCAGGGTCACCCACTCTCTGGACTTCCATCTCCTCATCTGCAAATGAAGAAGTTTGACTAGATGGTATCTACAGTCCTTTCTCACTTGGGGAGTTCTGATAAAGCACCCACCACATACCCAAATGGGGTGAGGCAGAGATGGACCAGCCATGACCCCTCTCCTTAAAGAGCTCACAGCCTAAGGGGCAAAAGTAGAAACAAACCCATTCAGATTAAGTCATAGTATAAGACAAGATGTACCTAGTACAAAATGGAGAGGAGGCTTAAGAATGTAGGTGTCACCATTGGGTTCAGAGAGGATCACTGTGAGACAGGGTGATCTGGGAAAGCTTCCAGCAAGAAGCAGATTCAAGATTCTATTTTGAACAGTAGAGGACTTAAGATCAGGGCTGTGGGGCATTAGGCAAACTCCTAACCACTAAGCCATTTTCATTCATTTATCAAATGTGTGTTGAGCACTACTTATGCTCTCCTTCTGGGAAAAGTGAAAAAATCCATGTTGTTGCTCATTCCTCCGGAAAAATGCCAGGCTTCCTTCTAAGGGAATCCAAATTTTAGTCTTGTTGTGTTGGTCCATTAGCTTCAATAATCGGCATCTCTTTCTCCACAAAGCCTTCCCTGGCCCTTTCTGTGTGCATCTATAGCCCTTGTGTTTACTTTTAGTGTGAAGTACAGTGTGGTGTTCTTGTTTTTGTCTGAAATGGAGTCTTACTCTGTCACTCAGTCTGGAGTACAGTGGTGTAATCTGGGCTCACTGCAAACTCCACCTCCTGGATTCAAGCAATTCTCCCATCTCAACTTTCCTAGTAGCTGGGACTACAGGTGCGCACCACCACGCCTAGCTAATTTTTGTATTTTTAGTAGAGACAGAGTTTCACCATGTTGGCCAGGCTGGTCTTAAACTCCTGACCTCAAGCGATCCACCTGCCTTGGCCTTCCAAAGTGCTGAGATTACAGGCGTGAGCCGCTGCGCCCAGCCGCAGTGTGGTATTTGTCTCTTTATTTGTTGGTTTCCCCCACTGAATGAGCTTTGCTTTGAAGGCAGGGGCCATTTCTTACTCATCTCCTTATCCCCAGAACATAGCAATAGGCTTTGGAGTCAACACACTTGTGATGGGAAAAGAGACAAAGAAAATGCAGTGAAATGCTCCCATTCCCCCTCATTCTACAACCCCTCCTTCATCAGGAAAATTCTAACTATGGCCATTTGTCATCTTCTCCTTCTTTTCTAAGATATATTTTCAGTCTTTCAGTTGAGTTCCTGGAAATTACTAGGTGGGTCAGGATAATCAGTGGGGTAAGAAAATAAGAAATAGGAGCAAATACATGTTTTTATTTGCTGTTAGAGAAAGAGCTATTAGGAAGAAAAGGAAAGCAGAGACCCCAAAGGATGGGAAGAAGGAGGGAAAAGCCAAGAGCTGTGTGGCTTGGGTTTTAGCAGAGGTTTCGGTAGAAAGCTGAGAACAAGTAAATTTAAAAAAGGGTTTGGGGACAGCTGCAAAATTAAGGAGGCATCTAAAGTGATGGAAATGGTAAAAGAGGATTTTAAGAAATTTACTGAAATTTACAAACTGAATTTCCTGTAATATCTTTAAGAGATGCAAGTAGAGGATTGAAATAGCTTTTAAGAAATGTTGGTTGTTGGCTGGGCGCGGTAGCTCAGGTCTGTAGTCCCAGCACTTTGGGGAGCCGAGGTGAGTGGGTCACCTGAGGTCAGGAGTTTGAGGCCTGCCTGACCAACATGGCAAAACCCAGTCTCTACTAAAAATACAAAAATTAGCCGGGGGTGGTGGGCCCCTGTAATCCCAGCTACTCAGGATGCTAATGCAGGAAAATCGCTTGAACCCGGGAGGTGGAGGTTGCAATAAGCCGAGATCGCACCATTGCACTCCAGCCTGGGCGACAGAGCAAGACTCCATTTCAAAAAAAAAAAAAAAAAAAATTGTTGGTTGTTAAGCTGTGTTTCGCGTTGATTTTGATGCCATGCAAATACATCAAAGATCATAAGGTCCCCGGCTTATCTCTGGGCAACATACATTTAAAGCAACAGCACATGAATGAACAATGTAAAATGAATGAGTCTAGCGTACAGCAGACTTTACTTCATGTGAACCACTCATGCTTATTCCAAACTATCAGACAGACAGTGTTTAAGAACTTGAGCTCTGGAGCCAAATTCCCTGTGTTCCAATGCATACTAGCTGGGTATTCAATTTAACTTCTCTGAGCCTTTATTTCATCATTCATTAAAGGAATAAAAAGAATATCTACAAGACAGGGCTAGCATGCCGATTATGTGAGTTAGTATACGCAAAACTCTTAGGTCCTGACATAGAGTAAGCACTTAATAAATGTTCATTTTTATTTGCGTATGGTTGTCATTATTATCCATATCACAGTTTACATAAACACAGGGCTCTGTAAGTTTGAGTTTCTTGCTAGTTGGTCAAGCCACAACTTTGTCCCCATGCCAATATTGACCATCCTTCTATGCCTACTTCCATCCTCATTTCTTTCTCAGTGCCTTGGCAATATTTTCTAAAGCACTCATTGGATATGATTCTTTCTGTCAGGTATTGTTCATCTTGCTTCTCCAACAAGACTGAAAGCTCTTTTAGGAGCATGGAAATCATATTTTTTGCAGCTCCTCTCCTCAGCCTGGAGCAGCCCAGCTGAGCACATACTAGCCTCGGAATGTTCTTTGGTTGAGTGGAATGGACTGGAGTTGGGTGAATCACTTTGTAGACATTTAGCTTTTGTGTTAATGTGCTTCTTACTGACCTCCAGCTCACCCTCATGTAGCCTACTGTCAAACCCAAGAAATGACCAGATGCTATCATTCACAAAGTTCTAAAATGCCATGACAATGTGTGCTTACAACTGGAACTGCATTTCATTTAAAATGTCCTTAGCCTAATAGCTAATAGGTAGGCTTTTCTGTGTCTTTCAGAGCATCACAGGCAGTGTGGTGTAGTAGAAAGAACAGAGTTAGAAGGTAGAAAATGCTCTTCTAGCATCCCCTGGTTGTGTAATGCACACATCACTTACCACCCTGAGCCTTACATTTCTTAACTATAAAATGGGACTAATAGAAATGCCTGCCACATAGTCTTCTTGGTCAGACTAAAAGATAAAAGGTGTGGGAAAGTTATTTGAAATGGTAAATATATCTATTTAGTTCTTGTTTCTATTATCAAATTTGAGAATCTACCAGAGACAGGACGCCTTCCAGAAGAAGCACAGGGCACTGACCTCCCAGCCTGTGTTCAGCCTCATTAACATTCACCAAGAGAGATTCTGAGACTGCAGGAATGAAAAGGATGGAGGATGTGGGGGAAGCGGGTGGGAGAGGAACAGTTGGTGATGAAGAAAGAAAAATCTAATCTTTTGCTAATACTAAGGGCCCCAGCTTAAGAACACACATACAAACAGTGAAGTGTGGTGACCCGGGACCAGCTGGAAGACCTCCTGTACAAAAGCCATTAACAATACTGCTTTCAGCTCCATAGCTCACCAGGGCCAGCTCAGGCCTGGGGTTGCTGGAAAAAAGAATCTGGGGTCCTGCTCAGAGACCCAACCTCATGGTCAAATGTCAACCCATCAATACCAAGTGAGCAGAAAGAAGCCTACTGCTTAGGGCCTTTCTTTGTTTTTAATTAATTAGCTTTTTGTTCACCCATCTGAGTGGTAAAGAAATCTCTTCTGCAAGCCTTTCAAAACCCAATTCCCCCACATGTACCCACATTAGTGAAAACAAAGTAAAATCTGTGGTTTTGGCTCACTGCCTTGGCCACGTGGTCAAATAGGCCTTCGAAAGGATCCCTTTTTTTTAAGGAGTGTTTATTGAGTGACTGCTATTCATTCAACAAACATGTCATGGGTGCCTACTGTGCCTCTGGCCCTACGCTTGGTGTTAGGGACATAAAGATGAATAAAGCTCAGACCCAGAACTCAAACAGCTCCATAAGGGAGGTCAGAGATCAACATCAGTTAACACAGTGCCTGCTAGAAAAGGCTAACAGCCTAAGAGACTTCTGGGATGAGGTGCTCCGTCAGCTCGGAGCAGAAAGAGAAGGCTTCTCTTGGGCAGGAGCAGGGAAGGTTTTATCTCATGGTGGCCTTTGAGGGCTGAACAGTTTGGATGGGCTTTCTACCCATGTTTACCACATTATAATAATAGCAAACTGTGTACCACATAACCTGGCTGTGCCACACTCATCAGATACTGAACTAGGGAGATGCAAGCCCAGAATCATCAGCCCCTTGTCTTTGACAAGGGCCCTCAGGAAAGCTGCCTGACATATTTAGTCCTGAAGGCAGTAATTTAAGGGCCCATGGCTCTAACTGCCCTGGGCTCAGCCACTTGCATCAGCTGAGTTCTAAGCACTGACCATTCTAAGCACTGGCTGAACGTAACACAAAATGGTCTATGATGAAAGCCCTTTGATAACCCCATTTTGCATAAGTGAATCTGAAGCCCAGGCAATCTGGCTCTAGAGGCCATGCTCTTGACTTTGACCCTATGCAGTCTCTGCCATGCCAAACCTACCATGCCTTACACCTGTCCACCCCTCCCACCTGGGCGCTCTAAAGCAGGGGCCATGTCCTGTTCAGTTCCTTGTCTTCAGAGCCCAGCCCCATTCCTGACACAAGGTGAGCCTTAAAAAAGGCTTGAACTGTTGAGCTGAACCCACTGTCACCAGATGCTGAGGTCTCAGCATGCCAAGTGGTGGGGACCCATGGATCTATTAAGCACGCAAAACTGGGAGGCCAGTGCAGGGGCTGAGATGGATTGGGGCAGGGAGATGCAAAAACAGAAACAACCCATTTCACAAAGCCTCACTTGTGGCTTTTTGAGTCCAGGGATGAAGGCAAAGCTGAAATTTGGGAAGTGGAGGCCCCAGTCCTTTGTGACCCGGTGCACATGCGGCAGACCTGCCCTTGGGTGCACTTTTGTGGCTCTGAGGGCAGGATTTGGGCTTTAGATAATAATTGCATAGATTTGCTCAGTAAACACAGGGCAACCGTAAGATAATTACATGTTCTTACAGAGATGGGGCTCCATAATTACCTTCAGTGGCCCTAAAGTATTATTTAACACATATTCTGGTTTATAAGACAGAAATAATGATGAATTTGCCTGGTAATTACACAGCACTTCCCCACTACATATCCTGCCAGTAGCTGATACTTAGCCCATCATTAAGGGGCTAGCAGTTGCTTTGGTAAATAAGAAGTTCTTCTCATTACTGGTCTCCAGGCACATAAAGCATGATTAAAATGCCATTAGTGACATTTCTCCAAAGGGCAAATCCACAAGTCTGTGTGAGAAGCCAACTTTCCTTAGATTAAATGTTTTATTTCTGTCTTTCTGACAGGAGCAATAGAAAGGAATCAATTCTAACTCAAGCATCTGCTCCCTGAAAACTTGTCCTTAATGAAACAGAGCAGACGATGCAAAATCTGCCCTGGCTCAGGGTCACAGGACAGGAGTTGCCACTGTTTTCAAGATGAAGATGATTCTTTAACTCATCCAGATGGCTCTGCCCAGTTGAGGAGGAGCCCAGGCCTGGCGCCACCACCCTGTGGTGGGCTGGGTCAGCACATTGAGGGCCAGGGCAAACCGCAAGCTCTGGATGGGTCTTGCTGGCAGCCTCCTCCTCCAAGGATGGGGCCTGAGAGGCTCACAGAGAGCTGGGGCTCTTTGGAGAGGGGGGCACCCTGGTTCTTGGGCCACTTGCGGGTACACATGAGGAAGGAATGTACACACATCAGATACCAAAGCAGGGAGATGCAAGCCCGGAACCAGTCTCTTTGTCCATGACAAGGACCCTCGGGAAGGCTGCCTGACATATTTAGTCCGGAAGGCAGTAATTTGAGGGGCCATGGCTCAGCTCTAACTGCCCTGAGCTCAGCCATTTGCATCAGAAAGAAATTGACTCTTTGTAATCAATAGAGGGCTTAAAGAGGGTGGTCAACCACTATGGCTGGTGGGCAGGACAGGGAGTGGGCCCTCTGGAGCAAACAGGGCTCTCGTTACCATTCCATTCCAAGCTATCCCATTACTGAAGGGAACGATTCAACAGCAAATATGAACTCAATTCCAAATCCCAGTGCCAAGGCAAATGGCCAGTCCCAGCGGCCTTTTTCTTTAGTAATGAACTCCAGGCCTCTGGCCTTGACTTTGGAAGTGACTTGACTTACCATGGAAGCCAGCAGAGAGTAGCTGGGAAAAGTTCAGAGTTAAAGTCAGAAGATCTGGATTCAAATTCCAGCCCTGCTCTTCAATGGCTGTGTAATATTTGGCAGTTACCTCTATCGAACTTCAGTTTCTTCATTTGTAAAACAATTTGAAAAGACTATTAAGTTCCGTTAGGCCAGAAACCACGCCCATTCTATTCATTGCTGAAGTCCCCACACCCAGCCCAGTGCCTGGCACCTTCTGAATCTATAATCAACATTTTTAATTGAATAAGACTAGGGAAAATTCATTGCACAGTTAATTTACATAAATCCATTCATTTGCATTCAGTAAAAAGCAAAGAGAGAGAAAGAAAAATAACAATTTAAAATAATGATTTAATTAGTACTGAAGATGTTGCTTGATAATCCACTCCAGGCATCTGTGCCCCAGAGTAATACCAAAGCCAGATATGCGGAGTTGCTCTTCTCTAACTTCCTGTTTGTGAGAATCTTGTACTGAACCCATAAAGGTATACTTCAATATTGCACTGTAGAATATATGCTCTCACTAAATAATATGCAATGTGTTACTATATCCATCCCACATAATTTACAAGTATTACTGCATTTGGCTGTAATCCGAAAACTTTTTAAACTCTACTTTATGGATGATTTATAGGAGGTTCCAGGGACATTTCGATTATACCCAATTTTTGCTTTAGATTTGACCTCGACAGCCTTACCCTGCAGCATTTGGGTTATGTCACAGGGTCACTGCAAGTGAACCGGAATGTAACTATTGTGATCTAGAAACACTAGATAAAAATAGCTGGTATCCTGCTCAGTGCTTTTCTGCACAGCTACTTAGCCTGGTCAAGGTCAAGAGGCTTGATTACAACCCAGACCTCTTGACTGCCGGCTTGAGTGCTGGCAGGCACAACACGATTTCCCTCAACAAAAACTTGTTGAGTAATTATTAGGCACTCAGCAAAGTGCCAGCCACACAGTGTTGTGTGAGAGAAATATAAGGCAGAAAGCACTGGCCACCAAACGCTCAATGATTTGCACAGACGAAATAAGCACCCAGCTGGCCCCAAAGTATGCAAACCTTGGCATTCTACCTGAAGGCGGAGGCAGCTACTGGGGAGCCTGAGGTGGAGAAGCAGTCATACACATGCGGTATCACCCACCAGTCCTTGCTACCAAGACCCATTTCTTCCCTACCCTAAACTGCCTGTTAACTGTTGAATTTTTTTTCCCAATTCAAAGCTTTCTTGTTTCCATTTTATTTCACTGTGTTTCAAATGAAGAAAGGAAATACAAGGTGACTTTTGCCTTTCATATTCTAACCACATCCCACTCCATGTCCTCTACTGCCCAGGAAGTCCCTCCAGACACAACCAGCAAGGCAGAGGAGGTATGTACAATCCTACATTCATCAATGAAGTGCTACAGTGAACAGAGAAGGGGACATGGACTGAGGTCACCAGGAAAACCTCCATGGGAAGGTCAGAGTTACAGAAAGGCCTAAGATGAACTTGACCTTGAGAAGCAGACTATGAATTATATCTGTTGATTCTTCTTGTGCCACATCCATTCACCCTCATTCTCATAATAGGATCCTGATACCCTTTGGGGAAAGACCCCATTGCATGGCCCTAAGAATGAGCAGGGAACCCAGGCATGGAAAATCATGGGAATCTCATCCCCTTGACTACTGTGATTAGCTCATGGATGAACATGTTTGTGTCCCAAGATGGCCTAATCAGTCCCATCCCCAGGACTATTGCAAAAGAAGCAATCTCTTTCTATAAAGTTGCTAACCTGGTAGCCTGAAGCAGCCAGGGACAGATCATCCAGTGCCTGCCTGAAACTGAAGCCAATAAGGAAGAAAACATAGTCTAGACATGGAGAAATGGACAAAACCAGGTCCTAGAAAAATCACTGGAATCCCTGAATCCAGCAATACCTGACTTTGATGTCAAATGGTCCTGGATTTTTAAGTTACATTTTACTCAATAACTGTAGCTTGGGGATTGCTTTTTGCGGTTTTGCTTTTTGCTTAAAGCCAGTCCAAATTGGGTTTCTTTCATTTGCGGTGGAAAGAGCCCTAACAAATTGACTCATAAAAAAGAGAAATGGCGGAACAAACATGGAGAACAGCAAGAGCAAGGACCTAGGGACAAGGGTATGGGTCTTTTTCTCAAGCATATACATTGAGAATCATAGAAGATAAGAGGCCAGGGAGCATATTATGAAAATATCATGTGATAGGAAGAGGCATTTGGACTTCCCCTGAACTTTTGAGAAGCAAAATCCAGAGCTGAAATCAGGAAAATACATGCCTAGACCCAAAGGTATCTCATGAACTGGCTGGTCCAGTTGCTGTTCCTCTCACTCAGGGAAACATCTGCCACATGCCAGATGCTGTACATCTGTGGTTAGCATTGTTCCTTTAAAGAATAACACAGATTCTTCTCCAGGCGAGCCAAACATTTTCATTAGCTGTGGTCAGGGAGGGAATCAGGCTCCTTCAGATGAGTTTCAGCTGACACACTCCTGTGGGGCACGTCTTTCAGGGAAGCTGATTCATCTTCAGTCGGTCAGCTGTGAGGGATGCACACCTGTGTCCTAGGATGACTTTGAGGGAGTGGGGGACAAAAGACCTTGCTGGGCTTCAGCTGCCTCTGCAGATGCTCTTACACTGGGGCTGACACAAGTGCAGCCACGCCCAGCGGGTAGCCAGCAGTAGGGTTGTTCAGCTCCTAGGAACCCCCACTGAGGGCTCTTCCTCTGAGTTCTGTCCCAACCAACAGCTGGAGTTGGGGAGACTGACATCTGGGCTTGATTTGATGCCCCACTTATCCTCCTCTCAGACGTCCACACACTACATTCTTCAACCATTGCAGAATGCAAGTTGCTCGAAGTTACTTTGATGGTCAGGGCTCAAACAGGGATAGAGGTGCAATCACATCATGCCTATATTTGACAAGAGAATTCTGCTCCATGTGCTGAGAGAGACAGAAAACAAAACAGACTGAAAGAGAACAATATAATGGGCATGGACTGAGTGACCTGAACTTCCATCCCACTCACAGGGCAGATGCTATAGTGAGTATGAGATGGTGTGTGTGAATCTGTGGTTCTCACGGTTAAGTCTCGGTTCCTGCAAGCCTCTCGCTGCATCAGTAGCTTGCCTGGCTGAGTATACTGTCGTGTTGTTTAATGATGGGGATACATTCTGAGAAATGGGGCGTTTGGCACACTCATCGCCATGCATATATGATAGAGTGCACTTACACAAACCTAGATGGTAGAGCCTACTACATACCTAGGCTGTATGGTCTAGCCTATTGCTCCCAGGCTGCTAATCTGTATAGCATGTGACGGTACCAAATGCTGTAGGCAATTGTACACAATGAGAAGTATTTGTGTATCTAAACATATTTAAACATAGAAAAGGTACTGCAAAAATACGGTATTATAATCTTATGGGACAATCATCATACATGCGGTTTGTTGTTGACCCAGACATTGTTATCCCCCACATGACTGTGTTTATCAAAATAAGTAGAACTAGCTGTTGGAACAAACAATGCCAAAATCTAAGTGGCATAACACAATAAAAGCTGATAGTCTGCCCCCTCTTACACTGTGAAGTGAATTCAGAGGCTCTTCTTGGTGGCTGTGCTCTGAGCAGTACTCAGAGGACCCAAGACCTTCCATCTGCGACACTGCCCTATCAAACACCCTGGAAGGGGATGAGAGCTGCCGCTCATCAGATTCCCCAGAAGCAGACTTTGAGATGGAGGTCAGAGTGCAGGACTTTCATTAGGGAGTTCTTTGGGGATTAATGCTTGTGGAAGGGAGATAAGGATGCAAAACTGGGTAGAGGGAAAGGTTGAGTTGCCACGCAATCCCCCAAAATGGTTTCTTCCAGCTCTCTGGGAACTATGGAGCTAGGTGGCCTTTCACAGTTGTTCTGAGTCAGAGCCAGGTGATGATGCCATTAAACCTTTATGTTGATAAGTCATTGGATGCAGAAGAGGACCATCTTCCAGCAGCACTCCCTACAAATGAGGAAATAACTTTTTCATCACTAAAGGGAGACCCAGGTGACCATCAAAGCATCCACCACAAGAGTACTGGAGGAGGGGTTGACCATCTTGTAGTAAATAATTTAGGCTTGGTAGTTCATGCCATCACTGTCACAACTACTACTCTGCTATTGCACATGAAAACAGCCATAGGCTGTATGTAAATCAATGAGCGTGACAATGTTACAATAAAACTTTATTTACAAAAACAGGCAGTGGGTCATAGTTTGCCAGCTTCTGAACTATAGGATCACGGAAGTATTTAAGGACAAGCCTAGAAGTGACTTTGATCATTCCTATCCATATTCCATTGGCCAGAGCCCAGTCACCCAGCCCCAGTTTAACTGCAAAAGGAAAGGAAATCTTTCTGTGAGTCCCAGAAGAAAACAAATGGAATTTGTGAGCATCCAGCCAGACTATGCCACAGTGTGATTCTTGTGTTGAAATCCATTTTTTCAATGTGATAGAGCCCTGAAATATATTACACATTTTTACATATCTATTACTAAATAAAATGATACGCACTTTACTTTAAAGGAGACTTACGAGATTTTCAAGGATACTTTTCATCGTGTGTGAATTTTGCTCCATGCACTGATTTTAGAACCTAAGCCTCACGTGTCTGTGATGTCGCATCAAGTGAAGAGCATGAGTAAAGAGTTGGACAGACCTGGGATTACAGCTCAGCTCTGGGTGGCCAGGCACAGATCCTTCTTGATCCTCAGTTTGCCTATCTGTAAAATGAGATGATAATAGTGCCCACTTCATGTGGTTTTTGTAAGGAAAAAAAGTGCTACAATATACATAAAGTGCTTGGTGGTAGTCACACTGTAAGCACTCAATAAATAGCGAAGATAAGAAGAGGTACAGTTCGTGACCAGCCTGGCCAACATGGTAAAACCACATCTCTACTAAAAATACAAAAATTAGCCAGGTGTGGTGGCAGGTGCCTGTAATTCCAAGTACTGGAGAGGCTGAGGCAGGAGAATCACTTGAACCCAGGAAGTGGAGGTTGCATTCAGCCAAGATCATGCCACTTCACTCCAGCCTGGGCGACAGAGTGAGACTCTGTCCCCTCCCCACCCCCAAGAATAGAGGAGGGACACATAATTTAGGTGATCAAAGTCTGCTGTGGTTTGTTGGGTGTGGTGGCTAATGCCTATAATCCCAGCCCTTTGGGAGGCCAAGGCAGGAGGATTGCTTCAGCCCAGGAGTTTGAGACCAGCCTGGGCAACATAGGGAGACCCTCTTTTCTATTTAAAAAAAAAGTTAGCTGGCATGGAGATGCACGCCTGTGGCCTCAACTACTTAGAAGGCTGAGGCAGGGGGATCACTTGAGCCCAGGAGGTTAAGGCTGCAGTGAGCCATGATCATGCCACTGCACTCCAGCCTGGTGACAGAGTGAGACCCTGTCTCAAAAAAAAAAAAAAGTCAGCTGTGGTGACCTTATGTAAGTTGTGGCATCTCCCTGGGCCTTGATTACATCCTCTGTAAGAATGAGGATAATCAGGTGGTTCCCCTCAGCACACAGGCTTGAGATGAGTAAGAGTTTCTGTGGCTCCTATAATTAAAAATAAATAGAAACTGATAGTAATATTTATCTGATAGGGTTGTTGGGGTGATAAAGTTTATCTCAATGAAAATGTGTTGAAGGCAGATTATGTGCTAGGCAGCATAGTTGGCTCTAGGGAAAACAAACATGAATAAGATATTGTATCAGTGATCTGTCCCAGAGCTTAGTGGTTTCAAACAATTTTATTTTCCACAGCTCTGTGGGCTGGCCAGGTGGTTCTTCTGCTGGTTTCACCTGGGCTCTCTCACACAGCGCAGTTACCTGGTTGCTGTGGACTGGGCTCAGCTGGGATGGCTCGGAAGCCTGTGTTCCATGACAGTAAGCCCCAGGGAAAAGCACTTCCCCAGCCTCTGATTGTATTATGATTGTTGACAGCCCATTGGCCAAAGCAAGTCACACAGCCAAGTCCCAAGTCAATGCGGGAGGAGACCACACACAAGGGCACAGATACCAAAAGGAGGGATTCATCTGAGGCCATTACTGTAACCATTTACCACAAATATCTTATCTGTCCTTAAGAATGCTCCTGCGAAATGTCCATCTTGCCCCTGCTAGATGTATCACTCTCCACAGCCATCTCCCCTGACATCTCCCAAGGAAGCATTTATAAGATAACTGCCTGGTGAGCTTATGCAACATTGCATAAGTCTGACTTTCCACTCAGCATCAGACATCATTAGACTCATCTACATCATTAGATCACTCCTACTCACATTCCACTGGCCAGAATCCAGTCACAGGGCCACACTACAACTGCAAAGGAGGCTGGGAAATGTAATCTTTCTCCAGGTCCCAGAACTGGGCACTTGCACGGCCCTCACAGAGACTCCTACATTGATGCTACTTCTGCCTCCACAGTGTTCTTCACACTCTAGGAGACTCACAGAGGGATTTCCCTTTGCTCTTTGGCACTACATGGCTGATAGCTGTAGTCTGGGGGAAGATGGTGGCGTTCACAGGGCAGATGGTGGCATTCACGAGGGTTAGGCTGCTGACCAGGCCTAGAGTAGGATGGGTTCAGGAGAAGCCAGACATTGTACTAAGGTCCCAAAGTCTTGATATGAGCCCCTCACATGGACACTGGGTGGCACAGCCCTATAGAGTATCTCTCTGCTCACCTTTTGAGAAGACAATGTGGAGAGAAAATTTACTTTATAATTTTTCTAGGAAGGTAGCATTTTGTGGGTTGTTCTTCCTCAAAACCAGATGTTGACTAGGACTTGTCTCCTCTCACTACACAAAGGACAAGGTCTCATTTCTTGGGCTTTGGACATAACCTCTAGGTCTCCAGAAAGTGTCCCCTATGGGTCCTCCCTTTGCCCTGTCCCCTATGTCTCTTGTCTCTCCTTGGTCCTATAGTAGTTCTCCCTCTTAAGATCTTCCCTGGATGTATCTCTATACTGCTTTTTTTTCTTTTTGGGGGACATTTCAACCCTCCTTAAAGAATGGGGGACTGGGAAGGGGCTTCACTGAGTGGTAGAATTAAATGATATGAAAGAAAGCAAGACCATCCAAAGACCATAGTAATTCAGGCTAATAAGACTCAGAGGACAGACAGAACAGATATTTAATTGGCAGACACAACACAACTGCTGGACCATTTCCTTGACCAACTACCCAGGGCCAGCTCCATAATCTGAAGGACCCAGTGTAAAATGAAAATTTGGAACTATTTGTTCAAAAAACACAGGGAAAGAGCCACTAGAGATATTAAAATATAAAGCTTTTCCTTCCACAGTCTCTCTTGCAACTTTTCATGATACTTTTTATTTGCTATTTAACGTCATTCTCAGTAAAGTTAAAATTTTACATTATTAGCATACATTTTACCATTCACCTTTATACTGTGCACTGACAGTTTTAAGGGCAAGTATTAAGAGCATTTAACTCACATGCTGAATCCCCAGAATGATACAATTATGCAATTCTTATTTCCTAGCTCTTACACGCATGTGTATTTCATTCATACCAGAACAATAGAAATGGTGCATAAAAGCAACATAGTGTTACCCGTGGTGGCTCACACCTGTAATCCCAGCACTTTGAGAGGCTGAGGCGGGTAGATCACTTGAGGCCAAGTGTTTGAGGCTAGCCTGGCCAACATGGCAAAACCCCATCTCTACTAAAAATACAAAAAATATATATACACAATAAATACAAGTACAAAAAAAAGTGAAATAAAAACAACTACTTTTTTTGTTTTGCTTTGTTTTAGACAGAGTCTCACTCTGCCACCCAGGCTGGAGTGCAAAGGTGAGATCTTGGCTCACTGCTACCTCTACCTCCAGGGCTCCAACAATTCTCATGCCTCAGTCTGCTGAGTAGCTGAGGACTACAGGCACATACCACCATGCCAGGCTAATTTTTTTTATCCCTCCCAAAGTGCTGGGATTACAGGCATGAGCCACTGCGCTCAGCCTCATTTGTTAATATCCACACATTCTACCAATACTCTCCACCTTCAGTTTAGGGATGAGTAAAGAAGGAATGAAAGGAAAAGTAACTATGGATTTCCCTCTGTTTCTTTTTCATTCTATACCTTCATTTTCAGCATAAGAAAGGATATGAGAAGATTCCTTGGGGTTCATGTTTTCTAGAACACCATTGCCTTCTTTTTCTTGTTCAAAGCAAGCTCTGGTTTGAATGGAAAGCGTGGCCCTTGGGGTTGTCAGTGTCCCCAGTTATCCACCACAGACATAACACACATACCTTATACTCACTTGAGCCTCACTGAACTCATGCCTCATGAGTCTCCCAGAATTTGTGCTCAGGGTACATCACAAATACTATATGCAAATGGGGTGGCAAGCAACGGCAGACAGGCAAATTAGGTATGTCTTCTGCTCACACACATGTGCCATTGTCCAACCAAACTTCACTTATAAAATGTGAGTTCAAAGATCAAATTATCAAGAATTTCAAGATGGCAGCAGCAAGGCATTAAACCAAGTATAGGGAGCTTCTGAGCCCAGGGCCCTGCACATGCCCATGAAGCTGAAATAGCCTTATGGAATTTTCACAGACACTTCCAACTAAACGTGTTCCAAAGTCATGTCATGATTGACCCAGAGAACCACCATCAAATATCCTCCTGACCTTCTCTTCCCCATCTCAATAAACGGTTCCCCAACTTGCCCTCTTGCTGATATCATATACCTGGTGTTCATGCCAAACACCCCTCTCTCCCTCACCACAGCCCCTTCCCTCTACCACATTTAATTTATTGCCAAATTCCATTGATGTGTACCCCCAAAATATTTCCCCAATCTGTCCATTTCCATTTGCCCCCACTATTCCTCATGAAAGCCACCATCAACACTTGTCTACACAACTGTAACAGCCTCCCAACTGGTCTCCATTCTTCCATTTTTGTCTCTTACAATCCATCCTCCACAAACATTTTAGAGTGATCATCCTAAAATGTAAACTGACTCCCTTCAACACTTGTTACTGAAATCCCTTCATTAACTGGCTCCTTCAGACACTTCAAACCTCAGCTCAAATACTGTTTCCTCTGAGAGGCCTTCCTGGAGCATCCGAAACAAGGTGACCCTGCCCCATATCCACCTTCATGTTCCTCTCTTAGAGAGTTGTTTCTTTCCTTCACCACACTTATCAGACCTGTGACTGAATTTGTGGGTGTTTATTGAGCTACAGTGCAAATTCAAAGAAGACAAGACTGTTCATTCACTGTACCATACCCAGCTACTAGCACAGCATTTGGTCCATGGTAGGCACTCAGTTTTTAAGGAATGAATAAGTGGATTCATGAAGAATGGAGAAGGAAGCATTGACACTAACTCCCCAGTCTCTGGCTTAGATGACAGGGAGCTCGTGGGGGCACAAATAAAGACAGGAATTCTAAGGGGAAAATAATTCCCTTGGAAAAAGAATGAGCTGATGTGTGTAAGATTTCTTTATAAGCTACAGGCACCCACATAAATGTGCAATTGGAAGTAACAGCACCAACTCCAGTTAGTGTAGGCTGAGGTGACTGTACCTTCAAGCTAATGCACTTTGAGGGAATGGGGCACTAGAAATAGTCATACCCCGATGATTGGCATGGACCAGGACTGGCCAGGCAACAGGACATAGGGTCAACTCAGGAATAGACTCTAAAGACACAGGGCCCAAGAGCAAGAGTGCAGGGACTTCAGATCATTCTAGAACTGAGAATAAGAAAGTCCTTAGGAACATAGTCAAAGTTATCTCTCTTCTTCTTCTTCTTCTTCTTCTTCTTCTTCCTCTTCCTCTTCCTCTTCTTCTTCTTCTTCTTCTTCTTCTTCTTTTTTCTTCTCCTTCTTCTTCTTCTCTCTCTCTCTCTCTCCCCCCCTCTCTCTCTTTTATACCCTCACTCTCTTCTCTTCTTTCTCATTCCAGGTTCCCAGCGAAAGACTGTGATTGGCCCAGCTTTGGTCAGGTGCCCACCCCTAGTTCACTCAGCTGGGACCCAGGGGCAGGAGACTACTTCACAAACACAGTGTCCAGGTAGTATATAAAGCCAGGCAAACTCTCTAAAAGAGATCAACTACAAACTATAACATTAAGGGGTTCAGACTCAGCTGGCCAGGCATGATGACATGTGAAATGAGTGGTAGGGTCAAGCATTTTTTAAAAGCCCTGAGCAGGGAAGGTCAGTCAGGGAAGACTTCCTGGAAGAGGTGAGCCTTGAGAGACTGTCAGACTTTGGATGGAGCAGCTGGGAAGTGTTTCAGGAGAAAGAAACAGCATGAACAAAGGCCAGGGGGCAGAACAAATGAAGCTAAATTGGTTATCTCATTTCTCTTCTGATATTCCCCCATGTCACCTCATGGATCTTTATTGTGTAGTCATTTTTTTGGTAATAATCTGTTTGAGGATTTGAAATTTTTGCCATCTTCCCACTCCCTGTTCAGTAGACAACAGTGAGCACCTGGCTATTACTGACATTGTCTGTAGGGTTTGGGCCACAAGACTAAAAGTGCATCCATTTTATGAGAAGCTGTTGAGACCATTTACAAAGATTTCTCTAGCAGAGTTTTTCAGATCATGCTATTAATGGGTCAACTAGTACATTTTGTAAGTGACATAAAATACAATGAAATAGAACATAGCAGAATTCATTGTAGGCAATAAGGGTAAACATAGATTTGTGAAACTTTTGTTTCAGTTCCATTTCTATGGATGTGCAGGTCATGGGGGAAAATATACAAGAATATTGCACTGAGAGGAACCTCAATCAGACTCTCCCTTTATTACCTTCTCCCTGGGAAATGGTTTTATGAGACAGACTGAGTTGGAGGGTAAGTTGGAGGGTCAGTGGTATTAACTGGATGCTTTCCTAAGATTTGAAATGTGGATGGAAGAGAATCCTCCAGCTTTGGGGTTTTATGTTTTAAAAATGTGCCAGAAATGTATGGCATGCTAAAATATAAACTGCTTCTCTCATCTTCCTCTCCTTCTTCACTCCAACTTCTTCCAACTAAACATGTTCCAAAGTAATGTCATGATTGACCCAGAGCACCACCATCAAATATCCTCCTGACCCATCTCAATAAAAGGTTCCACAACCTGCCCTCTTGCTGACATCACACACCTGGCGCTCATGCCAAACATCCCTCACTCCCTCACCACAGCCTCCTTCTATCCATCAATAGAGCTATCAACAAGGAACAGACAAAAGAGAAACAGGGTGATATGAAATACTGACACTTGAAGGAAATAGGATTTGCTGGTCCTCGACTTCAATGTGGATTCCCTCTTGGAAACGCCTTCATGGTGACTGGTCATGACCCTTAAACTGTCTCTCTAAGATACAAAATGACCAGACTGCCCTCCCATTCATGAACGGACAAACCCAAACCTTCAGACAACCACATGAAGCATTCAAGTCCACAGACTGCTCAGGATAAGTCAGTCCCTGCTTAGCAAGCTAAACAAATATTCAGGCTCCTGGCTACTTGGTCAAGTTCTTAAGAGCTCACAGATCTTGCTGCACCCTTCCCGGCCCATGGAAAATTGCAGTGTTTGGATCAGTGCAGCCACTGAACAAATGGCTAGTTGGCCTATGAGCCGCACCTTGATCATTTCACTGTGGGAGGCCAGTTTCTTAACAATGCAACATTAAATTCTCCAGTCCCTCTTTTCTCATTATACAATCCAGCTGTTTCCTGCAGCCGCCTGCAGGGATGACAGCACTGGGCTAAGACAGTCTCCAGTGCTGTCTTAGCCAGAGCTCAGTTACTAGTCTTCTGTCCCCTTGGAATTTCATTTCTTCATCTGCAGAATGGGAGAACCTCTTCTCGCTTCCCCTACAGGGCTGTGGAGAGGATCAGCCGGCATGACTGCCACTTCTTTTGTTAAGCATAGAGTGGTGGTAATGTTAGAAGCCACCCTTCCTGGCGGGAGTAGGGTGGGAGTCTGGAGGTGGAGGGGGAGGGAGGGGCCAGGGTAGGCTCTCAAACCAAATGCTGACCCAGTGATACCTTCATTGTACTTGGCCCTAGGCCCACCCACAACTTTCCCAGCAATCTTGCCGCTGCCGCACCTTAAAACCACCCAGCAAGAAAAGGGGGAAACTATTTCTCTCAGTAAAGCCCTCAGGTCCTCCCTCTGAAACCAGAGCTTCGGGGAGAGCAACAAGTGAGTAGTGACTCAGTGTTTAGTCTGTAGCCCTGCGTGTGCACACGACGACTTAGGAGGGTCTCACTGAGCTCCCAGGGCCGCTAGTCAGAATCTGTGTGGGAATTAAGCAAGTTCAAAGGGCAGCTGAGCAAAGATGCTGGTTCGGGGGCAGTCGGGGGAAGAGGGTGAGGATGGAAAGGTTTGAAAGGCTGCCCTGGGCACGGGGTCAGCCCTGGGATGGGCTGGGGTCAGCCGGGATGGCATCCAAGCAAAGGCTTCTGGAGGCAACATGAGGATGTTTGGCAATCAGAACGCTCCTTCCCAGTGGATCCCTGGAAGGGAATGTAAACAGCGTGTGGGCTCCTCGGGGCCCCGTGCGTGACCAGAGCCGAGTTGGGGAGGACTGCTGGCTCACCTCGGGCTTCTGGTCAGACCCCCCACCTCGAGCCCTGGGGGCGCCAGGGATGATACCCCATGTCACAGCCATTCCAGAAGTGGAAAATGTAACGTGAGAAACATCTGCTCCTCTTCTTGGGAGTAATTGGGCCTCGGTGTGTGCATCTCTCCTTCCTCCTCACGCCTCCTTCTTCAATCTCTCTTTCCTCTCGACATTTATAAAAATAAAATGTGATGCCAGGGCTTGTAAACCAAATCCCAGAGATAACTGGGCTGTGGGTTGAACGCGTGCTTCACTGGATACCACCAAGGCCAGCCTGCCAGGGGGAGGTGTATCCCCGAGAAGAGGGAGGGAAGGGAACAGGAAGCAGAGAAAGAGTCGGAGGTGTGGAAGGAATCCAGGGAACAAGAATAAGCCGAGCTCACATCTTGGAGATGTCACCACCTTCTCAGTCCATCTGCCTCGTGAGAGCTGAAGAGGCTTTGGTTTCTCTCTTCCCTACCTTGGAACTTCCTCAGCCCCAGCCATGCCTTCCGCCTGCATCTTATTTCTTAGGGAACTTACTGCCAGGACTCAGCAAGTCATAAATAATGGTAAAATAAAGAATATCTAGTGGATGTTAAATAGTTCAATGAATCAGGCTAACTAAATGTCTTCCTGCTTTAACCGAAAGGGACCAGTCAGGGCAAAATCAGCTGTTCCCTGCCAGCTACTACCAACTGAAGCCATACGTTTTGACCAAGATTTGGGTCAAATTGAGCATCCCTAATTATTTTCTTCTATGTTATGGAAAAGTCTAGCTATTCTATTAGGTCTCACCTCTTATTGCCCTCTCATTCAGTTCCTGGCTGTGTCAGCCTCTGTGCTTCATAGGAGAACCAGAGATACTCAGTGCTGATTACTGTGATGTCTTTTAGGCATACACTATTGATTCAGAGACTAAAATGTGAAAAGAGAGCAGTTACTTGAACAAAGAGGTCAGTCACTTGCTGCTCTGGATGTGGAGGGATAAAACCAAGAATAAAATATTCTTTGTGTCATAGCAAGAGCCAAGATGCTCAATTCGCTTTCTTCATAATGCATCATTTTATAAGTGCCAGACACTATAGTACATGTTTTATACGTATCTCCTGGCTCTCCCACTAGAAGACAAGCTCCATGGGGGAGAAACCTTACCTTTTGGGGTTGATTATTCACCACTGTATTCCTATTGTGCAGGACAGTGCCTGGAACATAGTAGGCATTCCGTGAATATTTATTCAGTGGATAGATGGTTGAGTGAATCTCTCTGAGCAGATTAGATCATGGATGAAGAAGTGAAATATCTAACTATACAAATACAATGGGGACAAACAGATATGCACGCCCCCACAGAGGGGACTGTGAAGGTTTGTGAGTGAATATGATGGCAGGATAGGAGTTCTCTGGCTCTACCCACACACACACACATCCACAGAAATCCAGCTAGTAACTATCCATAGAAAACAAAACCTTCATGAATATCTCAGAACTCTGGAGTGAGGCTAAGACACCCTTTGGGACTGCAGAACTGAGGAACACCTCATTTGAAGGGTAAGAGTGATGGTTTCTATTTGACCTCATCAACCCTCCCCCAAGCAGGCATTGCACCACACACAGGATTCCCCTGGGCCCATGGTGGACATTCAACTTTCCTACCATTTTGGACCCCCTGCAGGAGGCTCATCCCTGTTTCATCCCATGGGAAACATTGGGTGTACCAGCAGAGCTACATTACCAGTTAAAAAACAAAATAGTAGTGGGGCCTATAGTGACAAGAACCCAGATCTTGGCAATGGCTCTGTATTCCAGCCAACAGTGGAGCCACATAAAAGAGACTACCCAACAGCATAGCTCTGCAGGAAGCACTGCCTACAGCTCCGCAAGCTCAAGTCCCTAGCCAGCTTCCCCACCCAAACTTGATACTCTCCTTAAGCCTTCTCCAGGCTGGGTGGCAAGTGCAGGTCAGTATTTACCCATGGAGGGAGCATCTGGCCCTGCACAACCCAGAGGCTGAGCTGTGATCCAACCAAGCCCCAGCTCTCCTTAATCCCTCTTCAGGCTGAGAAGCAAGTGCAAGTCAGCATTTACCCACATATGGAACATCTGACCCCACACAACCCCAGCAGCTGAGCAGTGACTCCACCAAGCCTCAGTGCTCTGCCTGAGGCTATGTTAGGCTGGGAGGCAAACCCAAGCCTACACATATCTGTGGACATAGCCTCTGGCCCTGGCCACCCCATGTGGCCAAGCAACAACCGCAGAAATCTCACCCAGCCTCAGAGCCCAGCACGCAGCCCTGACCAACTACAGATTACAAACAACAGTACCACCCAGCCAAAGAAGGCAACCAGCAATCCTGCCCAGTTAGAGATGACCACAGAGCCCAGCCAGCAGCTCCGCCTGACTACAGAGTCCAGACAGTGGTCTCAACAGACCGCAGAGGACAGCCAGCAGTGCCATATAACTTTAGAGCACAAGAAATGGCACAGCTCAACTATAGAACCTGACACCAAAGTCTGTCTATATGGGATCACTACCAGCTGGCCATCTAGAATCCAAGGCTAGATTAAATAGTAAAGGTCTATCACCACCAAAGAACACCTGAAAATGACAGAAGAAGTGGTTATATCCTCAGATGAACAGGCACCAATGCAAGAACACAACGATTATGGAAAATCAGGGAAATATGACAACATCAAAAGAAATTAATAAAGCTCCAATAATGGACGCTGAAGAAATGGAGATGTATGCAATCACTGACAAAAAATTCAGAATATTCCTTTTAAAGAAGTTCAGGAAAATTCAAGATAATATAAATAGAAAATTAAATAAAACTTCAAAAACAATTAATGAATACAATGAGAAGTTTGACAAAGAAATAGAAACAAATAGAAATTCTAGAGATAAGTAAAAGAATAACTGAACTAAAAAAATTAATAGAAAGTGTCAACAACAGATTTGATCAAACAGAAGAATCAGTGAGTTTAAATGTAGGACATTTGAAATTGTTATATCAGAGGAGCAAAAAGAAAAAGAATAAAGAAGTCCTACAGGAATTATTGGACACCATCAAAGGAACCAACTTTCACATAACAGAATTTTTGAAAGAAGAGAGAGAGAGGAAAAGGCCCAGAAAGCATTTGCAGTGACCTGGATGAGATTGGAGACTATTATTCTAAGTGAAGTAACTCAGTAATGGAAAACCAAACATCGTATGTTCTCACTGGTATGTGGGAGGGAAGCTATGAGGATGCAAAGGCATAAGAATGATACAATGGACTTTGGGGACTTGGGGGGAAGAGTGGGAGGGGGCGAGGGATAAAAGACTACAAATATGGTGCAGTGTATACTTCTCAAGTGATGGGTGCACCAAAATCTCACAAATCGCCACTAAAGAACTTACTCATGTAACCAAATACCACCTGTACCTCAATAACTAATGGAAAAATAAAATAAAATAATAAAAATTTTAACAAAGGAAAGAAAATAATGGCTGACAGTTCCCCAAATCTGAGGGAAATGACAATATCCAGGTACAGGAAGCTCAGGGATCCCCAATCAAATTCAACCCAAAGAGGAGTTCACCAAAAAACAAGATAACCAAATTATCAAAAATCAAAGATAAAGAAAGAATACTGAAAGCAGCAAGAGATAAGAACATATCACATTTAAGGGAGCCCCAGTACAGCTATCAGTGGATCTCTCAGCAGAAACCTTGCAGACCAGGAGAGAGTGGAATGATATATTCAAAGCACAGAAGGGAAAAAAAAAGGCCAACCAAAGATACTTTGCTTTCTCATAAAATTTAGGTCTCTTATAAGCATGTGAAGTAGATACTGATTTTATTCCTATTTTATGGAGGAAGAAACCAAGGCCTAGGGAGGTTGAGCTACTTGTCCAAGTTCACACAGCTTGTAAATAGCAGAGCTGGGTTTTGAACTCAGTTCAACTAGCTTCCCAAGTTCTTAACCACCATGACTGCATTATCTATTTTTATAGTATCCCAAAACTATTGGTTAATACATTATTACTGATATAATAATTATAAACACAGTGACCATATCATGGGTGATGAGTTTGCTAGGCATTTTTCTAAGAATGTATTTCTTATTTAATCTTACTTATTTAATTCTTATTCCTATTCTTATTCCTTATTTAATCTAATCTACTTGCAAAATGTATTCCTTTCTGCAAGTGCTGTGGAGTGAGTACTCTTAGCCACATTTTGCAGACAAGAAAACTAGGCTAATGCAAAGTAAGTGGTAGAGCTGGGATTTGAACCCAAGCCTACTAATTCCAATGGTTGGATATCTCCAACTCCCTCCTGGTATTCATGTCGTTAGCCATTAGACTGTCTGCGATTCCTGTTTTGACTTTGCCTTTGCCTTTGCAGGTGGAATAAATACCTCTTCTACTCTCCATGTTCTGCACTACATATTTCTTGGGACCTACGGTAAGGAAGATTATTGGGAAAATACAAAGAATTAATGTTGATGCTGTCAACCTCTACCTTCTAGTATATCTATCCAGGATAGCCCTGGCTTTCTGCCCTTTTCTACAAAATCATCAGATAACACTCCCATAAGGACCTTCAAATTAACAGACACTGTAAGAATGCTGCTCTGCTAGCATACCCTTGGTTAGAAAAAACTGTGAACTGGGGTGTAATCCCATTAATGAGAAGAATGGCTTCATCAAGTGGAATCTGTTTGAAATCATCCCTGTAAACAACCCCTAAGCAACAGAAGGAGAAGGAAACATATGCAGAGAAAGAAGTCCAGATGCTAAGGAGAATGCCTTTTGGCATGTAGGTTTAGAACCTCCAAATTATATCACAAAATCTGAAAACAACCACACACACAGTCGGAAAATGAATAATTCAGAGAGATGACTCTAGGTATTTTCCAGAAATAAGTGTGTTACACTGTTCCCATTAGAATCAACATTGTCAGTGTGAGGCTTACACACTAACTGAGCTGGTAAATGCTCCTGCATATAATTTAAGCAATCAAGGAATGATAGTAATAGCCCCTAACATCTGCATAAATGTATGGTGTGCAATACTTTTTTGCATATATTATGTTACTTTATCTTTACCACAATCCATTGAGATCTACAGGACTTCCATTTAGATATAGTAAAACTAAGGTTCAGATTTTAGGTTTCTTGAATTCAGTCCATTGTTTTTTTTCTATTGCTCTTAACTGCAAATAATAATGATAGTAACAATAACAACAATAATAAAGGATGCTAAGGAAATGGCGTGGGAAAGCAGATATACTCCCTCCACAATTCTGCCTGGGTTGTGCCTGGTGTATTGGCTTATTGTACTTAATAAGAGATGATGAAAAATGAGTTAAATGGTTGTGATTCCTCCCTTCTGTATGATTACAGTTAAATAAGGCAATAGTGCTGCCCATCTAAGGAACAAACACTTATTTATTCATCAATACAAGGATATAGGGCTTTGCTGGCACATAAGAAACTTTTGTGCAAATTACAAAAAGATGCCTTGCCCACTAAACTGACACAATGCCAGGCAAAGACACAACTACTAAGAAACACAGCACTGGTCAGATATTAGCTCCCACTTGCCCTGTAGGCCAGGAACACTGTCCAGTGCACAAATTGCACAGTCAGAGGCAGAGACTAACCCTCTAGAGGAGTAGACATATATGAATATTATTACAGCAGTCTAATAAATATCATTAAAAGAGATTTGAGAAAGGCACCACAAGACATAGTGAAGGGAGTGGAGGTCCGTTTAAATTTTTACTTTCCATACTACCATTGAGGTTTGAGAAAGCCCAACTCATGCCACCCTTTTTCCCTGCTTCTGAATCAATTGAGAGAGAAAATTTTAAAAGGAGCTAACATTAGAGAAAGGTCTATGGCCAAGTAAACTTCTTCATAAGAAATCCCAGAATCAGACCAACTTACCCACTTGGTTAGTTGCAAACAGTGTTGGGTTGTCACTGGCTCCACACTGGGAACTAGCTGTGTAAAATTCAATTTTTGGAGAAGCTAAGCAGAATGTGTGTTTCCTGCAAAGTGGATTATATAACAGAGAAAAGGGGAAGAAGGGTTTGTGACACTGATTCCCAGTTCCTTTTCCCAAGTTTACTAGTGAAAAATTTACTTCTTTTCACCTGGAAGGAATGAGGGAAGAGGTAGAGAATGTCCAGTAGCCTTACAGTGGCAGAGCTCCTCCCACATGAAAGAAACACTGGGTCGGGGGAAGAAGCCCACCCTATCCTCAGCCCCCACTTAATTATGATGATGTTATTCATTTCTACCCCCAGCACTCAACCATGAGTGGGAAATAGGTGTGTTTCTCTCTCCATTTCATCTCCAGCACCTATCACAGAACTTGGCACATAGTAGGCACTCAATAGATACTTGTTGAAAAATAATGATTACACACTGACTAGTAAGATCAGAAAGGCTTCCAGAAGGGAAATGGCACTTGAGTTAAGCCTTGAAGAATCAGTAGCCAAGAAAAAGTGATTGAGGGGAATTGCGCCATAGTTCAACGGAGATAGCAGGGTCTGTGACAAGGAAAAGACAGGAGATTGTAAAATATCCAGTATGTCAATCAAATGGGTTATTGGAATGCAAAGGGAATTAAGTAAGGATGACTCATGGAATAGTGGAGTAAGGTAAGAGTTACTACAACAGCAATTGCAACTTCCCATATATGCCTCCTCCAAACCTCCGATTTAAATCCCATTTAAATGGAGATGCATCAGAGGAGAAAAACATCTTCAACAGAGCAAACAAAAGAAAAGCAAAGATTAAATTAGAAGAAGTTCTGCTGACTTCTTTGTGGGAGGGGGTCCACTGGAAAGCACATTCTGGAGTCTTGTCTCTCATGCTCCACCTTGAACCAGAGCACCAGAACCCTCAAAGCCAACTCACTGACTCATTCACACTGTCTCTCCAAACTACACAGAAACTGCCTTTTGAGATAGCTAGATCCCTGATCCTCTCTTCACCCCATCAGCTCCTCCATCTGCAGATCATTCTAGAAATACTATTCCCAGCATTAACATGGCACTATCTCTAGATATTTGGGTGTGTTGCAAAGAAAACAGTTCTGAAAGGAGTGCAAGCAGGAAGAAGGGTGAAGGAGGTGGGAGGAATTTCTCAGGGCCTTTGGTTTTCAAAGATTACATTAAAAATGCCCTAATTCAGAGAACACATCAGTAGGAGCAGAAGACCACGTTGCTCAGGCATACCTACACTTGAAGGGCACACCTGAGCTTTGGGCTTACATCCCAGAGGAGGGGCCTCCTGTTATCCTGGTGGACACTAAGTGGCACTAAAGATGCTAATTTCTCCAGCCCTCTCTACTGGCAAACTTGAGGCTAGGATAGACCTAAAGCTCTTCACGGAAGGGTCAGCAAACAGAAAGAAAAACTATACATTTATGAAAAGATTCTGCAGCTTAAAGGACAGAGCAATCTTTTGAAGACTAAAAGTAAAACAGCACTGATAATAATTCTCTACAAGGCACACAAAGTGTTTAAAAGACATGTATCTGCTTGGCATCCTTATCATCACAAGAGAACAGAAGAAGCAGATGAACTGAGATGAAGACAAAGGTGCAAAGAAAAAGAAAACTGTTGCTTCTTCAGGCATGGATTCAGCACCTACTATGTGCCAGGCACTGTCCTAGGTACTTGGGATATGAGAGTGAAACAAAGCACATACAGAGCTCTGCCCCATGGAGCTTAGCAGGGAGAAATAGACAACAAACAAGCAAGATGAATAAGGAAGTTATTTAGCAAATTAAAAGGTCATCTGTGCTGTGAAAAGAAAAGGAGTGGGGGGTCACAGAAATAGAGCAGGTAGGGGATGAGAAGTGCTGGGTTGTGAAGTTGCAGTTTGTAACTTGCATTAGGGTATTTAGGGCAGGCTGGACTGAGATGGTGGCATTTGAGGAAAGATTTGAAGGTGAGGAAGCAAGCTTGTGGGTATCTGGGGAAATGGTGTGTCAGGCAGAGGGAACAGCCCATGCAAAGCCCCAGGGGTGGAGGGTGTGTCCAGGGTGGTTGGAGTGAGCAAGGGAGGAGATGGCGACACAGGGTGAGGAGAGGCCATACCACGAGGCCTTAGAGGCCCTTGTAAGGCTTTTGACTTTTTCTCAGCAGGAAACAGGAGCTCCTAGGGATTTAGGAGACGTGTGGCATGATCTGATTGACTCTTCTTAAAAAATTACTTGCATGTAAAAAAGTACTTGCATGCATCTCATTTAATTTACACAGCAAACATATGAGGCATGTGACATTATCTCCATTTTACAGATAAGGAAACTGAGGCCCAGAGCAGGTAATAAATTTACCTAAAATTACCGATTTTGTCATTGTTAAAGGTAAGATTTGAACCCAGGAAGGGAGATGGGGAGATGTTGGTCAAAGGACACAATGTTCCAATTATAAGATGAATAAGTTCTGGGATCTAATGTACAGCATGGCAACTATTGTTAATAATACTGTGTTTTTGCTGGGCACAGTGGCTCACGCCTGTAATCCCAAAACTTTGGGAGGCCAAGGTGGGCAGATCACCTGAGTTCAGGAGTTTGAGACCAGTCTGGCCAATAGGGTGAAACCCCATCTCTATTAAAAGTACAAAAAATTAGCTGGGCATGGTGGCGTGCACCTGTAATCCCAACTACTCAGGAGGCTGAGGCAGGAGAATTGCTTGAACCCAGGAGGCGGAGGTTGCAATGAGCAGATATCATGCCACTGCACTCCAGCCTAGGCAACAGAGAAAAACTCTGTCTCAAAAAATAAAATAATAATAATAATAATAATGTGTTTTTTACTTGAAATTTGATAAGAGAGCAGATTTTTAAGTGTCATCCTCATCACACACATACACACACACACGCACACACACACAGTAATGATGGGTGGTGATAGATGTCTTAAATGTGGTAATCATCACACAATGTATTCATATATCAAAGCATCACCTTGTATGTCTTCAATATACAGTATTGCTTTTTATTTGTCAAATATTTTTAAATTATAAAAAGAATAATACAAACCTTTAGAAGTTATATTTTAAATCAGAATAATTTTCTTTTAAAATATTATAAATATTATAAAATATTAATTCTCAAAATGAGCAGGGGCTGTAGGGCTCACCAATTCAGGTTTCCAGAAGGAAATCTCAAAATACATTTTGAGCTCAGAATGAAATTTCAATGTAACTGATAATTCTTTGAGTGTTCTGAACTTATTTCCTGAACACTGGCTTTTAAAAATGAAAGGTAGATCTGAGCTAGACACAAATCAGAGGCCATTATTCAAAGATGAAGAATAAAATGAACTCATGTATTGACAGCTCTGAGTAGAGCTGAAAATTCTGTAAATTAACTGAAAATTACTTCATGGTAATATGGTACTTTCACTTAATATTAAAAGGATCAGTTCCCTGATTCATAAATTTTACTGCTGTGATTTTTGGTAGAACAAATATTAGTTTTATGACATATTCCTAGTATGGGTATACACTGACTCTAAACGGGTCACTCTGGGTACTGTATTGTGGCTAGATGATGGGGGTCAAAGATGGAAGCAGGATAAAGTTTACGAGACTAGGCAGTAACCTCTTTGAATGAAGACAGCAGCTCAAGCCAAGATGGAAATAGCAGAGTGGGGAAAATGGACATATTCCCGATATATTTGAAAATAGAGTCAATAGGATTTCCAGATGGATTGCTTATGGTGTATGAGAGAAGAATCAAGGATGTATCCAAATTTTCGGCCTTGGCTGGGCACAGTAGCTCACACCTATAAATCCCAGCACTTTGAGACACCAAGGAGGGAAGATTGCTTTGAGGCCAGGAGGTTGCAATCAGCCTGGGCAACATAGCAAGACCCTGTCTCTACAAAAACAGTTAAAGAGTTAGCTGGTCACAGTTGCACATGCCTGTAGCCCTTGCTACTCAGGAGGCTGAGGCAGGAGGGTCACTTAAGCCCAGGAGTTTGAGGCTGCAGTGAGGAGTTTGAGGTATGTCACTGCACTCCAGCCTGGCCGACAGAGTGAGATCTTGACTTAAAAAATAAAGTTTTTGGCCTAACTAACCAGAAGGATGGAATTTATATCAATTGACTAAGCTGGGGAAAACCTTGAGGGGAACAGGCTCAGGATGAAAATTAGAAGTTCATTTTTTGACATGTTAAGTTTGAAAAATCCATTAGACATACAAGTGGAGATGTTGAGTATGCAGTTAGATGTGTGAGTCTGGAGTTCAGATGAGAGATCTGGGATGGAAACGTGAATTTCAGAGTTTTCAGCATATGAATGAAATTTAAATCCATCCATGAGGCTGGGTGGGATTATCAAGGGAATGGGGGTAATAGAGAAGAAGACCAAGTCCAATTATTAAGGCTGTCCCACAACAACAGAGGAAAAATCAGCAAAGGAAACAGAGGAGTGGCCAGAGAGATAAGAGTAAAACCAAGAGGGTGTGGTACCCTGAAAGCCAAGGGTAGTAAATCAAGGAGAAAGTTATTAGCTTTGTATATGCAACTGATAGGGCAAGTAAGATAAGGACTGAGAATTTACCATGGGATAAGGTCTCAGGTTAGGCTTGGGGACCACAGTAGCAGAAGCCCAATTGGAGTGGGCTTATGAGAGAGTGGAAGAAAAGGAGAGAATTTTGTTTCAAAGGGAAGCAAAGAATAGAATGGCTTTGGGGAAGCAGAGTCTCAAGAAGTTTGTTAGTTTTCACGATGGTAAGGATAACAACATATGTGTATGTTTGTGGGTTTAATCTAGTAATAAGCAAAGATTGCTAATTGATACGGTTTGGTTGTGTCCCCACCCAAATCTCATCTTGAATTGTAACTCTCACAATTTTCAGGTGTCACGGGAAGAACCCAGTGGGAGGTGATTGAATTATGGGGGCAGGTCTTTCCTCTGCTGTTCTCATGATAGTGAATGAGTCTCATAAGTTCTAATGGTTTTAAAAATGGGAGTTTCCCTGCACAAGCTCTCTCTTTGCCTGCTGCCATCCATGTAAAATGTGACTTGCTTTTTCTTGCCTTCCATCATGATTGTGAGGCCTCCTGAGCCATGTGGAACTGTAAGTCCATTCAACCTCTTTTTCTTCCCAGTCTTTGTCAGCAGCATGAAAATGGACTAATACAGTAATATGGGAGAAAGAGGGAGAATTTCTGCAGATTTTCTTGAGTGATTGGATTTAGAACAGTACATTTACAGTAAAAAGAGAGCAGGCAAAGAGAGTGGGTGTGGGTGCTGCTACAACATGGATGGGAGAGTAGAACTGTCATGGAATAAAAGATTGGGTGTGAACATGGAAACTGGTTAAATATGTTAAGGTACTTATGAATAACCATTACACACATTTTAATTCAAAGCCCCAAACTACACTGAAAAGTAAAATTTACATGGTTTTACAAAAAAAAAAATATAATGATGATGATGATTGATGATGATAAGATGAAAGGTAAACTAAATCTTCACATACTGGGAGATTAAAAATTATCATTTGGCCCTCAATTCTGATAATTAGAGAAATATAGGTTTCAATACATCTTTTATAATCTCAAAGACAACTAGATGAAGACAACTAGACCACAGTAGAATATAAAACAGAATTCTTAGCTTTCAAGTTACTGCTGAAGATAAGTAGTAAACAAAATCATCTATATAACCTGGAAAAAATGAGGGAGAAAGAAATAGGAATACATAAAAAATCAGAAAGCATAAAATAAAATCACATGTGTGATACCAAAAACATAAGTTGTATAAATAAAATGTGTTAATCCTATTAAAAGTCATAGACTTTGAGTGTATAAGAAAGGAAAACAATGTTTAATTACATACTGATTATAAGAGATTCACCTAGAAGAAAATAGCCTAAAATGGTTAAATATAAAAAGACGGATGAACATCTGACCAACTGATTTGCAATGTCTCAGCAAAAGCAGGCGGGAGAATGGATTCATGATCTCAGTTTGACACCACAGCTTCTAACTCCAGGGAAAATCATAAGCAGAGCCAGTAAAAATCAAACTATCATGGTCATTATTCCATCTCCATCTCTCTCCTGGCTTTTTTCTTTGATTCCTACTGCTAGGGTGCCTCTTACATACTCCTAGGACCCTGACCTACCTGTGGGCATGTTAGGTTTACAATTGAAGCTGGAACACTCTTTGACTTAGAAGTTGTCACAGCCTTTTTGTGTATAAGCATTTTTTTTTTTTTTTTTTTTGCCACATCGTATCATTGAAGTATGTAGGGGTTATCCAGCCTTGCTTTTTTCCCACAAATTCCTCATGTTTTACTTGGTGAAAGCTGATTTGACCTCTAGTTACCAACCTGCTAGATAACATTCTTCAACCCAGAGCCCCTGTGTCCTCAGACATACAGACAGACAGGAACAAAGAGAAAGCCGTGGTATCAAAGCCATTACAAATAATGCAGAAAGCAAAGCAAAAGTGTGCTGTATATTGGACAAAGAGGGTCATTTTTAATTGATGTAAGGTCATCTCCACTGGAATGAAGTCAGTAATTTTTACGGACCTAGTGACAGGGCACCACATTAATAAAAACTGCTACTGCATCCTCTCAGTCGCCCTCATTTCTATTTGTATTGTGACAGCCTCCCAGCTAGTCTCGTGGCCTCCCATCTTGTCCATTCTCCAATCCACTCTTGCCACTGAAGCCAGAAGAAGATTTTTAAGTGCAATCTGACCCTGATAAGAACCTTAACTGGTTCCTATCCCCTTGGTATAAAAGGCCAAGCACCTGGCCATGGAAAAGCCCTGTGACTTCCCCCAGCCTCATAGCCCACAAGCTCTTGCATCTAACCTTCCCTCTGAACTACAGGCAGTTACCTAAACCCAGTACCCTGGTTTTTGTTTCCCTACCTTTGTACATTGTGCTTTTTCTATCTGCAATGGACTTCCCCAGCCCATTCTCCCAGCCTTCGTTTGCCTGGAAAATTCTTTCTCATCCTTCACAACCCATAAGGGATATCTTCCCTTCTAAAGATATTATCTAATGCACCTTCAGGCTGAGTTAGGGGCCCTCTTCCCTTTGCATCCCCCATCAGAGCACCCAGCATCTGTCTTTTAGCTGCTTGTTCACTTGTGTGTAACATCCACTAAGCTGTGGGTGTCGGGCTATGATAGCAGAGGTTACATCTTATGCTGTTCCCCTGGGAACACTCAGCATCTATTAATAGCACTGGTGCTTGGCACATGCTAGGCCTTCATAAATGTCTTTGAATGAATGAATGAATGAATGAATGACTTAGAAGAGGCAAGGACAGGGAACTGGCAAAAAGGTCTTCAACAGAGAGGAAAGAAATGAGTAAGACCCCACTAGGTAGTAGGGCAGAGTCAGATGCTGAAGCCTTCAGTCCTCAGCCCTCATCCCTCATGTTCTCTGAGGTTTTTTTTTGTTTTGTTTTGTTTTTTTTGGAGAGTCAGGGGATGGGTCCAGACTTCTGGAAATCTTCCAGAAGGGGACAGACCCTCAAAGGGATGGAGCCAAGCTAGAAAACTCTAACCAATGAATCAAGAATGTGAAATCAGGATGCCCTGAACATCCAGGAAGTCTGGTCACTTGTCTCTATAACCTACCTGAGACAGGCCAAAGCCACTCCCAGAATGAGGCCCCCAGAGTTAAAAGCACTCCACTGGAGAAGCAGAGGTTAAACAGCTAAGCAGCCTTTTTCACTTCTGTTTTCCCTTTCAGGAGACATGAGTCTTCTGTGAGGTTTGCAGATTTGAAGGATAGCAGAAATCCTCAAGTATTCATTGGGTCACTAAGGACAGGTTCTGTCACTTTGTGGCCACCATCACTGCCATCCAGGATCATAATTATGGGGTATCCACTGAAGGCTAGCTGCAGGAAAGCTTCTGCTCCTTCTTAAGGCTCTATAGAAGAAACCCACATACCTAATCTCTGCATTCCCTGGCGAGCTCTGTTCCACCCACCTTCCTTCCTTCCTTTCTATCCCATCCCTACCTCCCTACACGTGTGTGTGTGCGCGCACACACACACAAGTGCACACACAAAAAACACACACAGCCCCAGTCCTTCCCAGCTCATAAACAGTTGTGTTCTCATGATCAGACTGATATGAGGTCTATCTATTTTGAGTTAAGAAGAAAATGTTTATAATTCACAGTCAATGAATGGTTTCCTAGCAACTTCTTATATAACTATAGTGAGATGATCTTGATCTTCTGTCTCTTACTCTGAATCTCTCCCTTTCTCTTTCATATTCTCTCCCTACCACTAAGGATTTTTCTTTTTTCTGTTTTAAGTAACAGAACATTTTGAGAGTTTGATAAACACCGGGACTCTCTCTCTGGGAAAATACATGTAAACACATACATGTTCACTCACAATTCTGTGTATATAATTAAAGGACTTCACACAGTCCCTGAAACCTGCCCATGAAATCCGGCCCATAACCCTGTCCTACAGGGTTTGATATCTCTCCCATCCAGGAAAGGAAAAAAAAAACTGGTTATTCCTGCAAAAATTTGATGAACTCAGCTCACTTTAAACGACCTCCTCCATCCCTCTCTGATATCACACATTCTAATCTCAAAGTATCGCTGGTCCTGACCAACAGGATCTGATTTGGCTACCTCTCCCTGTGTCCCCCTAAAACGAGGGAAATGTGAACACACTTTTATGACAGCCTGAAAAAAAATGCCATCAAGAGGTTAAGGCACCTCCAAAGACTTCCAAAGCTTTGGGGGTCTCCTCACCAGGCTTCCCTTGGTGAGCCAAGCCGCCACTAGGCACTGACTGTCTGTGAATGCCTAGGATCTATGCATTGGGCACTTATAGATGAGAGCTGCCCTCCTCTCCTTCACCCCTTCCCACAGCCCAAGGTTGATGTCAGCGCTTCATGAGGTCCAGGGGACTCATAAATGTCAGCTGTTCTAGGGACAGCCTTATGTTCCTGATCATTTAATATCATTCAGTTGAAGCATCTCCTTAACCAAGTCATTTGTAAAATAAGAAACAAATGAAATAAAGAAAAATATTAAAATTATTAGTGTTTATTATGTGCCAAGCACAGGGTTAGATGCTTGCCCTACCTATCCTTCTGTATTTTTCACAAACAACCTTCTAAGGTATAATTTTAAGATGTTAATATGGTGTGGTGACTAACCAGGCAGGCTTCAGAGACAGAGCAACTGGGTTGGAATCTCATCTCTACCATGTATCAGCTGTGTGACTTTGGGCAAGCTACTTAACCTCTCTGTACCTCATTTTCTTCATCTGTAAAAGGAGGATAACATTTTTAAAATACCTCTGTCATAGAGTTGTCATTAGGATGAAATAAGCCACTACCTATAAGGCATTTGAAGAAACCTGTGACAATAGTAAATGTTCAATACATGTAAGCCACTCTTTCCATTTTACAGATGGAAAGTAAACCTCAGAGGGGTAAAGCGACTCTCTCAAGCTCACGCTCCCAAACTGTATATCCAGCAAGTGATCCTAAGGCCTGGGATTATGACCACTCTGTGATGCTTCCAAATATTCCTAAATGCCAAACTGTTTGAAATGATCACCTTTTAAAAATCAGTATTTAGGATGCAGCATCATTCCTGCAATATTCCTACCAAAAACACAAACCACAACCAACCCATAAGGAAACATCAGATAAATCTAAATGGAGGGATCTTCTAAAAAATAATTGGCCCATGCTCTTGAAAAAAAGTCTAAGTCATGAAGACTTCCATATTGAAGGAAACTAATGGAGATATAACGACTAAATTCAACACCTGATCCTGGGTTGGATCGAGAATCTGAAACACGTTTTTTCTTTTACTATAAAAGATAGCAGTTAGATCAATTGGCAAAATTTAAATAAGATCTATGTTAACAGTATTAGTAATAGTTTTCTTTCATAATAGTTACAGTTAATAGAATTATATCAACGTACGTTGCCTGATTTTCATTATTGTAAAAAAAAAAAAAAAAAAAAAAAAACCTCTGGATTCTTAGAGAAAATCTACACTGAAGTATTAAGAGGTGAAGGGACGGCCAGGCGTGGTGGCTCACGCCTGTTATCCCAGCACTTTGGGAGACCGAGGCGGGAGGATCACAAGGTCAGGAGATTGAGACCATCCTGGCTAACATGGTGAAACCCCGTCTCTACTAAAAATACAAAAAAATTAGCCGGGCGTGGTGGCGGGCACCTGTAGTCTCAGCTACTCAGGAGGCTGAGGCAGGAGAATGGCATGAACCTGGGAGGCAGAGCTTGCAGTGAGCTGAGATAGCACCACTGCATTCCAGCTTGGGCGACAAAGTGAGACTCTGTCTCAAAAAAAAAAAGAGGTGAAGGGACATCATGTCTACAATTTCCTCTTGAGCAAGTCAGAAAAAGAAATGCTAACTTGTAGACAGAGAATAATAAGGCAAATGTGGTAAAAATGTTAACCTTTGGGAAGTCTAGATAAGAATAGTCAGGAATTCTCTGTGCTATTCTTGCAACTTTTTTTGTAGATCTGGTACTAACTCAAAATAAAAATATTTTTAAAGAAGGAACAAAAAAAATCAATCTTTTCTCTGTCAATATATGCCCCTGAGCATACAAGGTGTGGAGCAGAATTTCTCTATGTTTTCACCTGCAAGAGACTGCTTCATTCCAGGGAAGGCTTCCTTGTTGATGCTAACACAGCAGAATTTGCTTTTCCAAGGAAGAAAATCCCCCTAAAACATCAATTAAGCCTTTTATAGAAAAAGAGAGACATTTTAAAATTGGAAGACACTCTTCTCTCTTGTCTAAGAGGACATAGCAATTCCTCATCTCTTTCCCCACTTCTAAAAAATGTCCATCCATGGTTACACTCATCATTTGACACCCACTCACAAGACCCTTTTTTGTCTGCCAGATTTTCATAGGCTTCTAAAGAATGCAGTGAATTTGCTGTTGCTGAATGTAGTTCATTTGCACAGAATTCCTTACCCCTTTTTCTCATCTGTATTTTCATCATCCATGCCCTTTTCTCCAACAGGCCACTTGACAGCAGAACTGGAAAGGGAGAGAAGGAAAGGCAAGGGTTAGAGGGGAGGCTGCAACTCATTCAGTCAAGAAGCATTCATTTAATGAGCACCTACTATGTGCTGCCAACTGGGCCAGACACCCAGCAGGGAAGAAGGCAAGCCCAGCTCTGCCCTCACAGAGTTTTCACTGAGGAAGACAGGTGAAAGCTGCCAACCAAAGCATAGAGAGTGTTTTAGAAGGGGAGGTACAGGGTGCTGGGGGTATGTTGAAGGGAGCCAACTTAATCTGCAGAGGTCACAGAAAATCCTACGCCAGAAGGATGGCCTTGTGTCAGTTAGGTCAAAGGAAGTTGGAGAGGGCCAAGGAAAAAGAATGATTTTACTCATAAAAATAAATACCCATACTCTCTTTAAAAACAAAAATAATAGCACTGTCTATGGAATTGTAAAATAGTACAACCACTGTGGGAAACAGTATGGAGGTTCCTCAAACAATTAAAAATAGAATGATATGGTTTCCATCTGTGTCCCCACCAAATCTCATGTTGAATTGTAATCCCTAGTGTTGGAGGTGGGGCCTGGTGGGAGGTGATTGGATCCCAGGGGTGGGGTTCTCATGAGTGGGTTAGCACCATCCTCTCAGTGCTATTCTCATGATACTGAGTGACTGAGTTATTGTCAGATCTGGTTGTTTAAAAGTGTATAGCATCTCCCCCCTCTCTCTTCCTCCTGCTCCTGTCATGTAAGATGCCTCACTTCCCCATTGGCTTCCACCATGATTGTAAGCTCCCTGAGGCCTTCCCAGAGGATGATATCACTGTGCTTCCTGTACAGCCTGCAGAACTATGAGCCAATTAAACCTCTTTTCTTTATAAATTACCCAGTCTCAGGTATTTCTTTATACCAGTGCAAGAAAAGACTAATACATAGATCTACTGTATGAACTCCATGATCCCACTTTTGGTTATATACCAAAAGAACTGAAAGCAGAATCTCAAAGATATATTTTCATACTTGTGTTTATAGCAGTATTTGCATAGCATAGCAGCCAAAAGGTGGAGGTAACTCAAGTGTCCATCCATAGATGAATGGATAAACAAAAAGTGGTTTATACACACAACAGAATACTCGTCAGCCTTTAAAAGGGAGGAAATCCTGGTTCATGCTGCAACATGGAGGAACCTTGATGACATTATGCTAAATCAATCACAAAATAAATAGATCACAAAAAGACAAATATTACATGATTTTCCTATGTGAGGCACCTAGAATACTCAAATTCATAAAGACAGAAAGTAGAATGGCGGTTGCCAGGGACTGAGGGAGAGGAGAAGGGGGAGCGTTGTTTAATGCATATAGAGTTTCAGTTTTACAAGTTGAAAAAGTTCTGAATATCTACTTCCAACAACATGAATCTATTTAATACTTAACATTACTGAACTATACACTTAAAAATGGTTAAGATGGTAAATTTCACGGTTTTTTTGTCTGTCTGTTTGTTTGTTTGTTTTGAGATGGAGTCTTGCTCTGTCACCCAGGCTGGAGTGCAATGGCATCATCTCAGCTCATTGCAACCCCTGCCTCCCAAGTTCAAGTGATTCTCCTGCCTCAGCCACCCGAATAGCTGGGATTACACGTGCACGCCACCATGCCCAGCTAATTTTTGTATCTTTTAGTAGAGATGGGGTTTCACCATGTTGGTCAGGCTCGTCTCAAACTCCTGAACTCAGGTGATCCACCCGCCTCAGCCTCCCAAAGTGCTGGGATTACAGGTGTGAGCCACCGCGCCCTGCCCTCATGTTGTTGTTGTTGTTTTTACCACAATTAAACAACAACAACAACAACAACAACACCACCAATCACTGAATTCCCACCCAGATCCAAGTTAATCCCTGTCAAACAAAACATTCAGATGGATGATGAAGATAACGATGGCTACAAGTCAGGTGCCCTGGTATTCTTCTGTGTCTGATTCAGCCACAAGTAATAGAAAAGCGGCTTCAGCAATAAGGAATTAAGACAGGTATTTGTAACTGGTTTATCAAACATGCTGTATTCAGTAAGTGCTAAGCAGAAGACACATTTAGTCTTTCAAAACTTCACTAACAGCTCACAGCTCCCCAACCCCAAACCGTGAACCCCTTGATTAGGTAAACAATGGCCCATAGGACAAATCCAACCAGCAGCTTGTTTTTTAAATGAAGTTTTATAGGAACACAGCCATGCCCATTCATTTCCATATTGTCTGTGGCTGCATTCACATTATAGTAGTAGAATGGAGTAGGTGAAACAGATATAATTGATGAGTATTTGCAACAGAGACCCCAGGGCTCACCAAGCCTAAAATGTCTACTCTATATTCCGTTTCCAGAAAAGTTGCTGACCCTGCCATATATGATAGCTTGGGAAGAGTCCTTAGTTTTTCTGATTACTATTAGGTATTAACTAATCATCTCATTTACCAGGTGATAAAAGTCCAGCCCAGTCTAATATCAAAATCTCAATTTCTCATCCAAGTTAAAGGTTCTTCCTCATATCCCAGCCCCTCCTTTTTACCCAGTTCATGCTAGGCTGAAGCTAGAAAGCCTCCAATGAGTAGGGAGGACAGGGGGTATCTTTCTGCTCCTTGCTCCAGCTGTCTCTCGCTTGCTAATGTTGCTTCTCTGATCTCTACAGGGCAGAACAGGAATAAGAGGAAGATCCTAATCAGTTGGTGCCATTGTTACCTGGCATTGTGGCCATCTGATGGCAGATGGAGACATTTTTGTGGTTATTGGAGATTCTCACCTTAGCTACTTCCTACCGCACCATTTTTGAGCAAAGATAATCCACCTGCCACTGACCGATTACCACCACCTTCCCCCATACACCCTACACAGCCCTCACCTGCCTCAAACTTCCAGGGGTGAATCCTTCCATGATGATCTGGCATGGCTTCCCCATCCGTCCCCTGCCACAGAGGCCTCCGCTCTTGCTGTTCTGCCACATAACACTCCACCAATTTCTTGCCTTTAAACTTCTCCAGGCCAGAGTCTGGCAACAGTCCTTGGGTGTCCCAAAACATCCAGGCATCCCAAAGTTCTCCCAAGAACTCTCTAATTATGCTCATCTCCAACCCAGTGGAGGCCTGGAGCCCACAAGTTTGCACAGCTGCCAGTGTGGGCATAGTGGGGACATATTAGTGTCTGTGAATAATTCTCTCCATCTTAAACCAAGGGAAGGGGGCCTAAACAGGATTGTCCACAGACAGCAATGGCTCTCAGTGAGGGATAGTGCTGTCTCCCTCACTCGCTTCCTGGGGACATTTGTCAATGTCACGAGGCACTTTTGGTTGTCACACCTAGAGGGGTGCTGCTGGCATCTAGGAGGCTGAGGAGCAGGGATGCTGTTAAACATTCTACAATGCACAGCACAGCCCTTCATAACACAGAGCCATCGGGTCCAAAATTTCAATAGTTCCAAGATTGAGAAGTCTAGCCTAGGACTTCCCTTGATATAACATTGAGAGGAGGGGAGAGGAGCCTGTAGGACTAACTTTTGGGGCCTTACTCGAGAATAGAAAAAAATCCCATTAGATAGCTTCTGTTAGTTGTATTAAGAACTCCTGAGGGAGAGTGGCTCCTGGACAGATTCTCCCATTAGCTCAATGATGTCTTCAAGGACCCTTTTTTGAGAGCAAAGACTTCTTTCCACTGTACCATGCTCACTATGCCAGCCCATCTTCCTAGGCTTGCTTCCTTCATGTTTCCAAGATAACTGATCCACCTCCAGGTATCACTTGCCAACTATAGGTTTGAAGGCAGAAAGGGGAAATCTTCCTCCTTATCTTTTTAATCTAACCAACAATGATAGCCATTCCCATCCCCCAAATGATCTCCCCTCATGCCTGCTGGCCAGCGTTGCATCACCTGGCCACACAGACTTTCTGGAGGCAAGTGAAGGGAGAGTACCCTGAGTGGGTTTCACAAATCACAACTTACCCCTGGGGCTGGAGAAGGACCCAGCCTTTCCAGAGCAGTATGGCTGCCATTACCTAAGACCAAACTGTTGTCCTGGTGGCAAGTACAAAAGACAAATAATGGCTGTCAGGCAGGAAATCAACAGTTCTGCCACATCTCCGTCCAGTTTCTCCAGCCTTCTCTCACAGCTTGGACAACTTGATTCTCACATAGAGGCTCTAGGGCAGTGGTTTCTCCACCTTTAACATGAATTATTATCACCTGGAAAACTTGTTAAAAAACTTGTTAAAAAAATTCAGGTGCTCTGTTCCCACACTAGCCCTACCAATTAGAATAATGAGATCCATGGGTCTCTGTTTAAGAAGCTTCACCCATGATCCTGGTGCCCACCAAAGTCTAAGGATAGCAGTTCTAGTAAAAATCTTGACCCTCAGCTAAAGAGGTTTGAGCACTTACAGCTAGAAGCCCAGGGATACTGCAAATCACGCGCTTCTACTATTGGTCTAGAGCTTGTGTTTCAAATTTAACTATATGGATCCCCAAATCCAGACTCCATGTATGCTGTAAACCTGACAACTTAACTCCTTCTTTAGTACTACTACTATAATTGCTAACTACAATTATTACTGTTGTTGTTGTATCTATTTCTTTATTATCACATTTACTATTTATTGAGCTCTTGCCATATGCTGGGTACTATGCAAAACACTTGACATCATTAGCTCGTGTAAAGTGAGCTATTGTGGTAGCTCACTTGAGCACTGTGGTATAATTTTAAAAATATATCTGGTCTTTGTTCCCAGTTCCTGGCACAGAACTTTAAAAACTCTGGGAATTTCCACCCCTTCTGCGCGGTCATGCGGAGCCAGCGCCTGGGCCTGGAACCGGGCCGCAGTCCCACAGCTTCGACAACCACCTCCCTACCATGGACCCCCACAAAGTGAACGAGCTTTGGGCCTTTGTGAAAATGTGTAAGCAGGATCCGAGCATTCTGCACACCGAGGAAATGCATTTCCTGAGGGAGTGGGTGGAGAGCACGGTGGGTAAAGTACCACCTGCTACTCAGAAAGCTAAATCAGAAGAAAATACCAAGGAAGAAAAACCTGATAGTAAGAGGGTGGAGGAAGACTTAAAGGCAGACGAACAATCAAGTGAGAAAAGTGATCTAGAAATTGATAAAGAAGGTGTGACTGAACCAGACACTGATGCCCCTCAAGAAATGGGAGATTAAAATGCAGAGATAATGGAGGAGATGATGGATCAGGCAAATGATAAGAAAGTGGCTGCTATTGAAACCCTAAATGATGGTGAACTCCAGAAAGCCACTGACTTATTCACAGATGCCATCAAGCTGAATCCTCGCTTGGCCATTTTGTATGCCAAGAGGGCCAGTGTCTTCGTCAAATTACAGAAGCCAAATGCTGCCATTCGAGACTGTGACAGAGCCATTGAAATAAATCCTGATTCAGCTCAGCCTTACAAGTGGCGAGGGAAAGCACACAGACTTCTAGGCCACTGGGAAGAAGCAGCCCATGATCTTGCCCTTGCCTGTAAATTGGATTATGATGAAGATGTTAGTGCAATGCTGAAAGAAGTTCAACCTAGGGCACAGAAAATTGAAGAACATCGGAGAAAGTATGAGCGAAAACGTGAAGAGCGAGAGATCAAAGAAAGAATAGAACGAGTTAAGAAGGCTCGAGAAAAGCATGAGAGAGCCCAGAGGGAGGAAGAAGCCAGATGACAGTCAGGAGCTCAGTATGGCTCTTTTCTGGGTGGCTTTCCTGGGGGAATGCCTGCTAATTTTCCCAGAGGAATGCCTGGAATGGGAGGGGGCATGCCTGGAATGGCCGGAATGCCTGGACTCAATGAAATTCTTAGTGATCCAGAGGTTCTTGCAGCCATGCAGGATCCAGAAGTTCTGGTGGCCTTCCAGGATGTGGCTCAGAACCCAGCAAATATGTCAAAATACCAGAGCAACCCAAAGGTTATGAATCTCATCAGTAAATTGTCAGTCAAATTTGGAGGTCAAGTGTAATGCCCTTCTGATAAATAAAGCCCTTGCTGAAGGAAAAGCAACCTAGATCACCTTATGGATGTCGCAATAATACAAACCAATGTATCTTTGACCTTCTCATCAAGAGAGCTGGGGTGCTTTGAAGATAATCCCTACCCCTCTCCCCCAAATGCAGCTGAAGCATTTTACAGTGGTTTGCCTTTAGGGTATTCATTCAAATAATGTTTTCCTACTAGGAATTACAAACTCTAAATACTTTTTAAATCTTAAAAATATTTAAAACAAATTTAAAGGATCTGTTAATTCTTATATTTTTCTTTACTAATTTTGGATTTTTTTTCTTTGAATTATTGGGCAGGGAAGATACTTATGTATGGAAGATTATTGCTCTAATTTGAGTGAAATAAAAGTTATTCGTGTGAGGCAAACATAACTCATCTGAGGATAAAGTTTGTATTGGAAATGTGGTTCCTGATGCATTTTGACTTGTCTTTTTAAATGCTTTATCTTTTTCTTTAAAGATTTATTTCAATAAAACTAATTGGGACCACCCATATTTCAGTAGGACCTGGGTAGAGATTGGAAGTACTTGGCAGGGCAGCAATCTTGCTGTGTTTTATATAACATGCATCCTTGGGCAGGTTGCCCTTAAATCTTACACTGTGGTGAAGGGATGACTTTTTCGGTAATGCTGCAGTAAAGTTGGAGTACTTAGTTCTGCTGTTGTTCAGTATATCTAATAAGTGTTTCATGTTATTTCCACATAAGGGAAATAAGGGAGTACTTTTCTTTTTACATTTCTATGCTTAAAATTCTCTTTCCTAGTCAAAAATTGCCCAACTCTGTGTTTATTTTCTGCTTGTCACATTTTTCTCCCTTACTTTTCTTGGGCTAAAGACAGGCTTTTTCCACCAGCATCATCACTGCTATCATCATTAACAGCATAATTATGCAAGCATATTTAATGCTGAGTTTAATTTAATATGTAATACATATGGTAATGATAGGGTAATACCCGCAACAACTGTAGCTTCTTACTTGGCCATGAGAATGCTTATTTAAGTGTTAGACTTCCCTTCTGGCAAAATCTTGCCATATCAGAAGACATTGGAAAGAGGGATTCCCTTTGGTGTTTGGTCTTCTACTTAGAAAAAGTTTATCTTGTAGTATTCATCTTTGTATTCTGAAGATAATAAGGTATGAATTAAATTGATATACACAGAGGGGAACCAATTTTTTTGATCCAATGTGAATTATAAGTGAGATAATCCACAGTTATTCATTGTGGAGTTGTTGAGACTACGAAAGACTCATTGTCTTTGTATTCAGCTCTTCCTTAAATAGTGTAACCATACCCCCACCTCTGCTTGCTTTCTTTCCCTCCCCTCCATTGACAAACAAAATGATAAATTTTCTGTTGTGCAAAAAAAAAAAAAAAACAAAAAAAACCTCTGGGAATTTCCTGAGTGATAGGAAAGTCTTTGTTATGCTAATGAGGTGGCTCCTGGCAGTTTCCCTAGATAGATTCAGGATGGGAGCTGCTTACCAGTAAGGCCAATCATGTGATTATAGAGCTGGAACTTTCAGCACTCTCTTCCCCATCCTCTGGAGAGGAGAGGGGCACTGGAGACAGGGTTCAATCCCCAATCCCTTGACCACTGATCCAATCAATCATGCCTACAGAATTGAGACTTCAATAAAAACTTTGAACAACGAGGCTCTAGGAGCTTCCTGGTTGGTGAACATGTTCCCTGGATGCCACAGGGCAGAGGCTTCTGTGGTTGGGACCCTTCCAGACCTTGCCCTATGTGCCACCTCATCTGGCTATTCATTGTGTCCTTTATAATAAAATGGTAATCATAAATATCATGCTTTCCTGAGCTGTGTGTTGTCCTAGTGAATTATCGCACCTGAGAAGGGGTCATGAGAGCCCCCACATTTATAGCCAAGTTGGACAAAAGTATGAGTAGCCTGGGGACCCCAAGTGCAGCTGACATCCGAACTCCAGGTAGTTAGTGTCAGAATTAAATTGAATTGTTGGACACCCAGTTGTGGGATAATTGGTGTTGAAATGCACTCATATAATCATCTGACAACAGCTTTATCAAGGAGATCATTATTCCCATTTTACAGACGAGAAGCTGAGACTAAGAGTGGTTTTACATTCCCATGATCACATAGGAGGAAGCAGTAGAGCTCAAATTGACACACATACTTGTTTAACTTGAGAGTCTGAGCCCTTAATCTAGGGTGACAGTTTAGTAAATATCAGGGAGGACCACTCACATTTTGTGTAAGTGAATGACACTCCTGCTGTTGTTGTGTAATGCAGAGCCCTGTAATCACTTCCTTAGCATTTGCCAAACTTGCCTGATCAGACTCACCCGGGGCATTTATTAAAAAGAGGGATTCCCAGGCCTCTCCCATGAAGATTCTGATCCAGTATGTTTGGGGTGGAGCCTGGGAATTTTTATTTTTAACAAGCTCTCCTGGTGATTCTGACAATCAGGCAACTTTTGCAAACACTGCACTATGCTGCCTCGACCAGCTTCCTTGCTTGAAATGTATCAATCTACCCTATAACCCAGCCCGTCTCTTTCCCAATTTCTTGTAGCATCTGACACACTCCTGTGCAGAGACTCTGAAGAACTGGATATAGCCTTTTCCAATTTCCACACTGTCACTCAGTCCTGTACTTGGAAGAGTTTTAATGAATGACACAATATGAATCCAACTCAGCATGTCCAAGGCAAAATCCATCAACAGCCACACTCCTGCTTCCTGCTCTTCCTCCTACATTCTCTAACTTAGTGAATGACCCACCATCCACCCAAACCACCACACCAACGATCCTTGGTATATCTGTGTCCATGTTCTCCTTCACTCTTCACATTCTGGTCACCATTTCCTAGTGATTTCTACCTCCTAAATAATACAAACCAGCTTCTCCTCTTCTTTTCCACTGCTTATATAATATCCCATTCCATTTTCACCTAGACCAGCTTTCTAAAAGGCTTTCTGCCTTCATTCTTTGCTCCCCATCCCCAACCCTTCTGTATACCACCCCATAGGAGGAGACAGATCATATATTCCAAAGTTGATTGCAATAATATCTCTCATCTCACATGTTCTTCTAGAACCTTGCTACCTCCATCAAGAAGAGGGATGTATTTCCCCTTCCCTTGAATATGGGTTCACTTTTGTGACTATCTCAACCAATAGAGTATTCAAAGTGATGCTCCATGACTTCTTAGGCCAGTTCCTAGAAGACGACTCACATACCATCTTGCCTACTAGGATACTCACCCTTGACATCTAAGCCCTCATGTAAACAGTCAGCTTCCCTGAGATTGCCATTCTAGGAGGAAATCCAAGCTAGCCTATGCAGGGGGACAACATGGAACAGCCCTGAGACTACACAAAGAGAGAGATGTCCAATCAGCCCCCCTCTTCCCCAGCCCTGCATTAGTCCAACTCCAGCCACTGGGTGCAACCATATGACAGATCCCAAACCAGAATTGACCAGCTGAGCCTTTTTCTAATTCATGACCCAAATACATTATCTGAGATAATAAAATAGTTGTTGTTTGAAGCGAGAAAGTTTTGTGATTCATTTTTTTTAATGCAGCAATAGCTAAACAGAACCATATTCAATAGGTACAAATGGCCAGAATTGTACAAAGCAATACTATTCAAAGTGTAGTCCCTGGGGAGAATGAACTGTTTGTTACCAATGTTAAGTGGAAAACTTTAGAAAAAATAAATTTAACAATGTTTATTTGAGCAAAGAACAAGTCATGAATGGGACAACACTCAGAACCAGAAGAGGTTTTGAGAGCTGCGCTCTGCAGCGTAGGGAGGGAGCTTTTATAGGCTGAACACAAAAGTCAAGTGCAGAAATAACTTGATTCATTACAGAAAGGCATTTGCCTTACATGGGCATGGTCTGGTCAGTTGGATGCCTGTGATTGGCTGAAATTCAGCTATTTGTTACAAAAATATACTCCTAAAATAGGTTTTAGCTTGTTCAAGTACTAAGTTAGGTTGCAGTTTGTTACAAAAACATAGGGACAGCCCCGGGCTGATGGCCTCTGGTTTATTTGCTTTCACAATAGTCAGTATGGAAATTGGGAGTATTTAGAATCTTTCAACAGGGTGAATGTATGATTCTTGAATCTAATCATTAAAAAATGAATAGACTGGGTTCAAAGAGCAGTCAACTTTTGACTGGTTGATCAGACGCAGCCACACTGAAAGGATGAAAAGGGGCTGTAGGAGGAGAAAGAACACGAGACAGAGGCAAGGGTATGAAAGGGGTCCCTGCCTAATGCAAAAAACAGGCAGCATGTCCACAGGACTGAAAGAAAGTAAGGTGTCCTTAGACGAGAGCTCGTCTTAGGAATCCCTTTAACTGCAAGCAACAGAAAACCCTACTCCAGTGGCTTAAACAAATTGTGATTTATTTTTCTCATTGTATAAGAATAGCATCAGTGACATTCTCATAGCCTCTTGGCACTGGGCAGTTCTGTGCACATTAGCCAGTTTTCCAATTGCCAAAACTTGCCACTTTTAGACTGCTTTCTCCAAAGTCACAGAAGATCTACCTGCCCTTAGGTGGCATAACTCTGACGTGTGTGTTCTACACTGGCCCTGGAGTCCCCAGCAGGACTAAGCTGCAGTTGCCCATAAGAGATTGTACTTAGTAACTCACTCGATATTGACTTACTTCCCTCCTTTGTCTCATGTTCTCTCTCCCTTATCAGTGTTTCCTGAGAACACTTACCAAATAAACGAATTGCATCCTGTGAAGCTAATGCAGTATGAGCGAGATAGAAAGTGGTAGGTGATAATGCTGGAGAAAGAAACAGTGAACAGAGAGGCAGAGAGGCAGGGACTTGTCTGAAGAAAACACAAACTCCCGTGGCAGAGCTGGAATGAGACCCTGCTCTTGGGATAGCAAAAACAGTCTTGGTGACTCTTCCTATAATGGCTTTACCTGAATTCTTACTTCTCAGGACTTCCTCTCATCAGGCAGCACCCACCAGAGAGCAGTTCTGAAACTGAGACTACCAGATCAGAAACAAACAAGCAAACAAAAAAAGACCCATAGGAGCTGGGAGTGCCCATCCAAGTACATCCACATCATCCAGTAAAAGAAACAGAACCTTGAAGTCAAACAGACTGGTTAGCACACACCTCCTCCGTTTGCTAGTTGTGTGACTAAGGGCAGTTTCTTAACTACTCTGTGCCTCCTCTGTAAATATCAATGTGCTAATAATCCCACCTCGCTGGATCATTTCAAAATAAAATGCATAACATTGATAAGTGCCTCGGTCTTGCCTGACACACAGTAAGTGTTCAATAACGGCCAGCCTCCTCTGCAATTTCTCCACACAGTCTCTCTTTCACAACCAAATGGAAGATCAAGCAAAGATGTATTGGCCAAATAATCGACTCCATTTGTCTGGCGTGCCTCAGCCACTTGCTTCACATGACTATTTCTATGAGGCTAATACCTCGTTACAATAACATTGTACTCTAACACCAGTGGGCCCATAAACAGAGGCCCAGCTAAAATAAAATCATTGTAATCATGGCCCAGATTTAATCTCTGGCTAGTGGGCTCCCCAGTGGTTTCACCAAGAGCCAGGCAATAGTCAAATAATCAAACTGCAGATGCTGGGATAGCAAATCGGCTTAAATTTAAACAGTGGCAGAAACCCAAACTACAGCAGGGAGAAAAGAGAGATGAAGAGGGGGAGATGTAAACTTGCACAATATTGGAATTTCCCTTCCATGGCCTCCCTAGTTAATCGGCCCATAAAATAACCAGGCTTGTTAATGAATAATAGCCTCATTCCCGAGAGGCACCTAGGTTAGGCGGTCGCTCTGGGCCTGCTTACTGTGGACCCTGCTGTAAGAGCTGAAAGGGATCCCAAGGGCAACATGAAGGCAGAGGCATTATGATCTCCATCCTACTGAGAGCTCACAGGCACTTAGCTACTTAGAAAGAGGATCCTGAGTCACAGAATCAATAGTGAGAGGGAAGCAGAGGCAGGTCCCTTCTAGAGGGTTGAGGGAGCTGAAGCTTATACAATTGGGGGACCGTCTTTGAGAAAAATCAAACAAAACTGCATAGAAAATATGCTCAGCCATCCAGCACCACCTTGTATGAAAGCATGGTCAAACCTTCAGAGGAGACCTCAGCCCTGGCTGACATGTTGATTACAGCCTTGTGAGAGACACAAGCAGAGAACCCAGCTAAACCATGCTCAGATTCCTGACTTCAAAAACTGTGAATAATAAATGTGTGTTTAAGCCACTGTTTGCTGTAATTTGTTACGTGGCAGCAGATGACTGGTAGAAGGAAGAGGATAAAAAAGGAAGATACCAAGGTCATTTTGCTAACTGGGTGGGGCAAACCTAGAAATGTTATTTTATTATGCACTCAAATTTTTATAGAATTATTGGAAAGGTAACTTGGAGGTCATTTCATCAAATTCTTTGACTTTTAACTAAAATTGTAACTAGACTAAACCAATCTGCTTCAATTTTTATGTAACAAAGTTGTGAGTTTTTTTACATGCCATGGACTCCCAGGTGGAAGGTCATATAACCACAGCATGCCCAGATGAACCAAGTGTACAACCATGAGGGGAACCTAAGTGCTTAGGCAGAGGAGCAGGGACTGAATTAAGAGGTGGACACCAATGGCAGGATTCAATCAGATCAAACCCTGGCATTACCCCATGGCAGGATTCAGTCAGATCATGCCTCCTGGCATCACCTCATTGCAAGATCCAATCAGATCATACCTCCTGGCATCACCTCATTGCAAGATCCAATCAGATCATACCTCATTACCCTATGCTTATAAAACCCACCCAAGCCCTCAGCTCAAGGAGACAGATTTGAGCATTTCCCCCTGTCTCCTTGCCAGTTGACTCAAAATAAAGCTTTTCTTTTCTCAAAAGCTGGTGCCATAGTATTGTCTTCTATGCACATCTGGAAGCCAGTCCATTGATTGCTCAGTAACGAAATGAAAGCTTAGGAGACCTGCTTTGATCAGTAGATGAGATTATTTTCTACTTTGTCTACCAACTATTCTTGAGTCCGTGACTCCTTGAGTTGTGTTTGAAACATGTTTTTCTTTCAAAATATTAATCATCTCACTACATTCTAACTTATCCTTTGCTTACGAAAGAAGTTAATTTCATTTCTGCTTCTGCCTAAAATTATCAAAAGTTTTGAGTCAGTGATGTTAAAACGGAGTCTGTATCACGAGTCAATAATCAGAACCCTCACAGTGAGTCCTCCATTCACTTTTAGGAGGCATAATAGAACTGTAGACTTGGAAGTCACTTTGGCAGTCATTTAATCCAAGTTAGCTCAGTGTAGGAGTTCTGGCAAAGGAGACATAAAAGAAAATTACATGCGCAACATCCAGAAAAAAATACTTAAATAAAATAGGCACACTCTTCTTCATCTTTGTCCTCTTTCTTGATGGCTGAAATGTTTTGGGCATGGAACTCAAACTGGCATCTTGGATTATGAAGTAGAAGTTGTGCATTGAAGATGGAACAATAAAATGAAGAACCTGTCTGGACGCATTGGTTCACACCTGTAATCCCAGCACTTTGGGAGGCTGAGGCGGGTAGATCACCTGAGGTCAGGAGTTCGAGACCAGCCTGGTCAACATGGCAAAACCTTATCTCTACTAAAAACACAAAAATTAGCTGGGTGTGGTGGCACACAACTGTAGTCCCAGCTACTTGGGAGGCTGAGGTGGGAGAATTGCTTGAATCAGGGAGGTGGAAGATGCAGTGAGCCCAGATAGCACCACTGCACTCTACCTGGGTGACAGAATGAGACTATGTCTCAAAAAAAAAAAAAAAGAAGAAGAATCTGGAATTCCTTATGATCATAGAGCTGCCAAACTACCCCTCCCTGCTCCCTTCTAGACTTCTTTGTATTCGAAAGAATTAAACTTCTATCTTGTTTAAGCAACTATTAATTTAAGTTTGAATTTTGGGTCACTCAAAGCTGAGCTAATCTTAATATATTCTTTTTCTCCATTTTTAAGATAAGGAAAATGAGCTTCACCAGGATTAAGAATAAATCTACTGTTCCTTCCTATTATAAACTAAATGCCCTCCCCCACCAAATTCATATGTTGAAACCCCAATCCCCAATGTGACTGTATTTGGAGACAGGACCTTTATGTAATAAGAAGTACTTGAGGTTAAACGAGATCATAAGCAGGGATACCTGGGGAGACCTGATCCAACAGGATGAGTGTTCTTATATGAAGAGACACCAGGGAGCTCTCTTGCTCTCTCTTCACCATGTGAGGACACAGCAAGAAGGTGGCCACCTGCAAGCCAGGAAGGGAGCCCTCACCAGAAACCAGCCCTGCCAGACTTTGATCTGGGACTTCTAGCCTCCAGAACTGTGAGAAAATAAATTTCTGTTGCTTAAGTCACTCAGTCTACGGTATTTTGTTGAGCAGACTAATATATTTGCACAGATTAGTCCTCCCTATAGATAAAATTACTGGCCAGAATCTACTGGCAGTAATTTTGTCTATAGGGAGGACTAATCTGTGGAAATATATTAGGGTCTATAAGGGTCCTAAACATTGACCCATGACACAGACTCATTTTAACATCACTGACTCACAACTTGTGATAATTTCAGGCAATTTTAGTAACAGTATGTCTTCTGTTTTTCAAGATAAATAATACCTCCAGTTTTCTTAATGATTCTTCATAAGAATAAAATGTCTAGGACTTTTACCAGCTGGGTGGGTCTCTCCAGAATCTAATGAAATATATTGGCTCTACTAGATTTATAAACCATATCAATGATCCTCTCAGGCATTTTCTCCAAACATTGAACTTCCTCTTCCCAAATATGATCAGAGCAGAAGGAAGGTAACATCCACGGAATCTTTAGGCTCGTCTTTCCAGTCTGGGTTCTCGAGACTTCAAGAAAGAGATAGACATGCATAAATAACTTCCAGTGATGACACTGCAAGCAGCCTTAGAAATGTAAGATGTTGGGGGGAAATCACCATACTCTTAATAAACAGTAAGGACCATAACCCCATGTTATTCCTTTTACTATCAGATGGTTTCAAAGCAATGGAAAATGTTGCCTACGTAGGAAAATGTTGCTACTCAGGAAGTAGCTTAAATCAAGGAACCCATAGTCTTTCAATTGAACCAGCATTTGTTCTTTCTGTAGGAAAGAAAATTTTGATTGTCCAGCATCCCTTCCATTTGGGGATGCATGGATCCCCCACTCCAAGTGCTATCATGGAACTGTTAATCCCCCTACTCCAGCTACAGGGGTGAGCCAGTGATCCACAATGGCCAGTCAGATTTTGTCTCTCCAGCCACAGTGATTGGACCACAATAGACATATGACCCAAGTCAGGCAAATTAGTCTTCATTGAGACTTTTCTGCTAAAGCAGTCTGGGAAGTTTATCTGTTTGAGGGGGTCTTGGGAAGATGTGAAGTCAGAACTTCTAGTGGCCATCTTCCTCCATCACAGAGAGTTAACCTGTCTGTAGGAGGAGGGAATGCAGCCAAATGCAGAGGGGAAAAGAGCAAAGAGATGGAGAGAGAGAGAGAGAGTATACTCTGAAGATGGTTGATGCCTGGATCCAGCTATGCCTGAAACTTACATTTTGACTTCCCAGATACTTAAGCCAATAAATTTTGCCTTTTCCTTAAGTTAATTTGGTATGGGTGTTTTGTTTTGCTTTTCCGTCATTTATATCAGAAAGAGTGCTAATACACTCCCCATAAAATATGATCTGACTGGATGTTTTGGTACCATTTGTTCAGGTGGGCCACTGCAAGGCAGCACTCTCCCACGTTACCCCACACTCACATGTGGCAGGTCTTCCTTGCTGCCCTCATCTTCTGGCTGCCTGACCCTCAGCTGCCAGACAGCATGGGTGACCTCACTCCTGCAGACCCCTGCAGAGCACAATGACCATGCCATAGTGTTTAGGGCAGGAGAACCACAGTTGGGGCCACTTTGCTGAAGTCTAGCCCAGGCACCTTTAAACTGACAAATACAGTTATCTAAGGGAAAGTGAGCAGACAGTGCAGGGCAGGTTCAGCAAGAGGGAGTTGTTGAAGTTTTCCTGTTGCCCTGACAGGCAGCTTCCAAAGCTGGTTCTGCATGTCCAGCATTTGCTCCAGAGAGAGATGCAGCTTGTCTGCCTTGGCTCATCTGTGTGTCAAGGGGAGGGTTGGGAAGGAAGAGTAAGCACTGATATCCACAGACAAAGAGAAGTGAAGTTGGCTTGCATTTGATGTATCCAAGCCCTGTGACATGCCACTGAGGGTACCGGCTCCTGGGGTAATGCACATTCCTACGTGTTTGTTTGACAGCCCAGCACTAGGGTCACCATGTCACTGCCCCAGCCTTGTTAGTGACAGCACATCTGGGAAAAAAAAAAAACAGACCTTGATGGCATTTCCTTCCGCTTTGACCTGTGAGGGGCTTTCACAGACGTCAACTCATCTGAGTCTCACACTGAGCACGAGGGCATGAGGGGACAGGGCAGGGGTGAGTCTCTCCCATGTTTTATGTGAGGAGACTGAGGTTGAGAGAAATTAAATCACTTTTGCAAAGCCATATTGGAAGCCCTGGGCCTTACTTCCCCTGCTTTGGCTTTTCCCAGTTGTGTCTCACCTTGACCATCTGATCCACCCACTCCCAAAATCCATGAAGGCCAAAGCAGTCCCTGCATTATCTTGCCCAGCCCTGGAATGAGGCAGGAATTTCATCAATACACACACAAGCAAGCCACCCCAACACACATGTATTCATACACACATACATCTACTCACAGGCATGTAGACTCATTCACGTATTCACATGTTATACCTGCATGTGTATGCTGTACATTCAAGCATACAGGCTTAACACAAACGCATATGCAAATATTCATGCATACACATAGCATGAAGACACACACACACATACACACACACACGGTGGAGTCAATACCCTGCCACCCTCCTTAGGCAAGTTCACAATACTCCTAGAACTGATGCCTGGATTCCTCCATTGAGCCGAGCCATCCAGTCTGCAACACCCCCCAGATTCCAGCAATCTCATCCAAGATCAAGATCTGAATTTTTCTTTAGTTATATTCTCTCACGGATGCTCCAGAGCTATAGTACTGTCACAACAGCCGAAATAAAATCTGTCACTAACATATGTAGAAATTCAATAAACAGGAGTTGTGATCTGGTGAAAGACTATGGGACTCGTTCACTGATACCAAAGCCAGACAAGGAGAGCACGCAAATAAAAAAACCATAGTCCAGCTTCACCAAACCAATGCAAAATAGTTCACTGTTACCAAACCAATGCAAAACTCCAAATAAATATTGACAGGTCAGATTAGAAAACTATAGTCCAACTTCACCAAACCAATGCAAAATTCCAAATAAATATTGACAGGTTACATTTAGAAAACTACAGTCCATCTTTACCAAACTAATGCAAAATTCCAAATAAATATTAACAGATAAGATTTAGAAAACCGTAGTCCATCTTCACCAAACTAATGCAAAATTCAAAATAAATATTGACAGGTCAGATTTAGAAAACCATAGTCCATCTTCACCAAACTAATGCAGAACTCCAAATAAATATTAACAGGTCAGATTTAGAAAACTATAGTCCATCTTTATCAAACTAATGCAAAATTCCAAATAAATATTCGCAGGTAAGATTTCAGAAACCATAGTCCATCTTCACCAAACTAATGAAAATTCCAAATAAATATTAACAGATCAGATTTAGGAGCATAATCAAAGAAATACGAGAATCATGAAGTAAGGCATCTATTTAATTCACTACATTAATTCAGTCAAAAATATTTAGCATTATTTGAACACTTACTTTTTGCCAATATAGTATTGGCTTCTGTATAGAACAATGGAACAGAATAAATGATTAATATAACTAAGCCTATATATATACATATATCAAAATGGATATATATATAAATGGAAGAGGAGATTTCAGAAATAGACCCATAATAATAATAATGGTGACCATTTAAATTAGAAGAGAAAGGAAAGACTATCCAATACATGGTATTGACAAGACTGCCCTCTTACAAAAGAAAAAATAAAATTAGATCCTACTCCACACCATTCAAAACAATAAATCCCAGATGCACTAGAGTTCAACATAGAAACCAAAACTACGAAGTATGCTCCATAACAAATGAATTCAGACACAACATGACCAGTGGCTGGCAATTAGTTCTCATCTTCAACAGCTCGATAACACTGACCCCACACTTTAAGTGACAAAGTATGTTTTGGGTTTCACTTCTAGCATTACGGTGTGATTTTTAGCATTCTAGAAGAAAGCATAGGAGAATGTTTTTACAACCTTGAGACAGGGAGAAGACCTTCCTAAGCAAGACACAAAATGCAGTAGCTGTAACAAGAAAGATTGACAGATGTGAACTACATCAGAATCAAGTCCTGTCAAATTAAAACCAGCAAGTGAAGTTAAAAAGTAAAACACTGTACACAATCCAAACATTTTTCAATAGATAAATCATTAATACCTGATTACATTAACACCTGATTATAATAATTAAACTTGATTACATAATTTATCATACAATCATTTTACAGACTCTTAAATAGTGGTTACAAAGAATGATGCAAAGTTACATGTACTGGTATGAAAAAGTCTCCACGACATAGAGCTACATGTCAAAAATGAGTCACAAAACTGGTTAAATAGATAGGTAGATAGATAGATTAGATAGGTAGATAGATAGATATGTAGACAAACAGAGAAAGAGAGAAAGAGAGAGAGAGAGATGATAGATATAGATCCCATTCCTTTTTTAAAAGTGTTTAAAAATTATGAAGCTTCATAGAAAATGAACTATACTCATAATGAACTGTTAATGGTGATTATATTTAAGGAGGAGAATGGAGTCAATAGATGAGGGATGAATTTAACTTTTCACTCTATATGCTTATGAATTGTTGAGTTTTGACAAAGAGAATGTATTCATGGATTTCTTTGTGTGATATATAAAAGGCAAAACCATAACATTTGGAATTAGACTGTTCAGCTGCCAGCCCGGCTCAAGTGTTTATTAGCTTCCTAACCTGCAGCAATTTGCCTATCAAAATAAGGCAAGAACACCTACCTCATAAACATTGTATGAGCAATGAATAAAGTAAGTTAAAACTACTGCTTATTGAGCACCCACTGTATACCAGGTTTTTAAAATGCACTATTGCCTTTTAAATACACTATTCTACTGAACTACAGTGTAGTAAAAGCCTTGTAAGGTTGCTATAGCGTTTTGCATGTCAGGAAACTGAAACCCAGAGAAGTGAAGTAAACGGCCCAAGATCACAGGGCTGGTAAGTAGCAGAGCTAGCATGAGACCTGTGTCTTTTCTGCTCTAAGACCAGTGCCAGTTCCTCCCATGTTCACCACTCCAGGTCCTTTTATTTTTTGCTAAGAGGAGTGGTGCTTACACTGGGCTTAGGCAACACCCCAGAATAAACCTCAGATCAGCTGCACTACAGCCCCCAGCCTAGACCCTGCAGAAAGGGGAGCAGGAATTACTGACTCAAAGCCGCAGTCGATTACTCACAGACGACGTATGCAAGCTCCCATCTCCCACTTCCTCTGAAATAGATAACAACAGCTATTTTAGCCTGAAATGCCACTGGCATAAACGCATGAAAAGTCGTAAATCTGGAATGATAAAAACTCATTGTAAAATAGCAGTCAGGGATTTGGATGATAAAACCCCATACCCTGCTCCAGCCAGCTGGGACCCCCACTCTGGAGACGCCCAGCCAAAGAAGGGAGAAGAAAAAAGGGGGACATAGGGGAGATCAGTACCATATACAGTAGGAGGCTAATCAGAACTTTCCTTGCCGGAAGCTGAACAGACATTTAACACCAGGAATGGCTAACTGCATATTTTGAATTGTTTACAGCAGTGTACACAGTCTGATTTCTCTCTGTCGACTCCAAATTTTCATGAAATCCGATATACCTACAAATACTGACTAACCCTTTTAAAAGGGCTATTATGTGCTAGGAACTGTTCTAGGATTTTCCACAAATTAATCCATCTAATTCTTACAATAACTCAATTATTATTCCAATTCCCCAGATGAGGAAACTGAGGCACAGACCAGTTTGGTAAGTTGCCCAAGGTCCCAAAGCTAGTAGTAAGTGACAGGCCCAGGCAGTGTGACTTCAGAGTCCTCACTGTTCACCATCATTCCATATTTCCTCTCAAATATTTGGCATGGGGATAGGAGGGGGATGCATCAAAATCAAAGAAGGGGCTGAAAGTCAGGTCTGGGTTGACGTAGTGCAGATAGGTTAGTCTCAAGCAGAAAAGGACCCTGAGAATGTCAAGAATACTCAGAAATCTAGAGAAGAGGTCAGGCGCAGTTGCTCATGCCTATAATCCCAGCACTTTGGGAGGCCAAGGCGGGTGGATCACCTGAGGTCACGAGTTCGAGACCAACCTGGCCAACATGGTAAAATCCCAGCTCTACTAAAAAAACACAAAAATTAGCTGGGCAGATGGCATGCACCTGTAGTCCCAGATACTTGGGAGGCTGAGGCAGGAGAATCACTTGAACCCTGGAGGTGGAGGTTGCAGTGAGCTGGGATCGCACCACTGCACTCCAGCATGGGTGACAGAGCGAGATGCCATCTCAAAAAAAAAGAAACCTGGAGAAGAGAGTCGAACTGCTGAGGGGATGGAATGAGGTTTCAAGTCAATCTGATCTGGATCTCAAGGGTTCTGGAGCCATTGTATGGGTTATGTTTCTGAAAGACTTTACCACTTTCCCTCCCTCAGATCTCTCTTGGTGGTCAGTCCTAATGTGTGCTGGGTGTGGCATCCTCAAGTCCCTTGGCAGCTGGGCCCCTCCCTTTCAGTGCCTCTTTTAGGGCTCAGTTCTATTATACCTTTGTCCTTACTTGGTTGTGTTAGGATTTAAAGGGATTAATCTCACCTCTGCCTCACTGCCCCCAGGGCACATCTAAAATTATAAATACAGAAGTCCGATGGAGGATAAACTATCACCTATAATCTTGGTACTGCTTAATTAGAGGACACAGCCGACTTCCCCTGGTTAAATAGGTTCTTGCAACTTTTCCCTAAATCCAGCCCAAAGTTCTTCGGTGGAAATTTCTGTGATGATGAAAATGTCCCATATCTGATCCCAAGGTGTTTACACCTTGGCAGGAGGCTAGAGTTGCAGGAGAATACAGGGCCTGCACTCTGCACTCTAGAGGGTGCCATTTGCTCCCTGTCTGCAAATGCACTCCTGGAGTTTTGCAGTGCACCACCTGAGCAGCTGTCTATGGGAGCTCTGGAAGAAAGCCTACATCCTGCAGACAGGCCAAACTGAAAGGAGAAAGAGAGGAAGAGGTGAACATCAATCAGATTAAGCTCTCCTCATCCCTTGAGGGAAGATCCAGCAAGAAAAAAGTAGGAAGTGCATTACTTCCAAATTCTTTACCTCCTGGAAAGTGGGGCAAAATTTCCTCATGAAAACATGAGAATAGGGGAAGAAATTTCTCCTAAAGAACTGTCTGGGTCAAAGCACCCAGCTACTAGTTGGCTGGAGGGAAGATTCCTCTCCACACTACAACATACCCAACACCCCCACCCCACCACCACCACCACCAAATGCTCTCAGGACTGACACAGCCAGGAGACTGATAAGACCAAAAGTCTTTCACTGGCTAAGATCACCCTTAGTCCACAAAAATGTTGTATGGGGCTGCTGTGGAGGGCTAAGTGAAATCAGCATTCTTCACCTCTCTCTCTGCCTTAGTCCAGTTAGCCATGCTCTTCCTCCCTTAAAGAAGAAGAGTCATAATTTTAGCCACAATTTTCCACACTACCTAGTGCCTTAACAAACAGAATTTATCTGGCTTCATCCTCACACAGTCAGGGAAGCTCCAACTCCAATCACATTCCTTCCAATGAGTTTGAGGAGTCAGGGGTGGCAGGGGCTCAACTATGCTCACCAATGTCCCCTCCCAGCTAAGAGGCATCAGCCGCTGCTGCTTTTCTCTCCTGTGCCCGCGGTGACATCTCCTGCCCTCCTCACATCCTACCCAGGTTGGGTGAGCTCACAGCTTGACTTATTCTTCATTCCAGGCCCTCTGAAATGCTACAGAGCTGAGCCACCTGGAGCCACCAGTGTCTGACAAGAGTCACTGACAGTGTTCCCTTGACTTTCCCACCTACTTTGTGACCATGGCCTCTCTGTCTGGGGCTCTGCCTTGGACAATAAGCAGTGTTAGGCAGATGGCGAGACACGGAGATGACACACATGTGGCTTGAGGGCAAGAAGAGGGAAGCTTTGATGGGCTGAGCATGATGTCTTCCCTGAGGAATAAGATTCGATCTAAGACCTGAACAGTGAAAAGAGGCAGCTATGCAAAGGGGTTGAGGCAAGAGCAGTCTAGGCAGAGCGAACTTTGTGCAAAGAGCCTGGGGCCAGGACAGGCTGGCTTGTGTCTGAGTAACAGAAAGGAGACCAGTGTGACTGAAGCTAAGTGAGCAAGGACAAGATTAAGATAATGTCTCTAAAATGCCTGAGATTTCTTAAGTGCTTAAATAAATGGCAGCTGCTTGCAAAGGCAAGTAGTGCACAGAGAAACAAATGTTTGTCTCTGTTTAGTATCTTTTGATGAGGGCCTACTCCATGCCAGCCACTGGGCTAGGGACTGCCTTGAGTGATTGTGGTGATCATATTCTGGTCATGAGAGAGGGATTGCTTTTATTCCCATTGTACAAACGGATTTTGCCAAATTGAGCAAATAAAAACACAAAATGCCTACTTAAATTTGAATTTCAAACAATAGATAATCTTTCAGTTCAAGTATATCCCATGCAATATTTGACACATACTAATGGAGAAATGAAATACAATGAAGAAATTGTGTTTTACATTGAAATATGTATTGCCCACCTAATAGGTGCCAGGTATGGCCCAGTAAACAAAGATAATAAAGCCTGACGTCAGCCCTTGAGGAACACCTACCATTGCTCTAATGGAGAGCATTACAGCTCAGTCTTTCTGGAGGAAATTAGGTGATGAAAATCAAAATCCTTAAAAATATTCTTATTTTTTGGCCTAGAAATTCCACTGTATATGACTTTCTGATACATTAGCTAATTTTGTAAGTTCCTAACATACATCATTATTTTTTTTGCAGAGCAAGCTACAATTGCAAAACATCATTTCTTCCATCAAAACAAATAACATGCCAGGTGTAATGGCTCACTCCCATAATCTCAACACTTTGGGAGGCCAAGGCAGGTAGATCACTTTGAGCTCAGGGGTTTAAGAACAGCCTGGGCAACATGGTGAAACCCCATCTCTACAAAAAATACACAAATTACCGGAGTGTAGTGGCCTGTGCCTGTAATCCCAGCTATTCAGGTGGCTGAGGCATGAGAATCATTTGAACGTGGGAGGCAGAGGTTGCAGAGAGCCAAGATTGCGCCATTGCACTCCAGCTGGAGCAACAGAGTGAGACCGTCTCAAAACAAAACAAAACAAAACAAAAACACAAACACAAACACACAGAAAAAAACAAATCAAAAAGAAATCATGTGGACTAATGTCCTCTTTTTTAAAAATGTTTTATTTCCATTGGTTTTGGGGAACAGGTGGTATTTGGTTTCATGAGTAAGTTCTTTAGTGGTGATTTGTGAGATTGTGGTGCACCCATCACCGCAGCAGTATACACTGCACCAAATTTGTAGTTTTTTATCCCTTACCCGCTCCCACCCTTTCCCCCAAGTCCCCAAAGTCCATTGTATCATTGTTATGCCTTTGCATCTTCATAGCTTAGCTCCCACTTATGAGTGAGAACATACGATGTTTGGTTGTTTTCCATTCCTGAGTTACTTCACTTAGAATAATAGTCTCCAGTTCCATCCAGGTTGTGGCGAATGCCATTAATTCATTCCTCTTTATGGCTGAGTAGTATTCCATGGTATATGTATACACCAGAATTTCTTTATCCACTCATTGATTGATGGGCATTTGGGCTGGTTCGATATTTTTGCAATTGCGAGTTGTGCTGCTATAAACATGTGTGTGCAAGTATCTTTTTCATATAATGACTTTTCTTCCTCTGGGTAGATACCCAGTAGTGGGATTGCTGGATCAAATGGTATTTCTAATTTAGTGTGGAGATTCCTAATGTCTTTTTGGTCATGATTAGGAACTGTTATGGTTTGACTTGTGTCCTCCCTCAAAAGAAATTATGTTAAAGGCCTAACCCTCAGTACAACCAGCTGACATGAAGCCAGGCATCAGAGGATGAAAAGCAATTCCAGTCCCACAAAATCAAGCGTTCCCTTTTTTTTTTTTTTTTTTGATGCAGGTACACTCCTGCCAGTTTAATAACTAATAGTAAATTTTTTTAAAAGTTTGTAATGTTCTTTGCAAATTTGATTAAAAGATTGTAAAAGATCCTGGCCAACATTGAATGATATGTAAATGTCCCTTAACAAACAATCATAACTGGCTAGCATTCTATAAACTCACTGCAGCGTCTCAGGCCTCAGGCCAAGAAAACTCTGCTGTTTCACGTCTCTCTCTTTCACGAGCCCTGTCTTCCTCCCAAAGGCTGTGTCATCTCCTCACCCCATGGGCTGTGTTCTTTACAACCGGCACTGCCTGTGACCCACAAAACTCCTGCGAGACACAGGGAGAAGCTCTGAAGCTGAGGCAGGTTAGAAAAGAAAAAATTTCTGAAGGCTGGGAAAGAGGAGATTATTGAGTCCACATAGTCAATGTCACTATCACCATCACCATGGTCATTGTCTCCTTCAGAAGAGTTTATTGAGCATCTACTAGGCCCCAATACTGGAAATATAGCATGAGAAACACAGTGGAAGTTTCTGTCCTCCTGGAAGTTCCATCCTAGCGGAAGAGAGACCATCAAAAAACTCCAAGCCATTTCAGACAATGATACATTTTGTAAGAGATGCAACAGGGTGGTGTGGTAGGGAGGAACTTGGATGAATTAAGGAGGTAAGATAAGAAAATGAGAGCAAGCACCATTGCAGGTGAGATAAGGAAGAGCTGTGAGGCTGGAGATTCATGAGGAGAGTTCTCCAGGCAAAGGGAGTAGCACAGGCCAAGGCCTGATATGGGAATGGGCTTGGCGTGTTTGTGGGGCTGAAAGAAGATTAGTGCATTTGTGCTGTGTGCAATGTACAGCAGGGAGAGGGTGGGAGATGGGGTGGGAGAGAAAGGAGGGGCTTGTAGACCTTGAGGAGGAGGTAGGATTTTGCTCATAGCTATTATTTATTGAGCACCTACTATGTTCCAGGCATTTTACACTCTTTAAATTATCTTTATAACCACACAAGGTTGATAAAATGACTGCCATTTTATGCATAAGTACAGTAACACATAGAGAGATTCCAGGATGTGTTTATGTCCCACAGTAAATGGCAGAGCTGGAATTTACAGCCATATTCATCCAACTCCAAAGCCATGCACCTCACCACGACAGCACGCTTGGTGAAAGGTTAGGAGTTTAGTAGTTACGGTGCCTCTGCAGGCTCCCCTCTCCTCCTTCCTCTGCATACCCCCAACTGCTTGTGTCTCCTCATTTGCTCTGTTCTTTCTCTCAAACACCTGTGGTATGTGAACAATCTGAGGGCCAGGGCAAGACAGCCTCCCTAGAACCTTCCATGAGTCTCAGAGCCCGGGACTGTGTCAGCAAAGCAATGTTGGAAGGGAAATCTTTGTTCTCTTGATGTGTTTTTCCATGCAGTAGCAGGAGCTCTCCTGGGGTGACACTCTTGGCTTCTTTCTGCCCCCTTTCTCACCCTCTTTATTAGTCCATTTTCATACTGCTATAAAGACTTGCCCAAGACTGGGTAATTTATAAAGGAAAGAGGTTTTTAATTAATTCAGATCAGCATGGCTGGCGAGGCCTCAGGAAACTTATGGTGGAAGGTGAAGGGAAGGAAGGAAGGCACCTTCTTCACAAAGCAGCAGGAAGGAGAACTGCTGAGCGAAGGGGGAAGGGCCCCTTATAAAACCGTCAGATCTTGTGAGAACTCACTCACTATCATGAGAATAGCATGGGGGAAACTGCCCCCAAGATTCGATTACCTCCACCTGGTCTCTCCCTTGACACATGGGGATTATGGGGATTACAATTCAAGAAGATATTTAGTTCAGGACCGAAAGCCTAACCATATCATCCCCCAGGGAAGAGGGGAGACTTAACCTGATTGGTGAAGTTGAAAAGCAAGTTCTTTTGCCTTCCCTTACTTCCTGTCCCCTCTCCTCCCCACCCCTCCTGTCCCAACCTCTTTCTTTCCCTCCCCTCCCCTCCTTTTCCTTTCTCTTTCTCTCTTTTCCTCCCCTCCTGTCCTCTCCCCTCCCCTTTCCTCCCCTCTCCTTCTCTTCCTTTCCATCCCCTCCCTTCCCCTGCTCTCCCCTTTCTTTCTCTTTGCCTCCCCTCCCTTCCCCTCCTCTCCCCTTCCCTTCTCTTCCTTTACCTCCCCTCTCCTTCTCTTCCTTTCCCTCCCCCACTCCCCACTCTTTATCTTCCTTTCTCTCTTCTCCCCTCCTCTCTCCTCCCCTCCCCTCTCTTTCTCTTCCTTTTCTCCCCTCCCTTTCCCCCTGTCCCCTTCCCTTCTCTTTCCCTCGTCTCCCCTCCCATCTCTTTCCTTTCCTCCCCTCTCCTTCTCTTCCTTCTCCTCCCCTCCCCTTCTTTCTCCTCACCTCCCTTCCCCTCCTCTCCCCTTCCCTTCTCTTCCTTTCCCTCCTCTCCCCTCCTATCTCTTCCCTTTCCTACCCTCTCCTCCCCTCCCCTCCCCTCCTCTCTCCTTCTCTTTCTCCTCCTCCCCTCTCCTCCCTTTTTCTTCTCTTCCTTTCCCTCCCCTCCCCTCCCCTTTCTTTCCTTTTTCTTCCTCTTGGCACCTTGCTGCCCACATGCTCTGCTCTGCTCCCTACCTCACACTGAGGGTGTCCTAGGGGCAGGCTCTGACCTCACTGGCACAGGAGGTTCAGAGCTGCCTACTGCCTAGTCAGCAAGTCCATCCGTTCCAGGGTTAGTATTAACACATCCACTAGCCCACAATCTGATCCACAGCTAACTCACCTCCTGCTGTTTTTTGAGGAACTAACAGTGGGAGAAACACTTGTAGGGGAACAATTTATGTTCGAGAGTGTGTCACCAGTATTAGGCGCCCACTGCATACCACCATAAAGCTATAGTTTTTATTTTACTAACAGGCAATAGTCTTAGCCCACAGTAACTCCCTAGATTACTATGAGAACCAGCTGAGATAAGGCAGTGAATGACAAGGTGGTCCAAAACCACAAAATCCTGTTAATTAGAATAGAGGGTGGTGGACATGATTAAGACAGAGATCGAGACACCCTGAGAGTACAAGTAGGATCTCAGAACCAGGAATAGCCAGAGAGTGTGAGGGCACAGAAAGGGACATGAGGCACAGCCTGCCCTCAGCAGTACACAGCAGAAGGGGGGTGGGCCGTGGAGTTAGAGAGAACTGGGTCAGAATCTTGGCAGCCCCATTTACTGGCTGTGACGTGAGCCAGTTCCTAGCTTTTGGGCCTAAATTCATCTCAGTTTTCCCATCTGTGAAATGGACGGGCCATCTGCTCATCTGCATGCCAGCATCCATGCCCCTCTTCTGGCCATGGCCTCCCAGTTTTCCTTGAGGAGCCGCCTTTCCCCACTCTCAGGTGATGTTGTGAAGCAGACCACTCCCCCAGGTCCAGCATGGGCATTTGACAGATCTGTGCAGTTTGAGCATCAAACTCCCACAGCCCGGTGGGTTGTTCTGAAATGGACAAATAAATCTGTCCTCATTCTGACACTTCTATTGAAACTCTCAGGAAAAGAGAATCTCTTCTATTCAGATTGTGAAGTGGGTAAATTATAAAACTGGAGTTGTCATAAGAAAAGTTGCCACAACAAGCAGCCTGATTGAGGAGGAAGTACAAGAAGATAGGACTAGGACTTGATATCTTCTGAACCCTGGATCCAGCCAGACCTGAAATCCTAGACTTTTTGGATATAAATAAATAAGTTACTTTAATTTTGAGGAAGCTAATTTAAGGTGCCACCTGTAAACAAAAGTAATAGAGCATTTAATTTAATAATAAATTCCAAGTGCTTATGTCACGGGATCCTTGGGGTGTCACTTCACCAGCCGGAAACCTCTGCAGCCAGCAGTGCCTTCTGCCTGAGTATTGTTTGTGCCCGCTGGACTCAATTCCACCCACTTGGCCCAGCAGGCTGCGCTTGGCTTGCACTACTGGCCCAGATTCCACACCTGCCAAGGGCGAGCCAGGCATGAAGCAGCAAGGGTTGTGTGAGCAAGCAAGGGCAGGGTCTGGCCACTGCACACAGCCAGGCACACCAGCTGCTGCAGTGGCGCAGGCAGCTCCAGGCACTGGCACAGGCACCGCCTCCATGCAAGGCTGCAGCTGAACCAGACATACCACAAGTGGCTTCTGCTGCAGGCACCAGTGTCTGGGCAGGGGGAACATGATAGCACCTGAAAGCTCAAAGATGCCAGAAACTACAGAGCCCTGAAGAGGGTGTTACAGCTCTGGCTTGGGGAGCCCCTAGGTCTAGGCTCCCTGAAGGGCCACAGCTCTACTCTCCTTCTTGTCACCTGCAATGTGGCAAGCAGGGGGATGTGTTTCAGCCCTGTTTGTGTTACAGGTCTTCCAGTCCCACCATTCAGCAGGTCCTGAGTTCTTGTCCCACATTCAGGAAGGATGAGGTATGCGGACAACTAGAGGATGAACAAGGCAAAGAGGTGCTTTATTGAGCAACAGTACAGTTCTCAGGAGATCCAAAGTGGTTAGCTCCTATCTGCAGGCAGGTCATCCCAATGAAGGTGAAACCCTCAGCAGAGAGAAGACCTGCAGTAGGTAGCTCCTATCTGCAGGCAGGTTGCTCACACATCCCAACATCTGTGTGAGTCTGGCTGAATCTGGGGGTTTTATGGGCTCAGAAGGGAGGAAGTGCATGCTGATTGGCCCATGGGCAGCCCAGAAAAAGCACCATAAGTTCTCACTCTGGGCCACAGACTCCACCCAGATCTGGCAGCCCAGCCCCCAGGCTTCAGGCCCTCCCTGGTTTGAAGGTGTTTCACCAAGGACCCACCCCTTTCTGCCCAGGAACCTATCTGCCTCCTGCCATCAACATGCTGTCTAAAGTACCCAGGCTATTCCTGCCAAGAGGCACCTGCAGGCCCATACAGAGCTGCCCTCAACACCTCAGCCTCCCTCCCATGCTCATCGGTGCCCAAAGTCCACAAGGGGCCAAGGCAGCAGGGGGTTGGTGTATCAGCACCACCCCAAGTGTGCACACACCCAGCAGGGTTGTGACAGCACTCAGGCTTGGCCACAACTTTGCTTCACCCCAGGGTGGGCACCAGGAGCAGGGAGAGGCCAGGCAGTGGGAGCAGTCACTTTCAAGCCTGTGGGGGCAAAAAGCTTCCTGGGCCCCAAGAAGGGATGCCCAGGTCTGCAGCATGCACCCAGGGAGCATGGGGCTCCCGCCCCACCCACTCAGCAGGGGGCAGGGCTCCCACCAGTTCCCAGCTCCTGCTGGCTCTTTCGCACAGACTCTTTCACACAGAGTCCATAGCCCCAGCCACACCTCCCCCGTTGCAGCTGGTGTCTTCGCAGCGGCCACTACAGATAGGCCACTGCTGCCATCACTTTAGAGCCATGCCTGGCACACAGTAGTTACTCGATACCTGAAAGCAAGAGCCATATCTGGGATCGAACATAGGCAGTCTGACCTCACAGCCCATAGGTTTAACACAATGTAAGATTTTTTTCTGAGATTCCATCAATGGAGTGCTGAATTCATTGGATGATAATCATAGGTGACATCAGAGGAATTCCTGAGATGCAATTCTCTCCCTCTCTCCATATGTATACACACTCACACAAACACATACATATAGAGAGAGAGATAATCAGAGATACGGAGCCCAAAACTGGGTAATTCATAAAGAGAAGAGGTTTAATAGACTCACAGTTTCACATGGCTGGGGAGGCCTCAGAAAATTTATAATCATGGTGGAAGGTGAAGGAGAAGCAAGCACCTTCTTCACAAGGCAGCAGGAGAGAGAGAGCATGCAGCGGAAACTGCCCCTTTTAAAACCATCAGATCTCGTGCGAACTCTCTCACTATCATGAGAACAGCATGGAGGAAACCACCCTCATGATCCAATTACCTCCCACCTGGTCCCTCCCTTGACATGAGGGTATTACAATTTGAGATGAGATTTGAGTGGGGACACAGAGCCAAACCATATGACCAGGCGCCAATTAGAAGCTCTGATTGGCTATCAGGGCCATCATAAGAACTTCTAAAATGTGATTTTATTGCATAATCAAACATATCTGAATCATAAATAGCAGAAAAATAACAGTAGTCATTAGCAAATGATTTATTCAGAAGATAATGTCTTTGAAAACATGGATAGAAAAGGAATAAGAGGTCAGGCATGCTGGCTCATGCTTGTAATCCCAGCACTTTGGGAGACCGAGGCAGGAGGATCACTTGAGGCCAGGAGTTTGAGACCAGCCTGGGCAACATAGCAAAATCTCATCTCTACTAAAAATAAAAGATAAAAAATTTTAAATTAGCCCAGTATGGTGGTGCATGCCTGTAGTCCTGCCTACTTTAAGGCTGAGGTGGGAGGATTGCTTGAGCCCAGGAGTTTGAGGTTACGGTGAGTTATGATTACACCACTGTACTCAGCCTAGGCAGCAGAGCAAGATTCTGTCTCAAGAAAAAAAGGCCCAGGCATTGAAAAGTGTGGGACACTGCTCCAGTCCAAACTAGTTGCTTTTAACAGAGGTGAGAAATGATGGGAGCCAAATTAGATAAAACTACAAAAGGAGAAACTTGATTTCTCTAAATTCTCATCAGAAATTCATAGTCCTGAGGACAAAACCAGAGGATGATGTACCCATCCAAATATATTTCTTTTTCTCTAACTGTATGTGGATTGAGCTTTCCAAAGAATTTATTAACATGGCAGACTAGTTGGCCAACATTTCTAGATGTGGAAACGTTCCCACAAAGCCTTATAAAATGAGCCTGTGACCAGCAGAAGAATCTGGTGAAGCAAAAGAGCAAAATTACTCTTCATCCTGTTCAGACTTGGCCAAGAGTCAGAAGAAAGGCTGGCTTGGCCACTTCACCCAGACCACCCACGTGACATATGCACACTTGCAGATGGAGATATACAAATCTTGACTGTCGCTATTTGATTATTTACTGATCTCCCCCCGCACACCTTAAGACTATAATCTCCTCCTTATATCTCCAGTACCCAGAACCTTTCTTGCTGTACAGTAAGCACTCCATAAATGTTTGTTGAATTAATTCATTTTTATTGAATATGACATTAGTCAACAATGATTAATGTAGACTGAAGGATCAAGGTTCAAATCCTGGCTCTTATTGGCTAAATTTATGATCCATCTAGGCCACACTGCCTTATCTGTAACATGAGTAAATTTGAAGTAAAAATTCTTATGCCATGTTGGTGGAAAGGTAGATGGTTACAGACATTTCACAAAAATCTGTCAGCCCTGAGTGAAATTAAATGTGCATATGTCCTCCTAGATGCATATCCCAGAGAAATTATCTCTCCCCATGTTTTATGGTAATGGCTTATGGTAACGGAAGATGCTAGGAAAAATAACCAAGTTAAAGTTATATGTAATGAATGTAGTCTATGGAATGCAATGGAGCAAAAAAGGCAAAACAAACCATATATCCACAGAGCAATGTGGATAGATTTCAATGGTGCAGTATTAACATGCAAAACAAGCAAGCAATCCAGAAACACATGAAAAGATGTACAACCTCTCTCATAACGAGAAAAAAATGCAAATTAAATCTGTACTGAAATACTATTTCTCACCTATTCAATTGTTAAAAATATAAAAGTTCAACTTCACTGTTGGCAGGACTATGGATTAACAGGCATCTTATACATTGCTGAGGAGATGCAAATGACACATCTCCTATAGAGGGGAATTTGAAAATATCTCTGTATTAGTCCATTCTCATGCTGCTATGAAGAAGACTGGGTAATTTATAAAGAAAAGAGGTTGAATTGACTCACAGTTCCACATGGCTAGGGAGGCCTCAGGAAACTTACAGTCATGACGGAAGATACCTCTTCACAGGGCAGCAGGAGAGAGAATGAGTGCCAGCAGGGGAAATGCCAGATGCTTATAAAACCATCAGATCTTGTGAGAACTCACTCACTATCATGAGAACAGCATAGGGGAAACATCCCCATGATTCAGTTCCCTCCCACCATGCCCCTCCCACGACACACAGGGATTACAGGGATTAAGATTCAAGATGAGTTTGGATGAGGACCCAGCAAAACCATATTAATTTCATAAAGTGAGGTAGCATTTGTGCTTTGACCCTGCAAGTCCATTACCAGGAATCCACCCTGGAAATGCATCTGCACAAATACAACATGCATCCAGGGTTATCCACAGTGGTATTGTCTGTAATAAAAGAATGGAAGCAACCTAAATTTCAAACAAGAGGAAATTAGTTGAAGAAACTATTGTACATTGTCACAATGGAGTACTATGCAAATGTAAAAAGGATTTTTAAAATTTCTATTTACTGATTTGGAATAATTTCAGCATATATTCTTGGTAATAATTCCAGCATATATGTTTGGAATAACTCCAGCATATATATGCCCAGGTATAGAACAGTGTTTATATGTGCACTACATTTCATGAAATAAGAAAGAGAAATGAGAATATGTGTGTGTTTACTTTTGATCCAAAAAAAGCCAGAAACATAAACCAGAATCCAGTAATAATGATTATGTTTCTGGTTATGAGGGGAAGGAAATAGGAAGGAGGGGTAGGGATGGGAAGAAGCCATCTCTGCATAGAATTTTTAATTTAGATTTGTCTTTTGAACTAGGTTTATTTATGTTTATTTAATTTATTTAAAATAAATTAAACCAAAAAGAGGGGAGAAAAGACTAACTCCAAAATCAAAAACAAATGTTTGAACACAATATACTAACTATTCATCCTTAGTGGGATATACTCTACAAACCAACACAACAAAAATTTTTGCAGAGAAATCTTAAACTTCATTCAGTAGTTTTATTGTTAGTAATATATTCGTATTAGAAAAATAGTATTAAGTGAAAAAAATTAAAAAGAATTAGGTTTAGAGCATATTATCATTTGTGAAAATTACAGACTCATAGACTGGTAATATTTTACAAGAACACAACCTCATTAATTGTTTATATGTGTGTGCGTGTATATATATATATATATATATATACACGCACACACATATATGTATATGTATACACTTTAGGGTTAGTACTTATTGTAGGGAGAGTAGGACATAGAAGTCAGAAAAAAGGGAAAAAACAAAATGAGAGAGAGCCTTCACAGGGACTAATGATGACTATGTGCTATGAGCTGAGAAAAATGACTTACAAAATTTTCTGAGGCAAAAAGCAGTAGAGATATTAAATATATAAAATGAATGAATTGATTTGAGAAGTTGCTGAGGTTGCTCCTGGCTCTGATCTAAATTTTAAATAAAGAAAGTTTGAAAAGACCTTGAGCTACATAATGGCATTCTTTTACTTCCACAATCCATTACAATGTCTGGCTTATAATAGGTACACATGAAATATTTACTGGATAATGCATATCAGTTATGAATTACATTTGACTGCTACTAACAGAGATCAGGCTTCAGAAGAAGAAGCCTGTTTCTGTCATGCACAAAAGATGTCTAGAGATAGGCAGTCCCTGGCAAGGATAGTGGATCCATGGTCATTAGGAAGGGATACAGGCATCTGTCTTTCTGCTTCACTGACCTCATGCAATGGCTTCATCCTCAAGGTCAACTTACGGTCCAAGATGACTGGCCAGATGCCAGTCATTCCATGTACATTACATTACAGACAAGATAAAGGGAGAAATGGGAAAGACCAAAAGAAGGAAGACGAGTTTGTCCCCTCCCTTTTAAGGAAACTTTCTAACTTTCTAAAAGCTTTCTAAACTTTCTAAAACTCTAAGTCACCCTTGTGATTGCATTTCATTTAAAATAACTTAGTCACTTGGCTGCACCTAGTTATAAGGAAGCAATAAGGGAGGCTGGTGAACATAATCAAAGGATGTACCCGGCTGGAAATTAGGATTTTATACTGAAGAGTCATAGATATCGGAGTTGGGTAGGAATTAGCAGTCTGACATAAGAGAAGGAAATGAGGCTTTTTGAACACCAATTATGTGCCTGGTGTTTAACAGACTCTACACGCATTATCACATGCCCATGTCTCATGGGAGACTCTTATACTAAAAAAATTACTTGTCACTTATGTAAATCCAAGTTTAATTAGGCATTCTATACTTTTATGAGTGAAGTCTAGCAATCCTACACACTTGCTGAAATGTGACTAAGGCTGGTGGTACAGCAATGAGCTCACTGGCTTAGTGATAAAGCCAGCAGGCTCCGGAGTCTGCCAGGGTGCAAATCTCCATTGACTATATGAGCTTGAACAACTGCCTACTCTTTTTCTCCATGTCAACTTCTTCCATTGTAAAAGAAGAATAATTGTCTCTATCTCTTATGGCAGCTGTAGGATCAGATGAGTTATATGAGCAAAATACCTAGGACTGAGTGTGCCTAAATAGATACAGGGAGTGAGTTTTGTTCTCACTTGGACAGGAATGACCCTGTCCTTCAACTTTCAGTCCCTCCTGACTGACACCCTGGTTGGCTGTGGCCTAGTAACATGGGTTAACATCAACCCTCTCTATTTCAGTAATTATTAAAACTAATAATGATGATTAATCATAATTAGCAGTAATTGTAGTCAACCATCCCACTGTACTTTATAATGTATGAAAACAACTTCCCTTACATTATCTCTGCTATTATTTTCCATTTTGCTACCTGTAAAATATCAGTGATATTCACAACGATATCCTCCTCGGAGAGTGATGTGAACACTAAGTGAGATCATGTGTGTCAGATGCCTAGCACAGAGTAGGTGATCAAGAGTTCACATGCTTAATTCCTAAACTCTACTGCATAGGCCTACATGTGTGCAAAACTAGTGAATATTTATGTATCGAATATTTATTTTCTATATTTGAATATTGAATGTATATCTATATTGAGTATACGTATATATTGCATATTTATCATAAATAACGCCTAAATGAACCAATTCTTGTCAGTGCTCATAAGTCACCTTCACAGATGGTTTTTATTGGAGGTCATCCCAGGGAACTTTTGAATTGGGGTTTCCTCTCTGTGGAGCCTGAGCTTGGCTTGTTTCCATTTAGCCTGGTCCTCACACCAGTGACAGTAACTAAACCACTTTTAATCAGTGGCCTATGACTGGACCTGCTCCAGATATCTCAAATCAGGAAATAGATCACAAACGAGGCCTTCTTTTTGTTCTTTCTGTCACTGGCCTGGCTCAGAGCTGGGAGGATAATGGGGCAGGAGAAGAGAGCTGTGTTAAGGATGCCAGATAGGGCTCAGAGTACTGAGTGCACTGGGTGGAGCCCCTAACCCACAGACTGGTCTCTATGATTAGCGTCCATTGTACCCAGGCAGAGTCCCAGGTGGGTGGGATTCCATCTCATTTCCTTTGCAATGCTTGGTGGAGAAGGACAGTAAAGGGGGCAAGGAGAGGCAAGACAGAAGATGAGGTTCCCCAGTGGTGGTCTCATCAGCAGAGCCTCAACATCCCTTGTCTAAATTTCAAGTTGAGAGAGAGTAGGCCATGCTACACAATATATACTAACAAAAGGGGACCAACTCAGAACAGATGTCTGAAAGCATATTTCACTAAATAGGGAAAAATAATTAAAGTTCTGCCATGCCCAAGCCTCAAAAGCAAACGGGTCAGAGCTGTTTGGCCAGCTACTGCTCCCATTCAACCTGTCTCCCCAGAGTTCTCTGAACCACGCACCAGATAGAATCCACCTGCCTCTTCTTTCCTCAGAAAGGATCTGAAACTTGACTGTCACTGCAAGAAGAGGCCACAGGATGTGCATATAAAGTAGGTGACCTGAGTTCAAGTTTGAGCTCTGCCCTGTACAAGCTCAGGATCTTGGGAAAGGAGCTTCACCTTCCTGGCAGCCTTGGTTTCCTTATCTATTAAGTGGGGATAATAGTAGTTCCCTGCTGGGTTGTTATGTGGATTAAATGAGATGGTACAGGATGATTTGCCATTTTCTGTGAGTCATTTTTTGGCTGCACAGCAGTTGAACCTTCTGGGCCTGTGACCCAGCCAGACACACCTGCTCAGAGTTTTAAATCTCAAAGTAATGATCCACAGACGCAGGGACAAGGCAGGATCCATTTAGGCAATACTGTATTCACCAGAACCATCCCATTTTCTAGAGCAGTGGTACCGCTAGCAATGCCCAATGGCCAAAGGCCAGAGCTGGCTGTGGTAGCAAAGCCGCCACAATGCCAGGGGACAGCCAGGGTAGCTGTGGTCCACCCAACACCCTGGCTCTATGGTCCAATTTTGGCTGAGTTCTGGCCACCTTGCTTCCTCTATATTCCCAACTATTTCCCAAGCCTTGTTTTCCAGCCTTCTTGGAGTTTCTGGGAGATGCCTTATATTCTTTCATAAATTTTCTTTCTGGCTTAGATTAGCCAAAGACCCTTTCTATTCCTTACAACTCAGATCCCGGTCTGGTATAGCAGTCAAAGGACTTGGCATGGTGTCTGGTCCGCAGCAAATGTTCAGTGTATGCTAATTTCCCTGTGTGTCAGTGATGTCTCCTTCCTATTTCTGTTCCCTCATAACCATAAACATAATCATTATTATTGGTTTCTGATTTATCTTTCTGGCTTTTTTGTGTGTGTTAGTTTTCTATTTGTATTAGTTTGTATTGGGGCTGCCATAACAAAGTACCACAAATTTAGGGGCTTACAAACAAAAACCATTCATTATATCAGGGTTCTGTAGCTCAGATGTCTGGCATGGCATGGCTGAACTCTGCTCAGGATCTAACAAGGCTGAAAAGGTGCCTGCAGAGCTGCATTCTCTTCTAGAGGCTCTAGGCTGAAGCCCCTTCCAAGCTCACTCGGGTTGCTGAAAGAATTCAGCTCCTTCCAGCTGTAGGACTGAGGTTCCCATTTCCTTGACCTGGGACCCCCTCCATCTTCAAGCCAGCAACAGAGCTTTGAATCCTTCCCATTCTTAAAATCTCTCTGACTTTCCCTTCTGCATTCCCCTTCTGCAATTAAGGGCTTGTGTGATTACACTGAGCCTACCTGGCTAATCCAGGATAATGTCCCTATCTTAAGTCAACTCATTGCTAACCTAGATTTCCTCTGCAAAGTCCCTTTTGCCATGGAAGTAACTAACATGCAATGCCCCCAGAATTAGGGCTGGAGTCTTGTGGGGGCTGTGAGCCTGCCCACTACACTCTCCTTCCCAAAGTCACCTGGAAAATGCCTCCATTTTCTCTTCTTGCTAAAACTGTTGGTATCACCTGGACAATGTTTTCAAGTGATATCTGTGGCAATGTGCTGGAGGAAGCAGAGAAGAGACCAAGCAGTCAGGGACTCGGCTCCAAAAATATCTAAAGAGCTTCAGTGAAAGATGAAGAGAGCGGAAACCAGGCAGAGAAAGCAGAAGGGGCACCGAGAGTGATGAGGAAACCAACTAGAGATGGAGGGAGGGAAAGGAGAGGGGAGGCAGGAAGCAAAGCTGGCTCTTCCCAGCCTTCCATCCAGGCATCCCGTGCCAGAAGGCAAAATGCAAAACCAACAACGAGGAGAGGCAGATTTGCTAAGTGAGAAGAAAGGGATTTTTACTTGAACACGTTGAATTTGAGAGGCCTGAAGAACAAAGTGAAGATGTGTCTCCATGTCCAGGGAGGAGGCAGAGGAAACTTGAGAAAACTCAAGCTAAAATAAAATAAAAAATATATAAAATAAAATTTTAATAGTGAAAGCAAAGGAGAGAGAGGGAGGAGAAACTCAGAGTGGAAAGGACAGGCAGGGGAGGAAGGACGAGAAGCAGTGTCTCAGACATACTGACAGCGCCGCACAGGAGTCACAGCTCCCGGCTCTGGCTGCTCACAACACGTGATTTCAAATTCCCATCTGCTGCAGAAGGCTTTTATGCTTTCATGTGAGTCTGCGGCCCAGCACAGGCCTGCAGATATAAAGGCTGCTTAGGGATGTTCTGGAACTCCAGATGGCACCCTGGGATTCCTGCCTACATGCCTTATGCTTCCTGGGCCCAAGAAAGATGCTGCCACCTGAATTCTCCCCCGTTCCTGCCCACCATCTCGAAATGACTCGCACAGCAGCCTCTCCCTCTCTCCCTCTCCTTTCCCCTTTCTGCTCCTTAGGTCTCTGCCCCAGGATATAATGGAAAGACCAAGGATTCTGGAATCTGACCTCTGGAACCTAGGTCAGTATCTTCATCAGCTGTGTACCCTTGAGCAAGTTACTTAGCGTCTCTGAGGCTGATTGTTCACATATAGAATGGAATCAGCAACACCTATCTCAATAGGCCTGTTGTGGGTTAAATGCCTAGCACAGTGCCTGGCAAGAAGGAGAAGCCCAATCGATGTCTGTCCCCATCCTCCAGCCTGGCACACAGGCCTGTGGGTCTGTTTTCAGAGGCAAACAGGTCCAGCCAAAACCCCCAGGGCCAGGATGACTACGCTGAGCACAGCTTTATGGTCGGGGAACTGAGTTGCCATCTGTCTTTGCTACTGATTGATACAATCTTTGGCCCGTTATCACCATGGCCTCACTGAGCCCTGATTTCCTCATCTATAATATAGGGACAGTGACAGCATGCACCTCCACTGAGGATCTCTTATTTGCCCTGTATTAGTCTGTTCTCATGCTGCTAATAAGGACATACCCATGACTGTTTAATTTATAAAGGAAGGAGGTTTAATTGACTCACAGTTCCATATGGCCGGAGAGGTCTCACAATCATGGCAGAAGGCAAGGAGGAGTAAGGTCTCATCTCACATGGTGGCAGGCAAGAAGAGAGCGTATGCAGGGGAACTCCCCTTTATAAAACCATCAGCTCAGCTCTCGTGAGACTTATTCACTATCACCAGAACATCATGGGGAAAACCTGTCCCCATTATTCAATTACCTTCCACCAAGTTCCTCCCAGACATGTGAGAACTATGGGAGCTACAATTCAAGATGAGATTTGGGTGGAGATACAGCCAAACCCTATCATGCCCCTTCAGGTGCATTCTCCACCTGCTCTGAGCCTTGGAAGCTGACCTGTGTCAACTACAGGAAGGGATATCCACCCTCTGACTTCAGCAGAGGTTCAGCAGTCATTTCCCAGGCTCCCTCCCTGCAAGTTCACCTCTGGCTGGCTGCTTTCCCTGGTGACAGCTCCTGTCAAGGAAGCCCTCTTGATAGCTCTCTCCTTCTAGAGTCCAGCAACTGCTCCCTTCCTCACACTGTCATTACTATCTGTGTAGGGAAAAACTCTCTCAAACTTTGCTTTTCTTCTGCTTTCACACCACCACAACAATCATCAACACAGAAGACTTTTGTAACAAAGATGTGGAGATTCGTCCCCACACACCAAGCAGCAGACACCAGTTGGGCATCCTCCAATTCAATTCCAACACTATCTACCTGGAGATAGGGTCAGTCCCCAAGACTCCCTTTCTCTCCTGCACCAAGACACCAGTCACAAGTCTGGACTTCTAGAAGTTCTGACCAAGTGGCTTCAAGTTGGGGTTCCCACGACCCCTGTTTTGGGTTTAATTAATTTGTTAAGGCAGCCAGAACTCAGGGAAATAACTTAAGTTGACTGGTTTATTATAAAGGATATTGCAAAGGATACAGATGAAGAGATACTAGGGTGAGGAATGAGGGGAAGGGGTGCAGAGTTTCCATGCTTTCTCTTGCTTGGAACATGTGCAAGTTCCTGGGTGCACCACCCTCCAGGAACTTCCACATGTTCAGGTATCCAGAAGCTGTTCTTCTGTTGCAAGTGACAAGAACCCAAATCAAACTAATTCAGCCCAAAAAAGGAGAATAACTCTCATCACTGTGAAGTCTCAGGTTAGTGTTTGCTTTGGGGGCAACCTGGCTCAGAAGATCAAATGATGCTACAATACGCATTTCACTTACTCTCTTAGTTCTGTGGTGCTCTTTCTTGGCTTCATTCTCAGGCCATCTCTGTTATCACTTGGTGATAAAAATGGCTACCAGTAGTATCTCTAGGTTTACATCATCCTCATGGTGATTCCAGAAAAAAAAAAAAGAAAGAAAGAGAAGATGATGACAACAATCATCACAAATCCCTCCCCGTCAACATCCATACTTGATCACCCAAATGGCATTGATTGGTCGTGTTTGGGCTTTAGAATGAACACTGAACCAATTATTAGGTCTAGAAGAAAAAAAAAATTGAACTAGTCAGAGTGAGTGAAGACCTTGTCCCTGTAGTGTGAAAGGTAATTACAGCCAGGTGAGGTCCCACTGAATCACATTACCTTGGGAGAAACAGAATCCCAAAAGAAGTGATACAGAACTGACACAAAGCAGATTTCCATATAGGACCATATAGATTTCCACTATAGGACCATTAGGGGCACAGACTATATAGTCAATAAATGCTATCAGAATGGAAACTAAGAGTTCTGTGAGATTAATACTTTCTCCTCTCTCTGCCCTCTCACTCCCATCTCTTTCTCCCTCTCCCCCGAGTCTCTCTGTTTCACATATATATTCACATACACACACAAAGAAGTGGTTTCAAATAGTCCCTGGGGCACTAACAGAGGAAAATGGCCATAAGGATGAATTCCAGTATTACTCACAGGATAAATTCTCTTGTTACATCATGAGGAAAAGAAAAACCATTAACTGAGGCATAAACTTCCTAATTGTGAAGAGCATGATTGGCAGGCGGTGAATACCTCATCGTTCTCAAATAGACCATAAGCTTCAGGAAGCCTTTAATAATAACCTATTATACTGACATGAATAAGGTTGAGATGGAGCAGGCTATGCTGAAGTGGTAGAGGCTGAAAGAGAGAGAGAGAAAAAAAGATTGTTCTTGATGTCCCTTTGTATCTGACCCTTATCCAGATACTGAAATTGAACCACCATAATGAGCCAAGTATCATATTCCAAAAAATCTGCCAGACATTCCTGCCGTTTCAGCTTTATTGAATTACTATGTAGTGCAGCCTTAGAAATATAAATCATGGAGAAGCAGGAAATGCATTTATTTCATTAACCCATCTAGACTTCGTTGAATGTCTGCTAGTGCCTCTCTTAAAAATAGCCTTAGAGTCTTACCCCGCAAATATGTTTGAATTCTGTTTACCAGCAGCAGTAAACCTGACGATAGACTATTGTTTAATTCCTATTTCTCCTCAAAAGCACTTTCACTCCCATTTAGTTGGCTGCATGTTGTACAGAGCTTTAAAGAAGAACATCCTTGTGTCCTTTGTCATTTCTTGGTCTTCCACGAAGTAGCTGGCCAGACTTGCTTTTTTGCTCCCATTCCAATCAACCAGCCACAAAGAGGAAGAAATAGTTCCTGAGGTTGGCAACAGTTATCTGGATGCATGCAAAAAGCCCAAATCACCTTGGACACCAAACTTGGTGCTCTGTGAAGGAGTTGCACAGGAAAATGCTGAACTGATAGAACCAGTAATGAAGACAGAGATGATTTGGTCATAGCAAGCAGCTTTGCAAGCTTAGATGGCAGAGCAGAATTAGGACCAGAAGCTCTGGAGTTAGATGGCCTGGGTTCAAATTCAGACCATAGCACTTATCAGCTGGGCAACTTGAGCCAGTGAATTTCCTTCTTCCAATTTCCATTTCATCAACAGTACTAATGTTTACCTCCAAGGGCTATTGAGAGGTGGCTTCAAGAAAAACAAATGAGTGGGCAGGGGGGACCTGTAACCTACAAAGCATCACTCAACTTTGTTATTATTATGACACTCAGACCAAAGAAGACAAGGGACATATATGTCTCAGCTTGAGACAAAATTTCAGAGTTTATCCTTGCCACATTTCCTGTGAGAATTCCTTTGCTTTCTCATCCTGTCCCATTTCCCAAGGGGCCTATGTTGTTCTCCATGATTACTCTTAATTAACACTTAATAAGTCTCTCCTGAAACATTAATAGCTGGCCAAGCCTTAGCTGACAATGGCTTAATGTATGATACCTCCCAGGGATGTTGGCATTTATTTTAATTTGAAAGGAGACCCTAACTTCTCTCCTAACCACCCAGAAACTCCACTAGGGTCCAGGGAGACATCCCTAAAATGTCACCATCTGGGCCTTTCCCACATGATCATATTGAAAGTTTGGGAGAGAGTAAAAGAATGAAGAGGAAGAAAGCAAAGGAAAACCCACTGGGAGCTACATTTCCCTCCCAAAACAACAACAAAAACCTAGTGCCTGGTACACAGTAGGTTTTCCATTAATAATCTTAAATGGAGGAATAAATGATAGAGTTAATGAACCAGCAAACAAATAAATGAAGAACTGCCCCATAATTTCTCCATTCACTCACAAGGAAGAAAATAAATAAAAGCTAACTTTGGCAGGGCACCTCTGAGAAGTCACCAACTATAACAGCAAACTCCCTGCCTAATCCTTCTTACTGGAATTGTAGCACTAAGAATAGCCAGTTTGCTTTTTACTGACTGGGTTCTTACCTGCCTTCTTTCTGGAATGTGGTCCAAAAAAGGGAAGAATGGGATCTTGATCATGATGAAGGGCACAGGCTATGAAGTCTATCATATTTGGATTTTAGACCCAGTTCTGCTAACATCTATTTGTAATTGGGCAAAAGACTTAATCTCAACTTTTGCTTCTACCCATGAAGGAGAAACTCCTATGGGATACACCCTGACCCACTGAAAACACAATCTACAAAGAGAACAAAATATATTCAAGAAGTGTTTTCAGACATTAAACAACAAGTAACACAGGACCATAATCACCAATAAAAGCAAAAACTAAAGTAAACCAGGCAATTGCACCATCTTAACCTGGAATTAATTTCTGGACTGAATCACCAGGAAGATGAACCCAAACAGAGCAAGTCACAGAGATCAGGGAGGCCAGGGTAGATAGGTTTGGAAAGCACAGAGTACTGGAGTAAAGGGAACTATACAAAGAAAGAGCTCCAGAAATTTGCATAGGGGCACTCTGGATCTTTAGCTAAACACTAATCTCCACATGCAAATGAGGCTGGGCAAAGAATATTAACAGAAAAAAAAAAAAAAAATCACTGGAGAGCTGCAAGCCAAACAATTCTCAGAGCTCACCCAGGGCTGAAAATGTTCAAATTCCCACCAGCCAGAACACAGAGACATTGCTAAATACACAGGAAATTTAGTAACACTACGGAAGCTTTATGCCTTAATAGTGGGACTAAATAAGCCCTTCAGTAAAGGGATTAAATTAACCATTTAAAAATATCAAAATTGAGCCTCAAAAGAATCAAGCTGAATTGCATCCAAGTCACTCGACCCACCAATACAAAGCATAACATTCTTCAAAGGGATATAACAAAATCCAGCAATAACCAATATAAAATACACAATGCCCAGCCTCCAATTAAAAAATTAGTAATTATGATGAGAGAATATGATTTGTAAAAGAAGAAAAATCAATCAATAGAAACATCTATACATTGTAAAGATGAATGAGTTATCAACAAAGGACTTTAAAACCTTTCAGGTATGCAAGCTCAAGTATTTAAAGAAAAACATGAGTATAATGAAAGAATATATATATAAAGGAACATATATATACACTATATATGTAGTGTGTGCACATATAGATAGATCTATCCATAGTGTATATAGTGTGTGTGTGTGACACACACCATACACACACACACGCCAAATGGCACTTTCAGAAATGAAAGAATTTCAAGAGGAGCCACAAAGAAAAAGAAAAAGACTGAAAAATATAAACAGAGACTCACTGAGCTGTAGGACAATATCAAACGGTATAACATATACGTTGCTGGAGTTCCAGAAGGAGAAAGATGAACAGAAAAAATATTGAATTTATAATGACAATTTTAAAATCTAAATTTTTTATGACATCTATAAACTTACAGATGCAAGAAGGTCAATGAGCTCAAGGAAAGATAAACACATAGAAAACCATACCAAGAGAAATCACAATCAATTGCTAAAGAAATAAGTAATAAACGAAAAATATGCAAAGTTGCACAGAAAAACAGACATGATAAACCCAGAGAACAAAGAGAAAAATTATCTCAGATGTCTCAACAGAAACTATGCAAACCGGAAGACAGGGGACTGATATCTTTGAGGGATAAAGACGTAAAATGTCATGTAAATTTTGCTAACTGGAAAAAATATCTTTCAAACTTAGAGTTGAAATAAAGATTTTTTTTCAGACAAACAAAAGCTGAGAGAAGTCACTAATTGATCTTCACAAGAAGACATATTCATGGAAGTTCTTCATGAGGAAGAAAACTGATACCAGAGGGAGACTTGGAACACAAAAGAGTGAAAACACAGCAACCATAAGATTATAAGTAAATATGAAAAGAAGAAATCAACATGGAAATCTGAAAATATTTTGAAGCAAATGAAAATGAAAACACACCATGTCAATATTTGTGGGATGCTTCAGCAATTATTAGACAAAACCATACAGCTTTCGGTGCCTATACTTGAATAGAAGAAAGGATAAAAAATAATGACATTAAACCTTTCCACAAAGGAAATTCCAGGTCCAAATACCTTCACTGGTATACTAAATCAAATATTTAATGAAGAAATAATGCCAATTGTACACAAACAGTTACAGACAATAGAAAGGACGACAAGATTTTCAAACACCGTTTAAGGTCACCATTGCCCTGATGACAAAACCAAAGACATTAAAGAGAGAGAGAGAGAAACTATAAACCAATGTCTTGCATGAAAAGAACATCTTTTACAAAATATCAGCAAAACAAATTTGGCAATATATTTAAAGAACAATACAACATGAAGTGAAAATTATCCCAGGAAGGCAAGGTTGGTTTAATATTCAAAATTCATTCAATACAATCACCATATTAACATAGTAAAGAAGAAAAAACATAATTATCCTAATAAACTTAAGAAAAATATTTAACAAATTTCTTTACCCATTTATAACTTTAAAGAAATCTCTCAGCAAACTAGGAATGTAAAGAAACTTCTGGCCAGGCACAGTGGCTCATGCCTGTAATCCCAGCATTTTGGGAGGCCAAGAGGTGGGTGGATCACCTGAGGTCAGGAGTTCGAGATCAGCCTGGCCAACATGGTGAAACCCCATCTCTACTAAAAATACAAAAATTAGCTGGGCATATTGGTGGGCCCGTGTAATCCCAGCTGCTTGGGAGGCTGAGGCAGGAGAATTGTTTGACCCCGGGAGGTGGAGGTTGCAGTGAGCCAAGATCTCACCACTGCACTCCAGCCTGGGCGACAGAGCCAGACTCCATTTCGAAAAGAAAAGAAACTTCCTCGACTTGGTAGAAGACATTTATAACTAACATTATACATAATCGTGAAAGACTTAATATTTCTCACTAAATTCAGAATGAGGAAAGACATTTGCTCAGTCTATGTCTATTCAACATGATACTGGATATCCTAGCACTAGGTGTGTTTTGTTGTATTGTAATGAGGCGAGGAAAAGAAATACAAACATACAAATTAAAAAGGAAGAAGTAGAACAGATTTTATACACAGAGAACCTAAAATGGAAAATCCACCCACATGGAAAATTCTACTAGATCTTTAAAAACAACTAGTAGGTAGGACTACTAAGTGAATTTAGCCAATTCATAAAATTCAACTATATTTCTATATACTAGCCACAAAAAAACTTGGAAAATAAATTTGTAAAGAATTCCATTTATAATAGTTCAAAAGTATAACATACATAGGAATAAATTTAACAAAAACAGTGTAATTCCTGCGTACTGAAAATAAAAATTAGTGCTGAGAGAAATAAAAGAAGGCCTAAATAAATACATACACTCTGTCCATGAGTTGGGAGACTTAGTATTGTTAACATGTCAGTTCTCCCCAGATGATTTATAGATTTATTGTAATTGCAATCAAAATCTTAGCAGTCTGCTTTGTTGAAATGAACAACTGATTCTAAAATTTATTTGGAAATGCAAAGGACCCAAAATATCCAAAATAATTTTTAAAATAGGAACAAAGTTATATGATTTCAAAAGTTACTAAAAGCTACAACAATCAAGGCAGTGTGATTTTGGCAAAATGATTGACCAGTTAATGGGAAGGAATACAGGGTCAGAAATAGACCCACACATCCATAGTTAATTTTTTTACAAGGGTGCTATGTCAATTTAACAGAGAAAGAATGATCTTTTCAATAAATAGCACTCCAACAACTAACATCTCATACAGAAAAAAATAAGTAAAATTCAATCTTTCCCCACATAGTAAACAAAAATTACCTTAAAATAGATCATACACGTAAATGCAAAAACTTAAATATAAAGCTTTTAAAAGACAACATAAAGAAAATATTTGCAACATGAATGTAGGCAAAAATTTCTGAGATAGGACACAAAAACCTTAACCATTAAAAAACTTATAAAATTGACTTTATCTAAATTCAAAGCCTCTGCTTTTCAAAGCACTCTATTAATCAAAAATAAAAGGCAAATTCAACAACTGGGGAAATATTTATAAAAATGTATCTCACAAAATCCCTGTGTCTAGTATATACAAAAAACTCTTAGAACTCAATAATATGAAAATGACTATCTTAGTCCATTTTCTGTTGCTATAATTGAATATCTGAGACTGGGTAACTTAAAACAAAAATAAATGTATTTCTTTCTCTTCTGGTGCAAGAATAGGAAAAATCTTGGATGAAACTAGTCAAAGCACTGACATGCCATGACTGCACTGCAAACTTGATGGATAACTCACCTCTTTCAATCTGTTTCTTCACTTTGAAATCTCCTTCTCAACAGGGAGCACTCCTATTAGCTCCAACGTAGCTTCATGGGCAACATGATCCCACCACTCTAGATCCCCAAAGGACCTGAGAATGTGATTATAAGTTGTTTCTCTAAAATGGGAGGCAACTTTACCCCAGCCACCATGTCTCTCTCCTTCATCAAAATAGTGCTCAGCTACACGTGTTTATAAGAAGCCAGTCTAAGCAGAACCCATTTCCAGGGACCATCTGTACTTCCTAGCAATTGAACCCACAACCATGCCTTTGGAGATGACCAGCAGGACGGGGTAAGAGGTCTGCATCTGGCTTTCTGCTCCACACACATGCTTTTGTCTGGACTCCAAAGCCTGACAGCTGAAACTTCTGGAATGCCCTAGGCACTGCTGAATCAGATGTTTTTCAGCTTCAGTGATTCACAACTTCCAACTTGCAGAACATTCTCAAGCTAGCTATTTTTTGGAGTCCCTTTTCTCCAGCTGCCTCCAAAATGAACTGTCCCCAACCCTGAATTTCACTGACAGTGAGGTGTTTCTCTGGAAGTCTGGTTGGGGGCCATGCCAGCGTCATCGCCCTGTACTGGGCTTTGAAGACATGATGACCCACAGATTTTTATGTGATGAAGCTGCTGTTGCAGTGCCTGACCCCAGGCAGGTCCATGCAACACAGCCTGGCATCCTGTGTTTCCATATGGCACCAACCAGGTTGCTTTGAGCTCTCAGTCCTCTAGAAGCAGGGTCCCCTGAGGCACCACAACACAGAAGAGACCACATTGAGCCCTGTTGGAATATGTGTATGCACAGCTTTGGACAGCCACTGGAGGCCTGCTGTCTCCTTTACTGAATTCTGAGCCATTGCAGGTGCTCAGGATGGAGTCACCTCCATCCCATCCCACAGTAGAGTAGTGAAGAAACATGAATCATTCTATTAATTCCATCTGCTGAGACTGGAGCTTCTAGAATTTCACATCAGTGGGGTATTGGGGACAGTTGCTCTCTTCTCCATGTTTGTTTGGAGAATGCATTGATTTGGGCAACTGTCTTTGTTCCTGATATCTGCTCAGCTCCTGCAGGAAAATGCTGTTTATATCAACAGAGATGGCAACAGGCTGGGCTTACTGTCGAGGAGACTGAGTTGCAGAATCATCATCCCTGATTCCCAACAGAGCAACTAAGAGCTTGGACTTGAAAGTCAGTCACCCAGGCCCATATTTGAATCCAGATGCACATTTAACAGTTGGTTGACTTGGGCAAGTTACTGCACTTTTCCAAAAGTGTTTCCTCATCTGTAAAAATGGAGATAAAGGAACATGAGGAACATTCAAAGAGATAATATATGCAAAGGGTAGGCATACGGACTGCTGCCGGGTAAGCACTTGGTTAATACTAACAATAATTATTTTTCTTAACGGTGAGAGTTCCCCCGGGAAGCAAAAATAAGCCGTGGCAGAAACATTGCTAAGTGTTCGTCTGATTCCATTTTACTTTTCACTTTTTAAGTACTATAGACTTGAGGACTGTCTATGATTAGGTCGAGGTCAGATGGCTGAGTTCTGACCAATGGGAGGTGGGCACAAATGATGCACACCACATCTAGGCCTCATCTTTAAAAGGTTCTGACTTCTGCTCTTTCCTTCATTTGCACAGCTAGCAATGAAGAACCTGGAGATGTCAGAACCACAGGATAGAAGAAGCTCAGATGTTTGAGCACCTGCTTGAAGGTGACATGAAAAGAGAACAGCCCTGTACTGGACTTAGTGGTAGTGAGAAATTGTTGTTTATTATATTGAGCCATTGACATTTCAGGGTTTGTCTGCTACTTCAGCATAACATAGTATGTCCAGACTAATTCACAAACAAACACTAGTACAGGGAGTGGATGGGGAACCAGCTGGTCGAGGTACAATGGATATTCCCAGTCAGGTAGAGAAGGGCTGTGTAAATTTTTCATCAGGATGAAAATAACTCATGATTTTACAACAAAGTTGATTGCAAATTTCCCAGGCAACCCCCTACTGGAACCAGACAGTTGTGCCAGGAGGAGACAAGGCTTGTGACGTGAAAACCCCTTTGTCTGCACTTTCTGGTCTTCATATAGCAACGCTGCTGTTCCACTTCCATACCCCAAACTTTGCATGATTCTGTAGATTAAAAACATCCTCTCCATAAATTTCAATAAATTGGCAGTGAATTTCTGCAGCGGAAACAATTCTCATTTAAAACTACACATCTAGCCATGTATATTTGTCTGGGGACCACCTGTTGAAGGAAGCAGCCATCTGTACACAAAGTCACAAACGATCACATTCAGTCCATATTAGAACGTGGCCACACATGTTTAACAAAACATCACGTTCCCTGGATCATGGCTGTCCTATGCCAATGGAACCAGAAACTAATCCTGTAAAGCTCTAATGTGAAGACCCCAGGGCCCTTGCAGATACTGTTCTTTCTGCCCAGAATGCTCACTTTACATATGACTAGTCTTCATCTTCAGATCTCTGCCCAAAAGTCACCTCTTCAGAGATGCCTTCCCTGAATGCTCTTTCTGCAGGAGGTAGCTCCCACCCTTACTCCTCTATCTCTGTACCATATCCATTTCTTCCATAGAACTTACTATATGTAATTGTGGGGGGTGTGTATGTAACTTCTTTCACTAGACCCAAGTAACTGGGAAACTCCCCAACCTCTAGAATTCCAGGTGTATGAGCTGATAAAGCCCTTGTAGTGTTTAAGCCAATTTCAGCTGAATTTTCTGATATTATAGCTGATTTTACATCTAAAATCTTCCTAACAAATATATCTTCTCTCTAATGTATTACTACTGTTGTCTTCCCTGAGATTATCTGTATAAATTAAAAATCCACTATGTGCCAGGCACCACGTTAGGAACTTTATTTCATTTAATCTTCACAATAACTCTGAAAATTAGCGATTATTTAATGCTATTATATGGGTGAGGAAATTGAGGCCCAAAAAGTGTAACTAACATCGTTGGCTCTGCATTCCTTCCTTTGGGGAGCTGTTCTCCCACATTCTGTGTGATTCCGTGTCATTTAAATATACCACAAGGTGCGTACATGATCCAGGCTGGCCAATCAGAGCACTTCTCCACCCAGACTCTGTGATGGGCCAGGAGGAGACACATGACCCAAACAAAGCCAATCACAGTCCTTCCTTGTTCCCTAAATGCTAGGACATTAAGAACCTCTCTGGTTTGAGGATCACACTCTAAAAAAGCGTCATAACCCTGCTTTGGCCAGGAGCTGTCTTGCTGCCATGTGGAGAGGGCCTGCCTAAGAATAAAGCCTCATCCAGGGAGAGTGAGTGAAAAAGAGGCCAATGAGATCCCTTGAACTCCTGGATCCAACTGTGCCTGAGACACACACTTGGGCTTCTCGGTTCCATGAAGCAGTAAATTAATCATTACTTAATATGGTCTGAGTGGATTTCTGCCATTTGCTACTGAATAAAGATGGAGTGGGCATTACGTAGAAGTTAAATACATGTTAGTTCTCTCAACTTTCCTCCTTAAAGTGACCACTGCCCATTAACCCCACAACAGTTGTCAACATGTCAACTGCTGCCACTACAGTCACCCCTATTTTTTCACTACCCTTACTATGTCACATTTGGTCCAGCCTCTAGGCCATGCACAGGCTATTCTTTCTGCCTGGATACAGAATTATGTATTTTCCAAGGGTCACACTTCTAAGTAAACGTACTCCACAAATGACCTACAGCCCCTCTAACTGCAACTTACTGCCCATTTGCTAGTGGTGGCAGGGGTTGAAGCAAGAATTAAAAGCCCACAGGCCTTTAAATGTCCTATTTTAAGTCAGTGACTATTGCCCTGCAAAGAAAGGACTATTGTTTCTCATTCATATTGAGTTTTATACTCAAGGTGACTTCATAGAATTTCTCTCATTCCTTCTTTTTCGTAGCCCTGTTAGAGTTGGATAAGAGAGCAATTAATATACCCATTAGACAGCTGAGAAAGCTGAGTTCCAAAAAGGTGTAGCAACTTAATTGCAATTATCAAGTCCAGACTGAACTTGGAATTCTTCCAACCTCAGCCCAACCTGAGAGGCACCAACGTGTTCTAATTTGGCAAGCCACAATTATAAGCATCCATTCCCCAACCTCCTACCACACCCAGCACCTGGTCAATTTGGACAACTAAGCCCTATCAGGTTAGGTTGCCAGATAGTATACAGTATGCTCAGTTAAATTTGAATTTCTTTTTTTTTTTTTTTTAGTATAAGCATGACCCAAATATTGTCTGGAACACACTTATATTGAAAAATTATTCATAGTATATGTGAAGTTCAAATGTAACTAGGCATTCTGTAGTTTTATTTGCTAAATGTGACAATGCTACATCAGATGTTCTTCCAGTAAACTAGAAAAGGGGTGCAAGTTGTAATTTCTTTGGAAAGTCAGACTTTTCTGGCATGGATCCTAAAACACTACTATTCTGTGCACAGCATCACTCTCTAATGTTTGATACTAGGGTAGGGTTTGATGTCACCTGATATTATGGCCAGGATCCAGGAACTCTTCAATCTTGCTCTATGATGCACCTCTCCTTCCAAGAGCTTTCTGGAGGGTCTATTTACACAAGAAACAGTGGCAAAATGGGACTCAAGATACTGTCATTCTAGGCAGAGCCGTGAGTGGCCTTCCCCATTAGGAAATCGTGACCCACTGATCTTGGACTCTGATTAATCCCAATCAGATTAGCAACTTCCTGCCCTTGGGATAGAGGGGAGTGCCTAGGGAAAGGGCAGGCACAGGAAACTGAAATGTGGAGAAAGAGCGTGGCTGAGTGTTAGCCTTTGATGACGTCTCCAGTTCAGAACTAAGGAACCTGGTGAGTAGTCTCTTTTGGAAACCAAGACTGAGAACATGTAAATTTGGAAGCTACGGGATAAGCCAAGGTGGGTTCCACAATCAGAGAGAAGAAAGCCAGGCTATAAAAGGAGAAGAAAGCTGATATGCAAAGAGAAGCAGAAAAGAGGGTATACTGTCCTCTTCAATCCACCACTCCAATTCTTAATTCCAGCGGCACTGCAAGATGCATTTCCTCTTCTAAGAACTTCGAATAAATTCCCTTTTGTGCTTAAGCTCATTTGGGTAGGTCTCTGTTACTTATATTGATTCTGTCACTTACTTGACTAAGAAAAAACCACCAAATAAAGAAGCAAGGTCTCTGGTTCAGTTCATTGCAATTTATTTAATTTAAAAATAAAAACAGAAACAAAAACCAAAATGAAACAAAAATCAGTTTCCAACGAAAATACAAACACTTTGGGTGGTTATCCAGCTTGTTTTTCCCCTGTAGGCTGTTCTGGGCTCAAACCAATCAAATGAGTGAAAACCAATTTTGACAGGAGCCATAAAGCATGTTGCACCAATTAAATTACACCAATATATTATTATAATACCTTTGAAATGCCTTTCAGACCAATAAATAAAAAAGACAAATTCAAATAAAAAAGTCAACTTTTTATTACCAAAAAAAATAGAAATTAAATAAAAGTCACAATGTGGATTTTTTTTTTTTTTTAATGTGCAGTCAAGTTTCTCTCTTTTTTTCTTCTAGGAATGATACCATGCCAGTAAATCCCTACAGAACATTTCCAGTTTGGCAACAAGCAGTCAGTCGATCATTCACATTTGTACTCAAGACAGCAGGCCTGGGCAAAACTCGCCTGAATTTCACCCTGAAAAGTGCTCCCCATCATCTGAAGAAGCAGCACCTGGTAACAGGCATGGCCATTCAGAGGGTACTTAGCATTTTCATTTCACCTGGGGTCTTGAAGCACTTCCTGAAAACTGATTGTGCCTTGACATTTACCTGTAAAAAGAAGTGTAATTCTACCCCTTTGGCAGATGTGTAAACTAAGACGGTGCAAGGCCCACAGAAGTAAGGAGAGGACCAGGAAAGCTGACAGTGAATCTCCTGCTTTGTCCATCAGGTCCTAAAAGTGTCTCTCACTTGTAATTCCACAGAAGTGAATAAAGCATAACTTCTTTGACTGGGATTGGCTGGTAGGGATGACAGGACTTAATGATGAAGCAGGGAGCTGCTTTAATGGCTTTTCCCTCTATTGCAAGTTTTTCCTTGAAAGGACAGTCAACACCACACCTAGAATCAGAGGATGTTGGCAGAGTGTCAGAGCTAAGCGGGGCTTCAGGTACCAGCTAATTCATCCCTCCAGCCCTCACTGGAAGGAAAACTTAACCCCTGCAAACAATGCAGATGCCTAAGGCCACCTATGACTTAACTCAGTCTCTGCCTCTGAGTGGAGGACTTTCTCTGCCACAGTCCACTGGCTGAGTTTCCTGACAAAAGAGAACACGTGTTTGGGGGGAGGAAGAAGGGAGTAGACTGACTTTCCTCAATAGTGTCATTTTTACTTAAAGACTAGAATGATGGAAACTACTAAACAGACTCAATCACTTGGCAAAAGGAAAAAACACATCAACCAGTAGGTAGGAGCTAGATCTAAGTCATACTGACAGCTACGGACACGGCCAGCTGCCGTGCACAAGGGGCCAGCAGGGCAGCAGCATAGGCTGTTCAGAAAAGACTGCATGAAATGAGGCAGGAAGTAGGGAGCTCAGAGTTGCAGGTTGTCCTCCATGCACCCACACCCCCACCCCCCCCCACACACACAATTTGCTATCTACAGAATTTTTTTTTTCCCTTTTAACCTCTATTAGAGTTCAGGAAGGAGGTGGAATTGAATGAAAGGAAATTGAGCAGCTTCCCATAACACACTGCTCAGCTCAACCTGAAGGAACGCATAAGCCAAAACACCAGAGCCGGTGGCAAGGGGAGAGCCCAAACTGTCTCCTTAAGGAAAGGGCAATTCCATTCTAATGCACTTTCTTAGCACTGTAAGGTGAATTTTTTTCTCATCTCCCTAGAACTATTGTTTGTTGGTTTTTCCAAAGATGTTCCCAAGACCAGTCCTCTTTTCTATCTACACGTCTACCAGTGGTGGCCATCTTGAACTGAGTTCAATTTGCCTTGGCCAGCAGAATCTGAAGTCATCCCAGAGACCAGGAAGTACAAACCTAGTATCATGAAGGTGTCCCATGGTTGGAGTGGCATCTTGTCATTGTGATCTGGGTGTTTAGAAATTACATATCTAGTTTTTTGTTTTGTTTTGTTTTGTTTTGTTTACTTTTTAAGATAAGAGTCCTGCCGCACCTCTTTTCTGTCTCCCCCAGAACCATCTGGGTAACATCTAAGGAAATGTTCCCTCTCTTACATGCTTCCTCCCAACCCCCTGCACTCTTTCAACACCTTATTCATTTAAATGAATGGAACTTTCTCTTCCCCCAAAGCCCAGGAGTTCATGGCAAAGTTTAAAACCATGACATAGAATACTTAGATTTGGGGGAAAAAAAGCACCATCTACCTGATTTTCCTTTCCTCATCCCAATATCCCATCTACATGCTAACTCCCTAGAAGCAAACTTGCCTACCTCTGAGGATGCTACACTCAGTGGATGGGGAAACCATCTGTCACTGGTGAACAGAGCCAATGGTTCAGCCAGGTAATCCTCTGGAGAATATGGACAGTATCACGTCCAACTCAAAGCATCCATGCAGGTGAGAACCCAAGAGGCAGCATTCCAGTTAATATTGAGAAAGAAAGTGACAAGTTGCCTCTTGTTGGTGTGCATCAACTTCCATTCATCTGTGCAAAGATCACAGACCATCTTGTGCCCTGTCATATATAATAGTTTTGACCTCTGACACCATCATCTTTCTCCCTGTCCACCCTCAAGAGGTTGTGCTGTAGAGCAAGGCAGACATCAGGAAAGAGGAGGTGAACAGCAAGGAGCTAAATCACCATGGGCTGACTCTATGTCCTTAGCAGAGTTCAGAGCATTCTCTCTCTGACCAAGGCCCTGTCTTTCCTCAAAGTTGAGTAGCAAATTAACAAATGCCTCACCAGTGGCATGAAAGAGTTAACATAGATCCCACAGGATGACTAAACCCGATTCCCAGGGCCTAGCCAGATCAAAGATGACAACTACATAGCATTAGTGCTACTGCTTCCCCTTCCCTTTCCCGTGGTAGCCATTACTAGTCAATCACAGCACTCCTTCCCCATGATGTGGGCCACTTACGCCAGCACAACTGGCAGCCACTATTAATTGATCGTCAACTCAAGCTCAAGTTGCTGAAATCTACTTGCCAGCTCCACGCAGCCAGACCTAGCTTGCTAATACAAGGAGAAAAGGGGCAAGTTCTTTGGGCTCACCCAAGGCAAACAGCCCAAGTGTCTCCTGCCCCTCCTCCAGAAGCATCTGGATGACTTCTAAGGAAATGCTCCTTCCACATATGCTTCCTCTCCACCCACTGAGTGCCGGTCAATACCACCTCCCCTGGACAGCTGGTCCTCTAGGAGGTGCCATAAAGCAAATGCCAAACAGGGCCCAAATTCTGACTGACAATTGACAGAACTGGCAGAAGAGCCCACCTCTCCCTTTTAGGTGTTGGCTCAAGGCTGCAAACTTGGCCAAGTGAGACAGTGCCAATCCTTTTTCAGTCTGTTGTCACAGCCAGCAAAGAGGTAACCAGCCTGTGAGCCCAAGTCTTGCTCCCCTTCCTCCCTCGTACCCCCGCCCGCCCCTGGGCGCCCTGGAATGCTAGTTGAGCTTGCTGCAGATCTCCAGCGCTTGCTTGTAGACCTGAGTCACATCATCCATGTCTGTGAGGAGGGAGAAGCTGCTGTCTGCCAGCCGGTTCCGGTACCGCTTCAGGTACTGGGGCCGGGGCCGGTTCTGGAGCCCCTCAAAGTCCTGGATCTGGAGGAAGTTTTCTGCAGAGACGCAGCTGCGGATGCGCTGGCGGGCAGGGCGATTCTCCTGCAAATCCAGCAAGTCAAAAGAGTCGCTGGACAGCACGCTGTCATCGCTGATGACACTGGAAGGGCGGCTGTAGCTCCGGGAGAGGCCCTCGGCAGGGACACCAGGCTCTGACAGGGATTCCAGTGTGGGCATTTCAGGGCTGACCAGGGCTGGGTCCATGGTGCCCGCTGAGTATTTGCTGCTGTGTTTCAAGATGCCCTTCCTCCGGCAGGAGAGGCTGTGGGAGGTTACCCTGGCTGGGTCCGGGGGGCTGGGGGAGGGGATGCTGCTGCCCATCACATCATTACTGTCCAACAGCTCCGAAGACTCACTGCGCTCTGGGGAAGAGTAGTAACCTGATTCTCTCTGCTGGGTCTTTTTCAAGATGCCTTTCTTGGGCATCGTGGCCGACTGCTTGGGGCTGAGTTTTCCCGGCACCTCTGCCTCTGGTGAGCTTGGGAGGAGCACGCCAGTCCTGCACAAGTCCTGCTCCATCTTGAAAGTAGAGGGTAAGGCAGGACCAACTACACCTTCAATGAAGCCAGTGCTGTGAGAGCGATGCTCGCTGTTGCTTCGCTTCTTCAGGATCCCCTTGGGCCTCTTAGAACTCAACTTGGATGGGCTTTCAGGCACTGCATCCTGACCAGACTGAGCAAAGTCATTCTCTTTCTTGGATTTCTTCAGCGACCGCTGCCGCTCTAGCATGACCTCAGAGGTCGTGGGTTTGGCCAGGCCCTTCATTTTGGCTTCGGTGTCAGCCTGCAGCCCTGTGGAACGGTGGTGCCAGTCAATGATCCGAGCCAGGAGTGGGGACTCAGAGTCATGGAGGGCATCACAGTCACACACGCTGCTCTTATAGCCCCAGTTCACCCACCAGTGGTTGGCAATGTCCTCAATAGTGGCCCGGCGATCGGGGTTCACCATCAGCATCCACCGTATGAGTCCTCGAGCATCTAAGGGACAAGGGACAAAAAGAATCGGGCATTATGTGGGAGCTTCTGGCTTTGTGATAGTGGGACCCTCCAGGAGTGACGAAAGACACACACTCCCTCTAGGACAAATCCATCTGGAGACCTGGTCCAGCCACATTATGGAGCAGGAAGCCCCAGCCTTTCAGATCATCCATCAAAAGCATAATCAAGACTTGGAACCACAGGCCAGGGTGCCATCACATCATGGCATGTTTTCCCTGTAAGTGAGAAAATGTCATAGAACTACTAAGCTTTTCATCATCTTGAATCTTTAGAAAATGTGGAAGGTCAGGTAACCAAGAAAGAATCCAGACTTGACCCTGAGAGGTGCCCCACCATTCCTTTGGCGAATATCATTTTACCAGAGGAAAAACAGGTGTAGATAACCATGGCTTTCTTTATTCCTCCAAAGGTGGGCTTGTATAAACACACAGCACCTGCAGTCACTGGGAAAGCATGCCAGAGACAGAACATGGAGTGTGGCTCAGAGGCACTTACCTGGAACACCTGGGCAGTAAGCGTGGCCATCTCCAAAGCTGGCCTCGCCCCAAGGTCCAGGCCAGGTTCTGAGACCAACACTCAGTGAGCTTGCCTTCTTTCCCTCTCTGACATAAGCCATCTTCTACTGAGCTATCAGATCAGAGAAGTGATCTATATCTGCTTCCCATTCACAGCCTGTCTGGAAATTCTACCTGCAAATTTCTGCTGCCAGAGAATTAGGGAAAACCCCTAAAGGGATGCTGAGAAGGCCACAGGAACCAACTGACTCTCACAGCTTATAAACTGACTTTTAGGTTCAAACTGTGTTCCCCCAATTGGGGTGAATTATATTCTTGGAAGCTGCCACCTCCCCTCAGCTGCTTATGTAAGCGAATGAGAAGCTGGCAAAGGCCTGGTAATAGGGACTGGGGCAAGAAACACCCCTGAAAAGTACCAAGATGATCATCCTCAGTCATTCAATAAGTATTTCTTGAACGCCTACAATGTGCCAGGAACCGCATTGGCATCAGTTAGCTGGTGAGGCAAAGAAGACCACTTTAGAGGTCACTCTGAATTTTTCCAAAAAGAACAGGCTGGCTTGTTGAAAAAATTATATATAGAGAGAGAGATAATGCATATCTATATATACACATACAACCGTCTAGCCTGATTATCCATAGAGTCTGTATTTGCAAATTTGCCTACTTGCTAAAATTTATTGGTAACCTCAAAATCAATATTCGCAGCTCTTTTGCAGTCATTTTTGCATATGCACAGAGCAGCAAAAAGTTTGAGTCACCCCAACACACATATGTATTCACAGCGGAGGTCAAACAAGGCAACACTCTGCCTTCTTATTTCAGTTCTCATACTATTATACAAATTGTCCTTTTCTCAGTCTATTTAGTGCTGTATTTCTCACATTTTTTGGAATTTTTATTGGTGATTCCTCTTTTTAAATGCCTCCCTAAAACAGTGCTGAAGCACTGTTCAGTGTTCCTAAGCTCAAGAAGGCTGTGATGTGCCTTATGGAGAAGATAAGTGTCTTAGATCAGTTTTGTTTAGGCATGAGTTACAGTGCTGTTGGCTGTTGAGTTTGATGTTAATGAATTAATAATATAGATTAAATAAGGTGTCTTTAAACAGAGACACACATAAAACAAGGTTATATATCAATCAGTTAACAAAAATATTGTGAGCAGAGGCTCTCAGGAACCTAACCCTCTATTTCCCCTAAGAGCAATGGTTCAATATTCACAAATTCAGTGTTTGTAGCAACTTTGTAGAACATAACTACTATGAATGAGAATCAACTGTGTATGTGTAGGTATACAGATATACATATATATATATGCGTGTGTATAGTATGTATATAAATGAAGTGCCAATGTTAACTTCATTTGTTAACAAAAATGACCAATGATGGCCAGCTGTACACACTCTCTATACAGGCATGATATTCCCCATCAAGAGATGAAGCTCATGACCGTGGTTGTCTTGACCAATAGAACACAGCAGATGTGACACAATCTGGGTACAAGCATGGACATGGCACTGGCACTCCAGCCTGGGCAACAGAGCGAGACACTCTCTCAAGAAAAATTTTAAAAAAAGAAAGAAAGCTCGGCAACTTTTTATTCCTCCTTCTTAGAACCCCAAGCTGCCACTGTGGGGTGGCACCTCAGAGAGCACTGAGGAAGGTCCACCATTCAGCCCCAGCAGCAGCCCCAACTGCCATCTGCTTACAACTGTAGGAGAGGAAGGCCATAAGAGCACTTCCCAACCCACAGGGGTGAAAGAGATGATTTCATGGTTGTGTAAGCCACTGAGTTTGTTTTGTAGGGGCAGATGGGGTAGAGTTGTTACACAGAAATCAATAATGAGACAGAACCCATGAGCCATGCCCCATGCCAGTGGCACAGTAGTGAGAGACAGAGCAGTGGCCACCCTCACAGTATTTACATTCTCAGGTGAGTGGTTTCTATGTCTACTCAGACTGGGAGAGACCTCATCTAATATCTTTTCCAACGTTTTTATTTATGGTGGAGAATCTGAATCCAAAGAGATTAAGTGACTTGTCCAGATCCACAAAGCAAGCAAACAGGACTCCTAGAAGGTGTGCTCTGAAAATTTCCTTTGGGAAGGTTTGGGGAAAGCAGCCTAATAAGCCAGTTTTGCCAAGGATGACACTTCTGGGAAGAAGAAAGAGGAAAACCAGGTGACTCCAGACAGACATACTAAAACAAAAGCAGAAAATAAGAGTTGGGTAAGCAGATCTCTCTCCCCTCCACCTCTGACCCTCCCTCCACAGGGCACGCACCTGAGGGCTGTGTTGGCTCCCGGTACTCTCCGCTGCTGATTTGCCGAATGAGGTTTTTGTGATCGAAACCATCGAAGGGCATTGTTCCATAAACAAGAGTGTAAAGCAACACACCCAGGGCCCAGCTGTCCACCTGGAGCAGAGAGACAGCACATATAGGAGAGCTGGGAAACAGATCCCAAGATGCCTTCCAAACCATTAGCATCATAGCCTGTGAGCAGCCACCCCCAGCAGCCCCAGGAACTGAATTTAGCACCTGGAAGATAGGTTCCTAGTGCAGCCTGACACCTGACAGCAATGCAGCTGGGACCTGCTACAGAGCCTGACCTTTCCATTCTGAACAGAGGCCAGTGGTCCCAACTAGTAAAGAACTTTCTTAAACAGATTATCTTCTTTAATCCTCACTACAATTTTGTGAAGCAGTTAGAGCCAGGACTATTTTCAGCCCCATTTAAAAGATGAGAATACTGAGGCACGAAGAACCTAAATGGTTTCTCCAGAGGCCCTGCCCCAGTGACGGAGGTAAAACTGGGATGCGGGGCTCTTCATTCCTAATCCAGGAATCAATTCCTTCCTGCACTTTCTTCAAATGAATCAGGAATTACAAACTGAAATCTTAACAGATATACACAAAGCAAGAAAGAATTGGGGTTATGACATAGAGTGTTGGGGATGGAGACAAACTGTACAGTACATTCACCCGTCTTAGGCAGACAGCCTCTCCTTAGCTAATTGCTGCCATGTAGTAACATGGGCCCAGCACTGCTCGATTCTTTGGTTTTACAAGAGAAGTCAGAAACCAAACTTTTACATGAAATCTCCCAATTATTACATGTTTGTTCAATTTTTTTAATAAAAACTAAGGTGGCCAAATAAAGGAGTTTGCTGACCAGATCACAGACTGCTAGCCTGGAACCTCAAAAACAGGTCATCGAAGACCAAAATATTCATTATCTATGAGAAATTTCGTGTCGAGTTTCTACAAGTTTGTAAATTGAGTTCTATGCTCCTCCCTCACATTCTTATTTTAGAAAGACTTTCTCTTCATTGCAGTTAATAGATGGTCTTGGCATCCTTCTCTTTACCCTTCAGCCCTGCCCCCAAACACTCTCAAACACATAAATATTTGAAAGAAAACATTTCAACACACTGAGCAGCTGCTATTTAAAGGATACTGAGTGGATGAACTCTGAAAAGAGAACCATCTTTCAAAAAGAGAATCATCACTCACAACTCACTCATTTTCAAAATAAAATTTCCATATACCCATATCTTACAGTGGCCCTTGAAAGCGCTAGCATGTAGGGAAATGTATTTCTCATGAATTAGAAGATGTCATTAAAATGTATTTCCTTAGTCAGATATGCATGCTGCCAAAAATATATACAAAAAAGATATTTACCCCAGAGTGAGGCAATTTTTTGTTTGTTTGTTTTGTCTGTTTTGATATAATAGGGAAAAAACTAAATGTTCACATCTAGACATTACTAAATAAATTTTGGTATATTCATTGATAAAATGTCATTAAAATCATGTTTTTAATAATGAATTTGGAAATTGCCACAAGATAGTTTTCATAGTAAAGGGCAAGATATACATACGTGTGTCACATACATATGTATATCTTGCCTTTTATTAACTTGATCTCAATTATTTTTGAAATGCAGAGATCTACATTGGGAAAAGTTTAAAAGTCACTAGAGTTTTAAGTGATTATCTTTTCTAGGGGGATGGCAGGTACCTTTATTTTCTCCTTTAGGCTTTTCTGGGTTTCCCAAATTTCCTCCCAGGAGTATACATTAACTGCTTTTATAATCGTATAAGGAAACGTTTTCCTTGCTGGCTTTTTTAGGCTCTGTTTTTTTAAGCATTTCTCGAATCCAGTTTTTGCCCTTCCTCCCTCTTCTCCCTCCCCTCCCCTGCCCCATACACATTGGGAAAGCTGCTCACCTCTGGCCCTCGGTAAGGTCTCCCATTGACAATCTCAGGAGATGCATAGAGTGGACTCCCACAAAACGTTTGTAAGAACTTATCCTTCTGGTACAGGTTGGAAAGCCCAAAGTCAGCAATCTACAAAGAGAAGCAAGACCCAGGGAGACTTGTTAGCATTCCAGATTATGTCTGTGTTGGATCAGTTCACACCACACAGCACACAGAGTGGATGAAGGGCACCTGGGTGGGTCTGCTGGCTGGATCGCCATTTTCTCTCCAGCCCTGAGTCTTCATAAAGGACCACTCAGCCCAAGCAGGTCAGTGTTTCCTAGCTGCAGTCCTTGGCATCCATCACAAGTTCTACCAAATCTGCAGACTACAAGCTCTGCAACTTACTTAGAAATTACTCTTTAAATGGATGCTCTATTTAAACTTTAATTTAGACTTGCTTTGAGAAATAACATTCACAAAATCACTGGCTTGATGTTTCTGATGAACATTAAAGTGTGTAACTATTAATTTAAGAATTCTCCCTCTGTGGTCTACCCAATTATGCTGCATCTGCGGTGGTGTGCATATCACACTGCGGAAAAACCCTGACCTACACAACTGGTGATACCACCTCTGTATCCACTCACACCCTGATCAGAACTGTATTTTGCCTGTCTTGTGACTCAAGATGAAATGGACTAATTGACTCACAGCATTGGGTTTTGAGTCATCATATTTCAGTCCCAACTCTGCTCCTATCTGTCACTTAATGACCTTGAGCCTCAGTTTACCCACCAGAAAATGGGAATCCATGATCCCTTCCCTGTTCTAGCTCACAGGATCATCATGAGAATAATAAGAAAAAGAAATCAATCGAGATGAGACCTTGGCCAGGCGGATCACTTGAGGTCAAGAATTCGAGACCAGCCTGGCCAACATGGAAAAACCCCGTCTCTACTAAAAATACAAAAATTAGCCGGGCGTGGTGGTGCATGCCTGTAATCTCAGCTACTCGGGAGGCTGAGGCATGAGAATCACTTAAACCTGAGAGGCGGAGATTGCAGTGAGCCAAAATCACACCACTGCACTCCAGCCTGGGCGACAAAGCGAGATTCAATCTCAAAAAAAAAAATAAGATGACACCGTGAGTGTAACAGTGGTTCATAACCTTCAAGTTTGATGCAAATGTTTCATCTAGCCTTGTTTTCATTGTACTCCACACACCTTGGAGTCATTCTCTTCTCCTTTGGTTTCTTGAAGTGTTTTATGTGTTATCATTTATGACAGCACTTTTACATATATATGTATATGTATATGTACACATATGTACAAATATACACATATACACATATATACATACATATACATATATATATTTGCTTTCCCTACCAGACTCTGAGTTTCCTGAGGCAGTTGGCAGGTTCCACATCCTCCCCTTATCTTTGTATCATCCACTGCTTAGCACCTGCCCACACCCAAGAAACACTTGTCACTGGTACAGGCATTATATTTTGAAAAGCACAAGATAATTAATATATAATGCAAAATAATAATAATAATAATAAACTTAGTTGCCACTTTTTGAACAACTTCCAATTATCAGGTACTGCTCCAAACACTTTATTTAATCTAATCTTAACAAAAACCTGGTTTACACAGCAATGTGAATGCCTTTCATGCCTAAAAAAGGTTAAAATAGTCAGTTTTATGTTATGTCCACTTTACCACACATTTTTTGAAAAACTCATTTAACAGATGAGGAAATTGAGGTTTAAGGAGTTTGAGGTTACTCATTTAAGGAGATGAGTAACTAATATGCAGCAATATAAACCCCCGTGTCTCTAAAGCTTCAAACCACAGTGCCACCCTGTCCCTGGGTCACCTGTATATTTCACTCCACTCTAAGCCAGCCTTGCAAGCTGAGCCCCTGTAGGTTTCCATCATTCTCCAAGCTGATTTCCATTTGAGGCTTGGAAATGAGCTGCATGATTCACATGCCCAGAGAGAGCCCAGCCTGAATACCACCGAGGCTCTGTGGTGGTCACAGCCCCTAGAAGCAGCCTATTTTGTAAAAGTCATCCCTGAATGAATGGAATGTCATTGAAAGCAGCTGGTGTACAACCAGCCTCAGAAAATGCATTCTCCGGGCTCAGATTGCACTTCATTGCCCTGAATTCCACTTTCTTATCAAGGCCCCTGACTTGCTTGCAGGAAGTTGGTTGGAAGCTTTATGAAGTGTGCCCTGTCAATCAGAAGAGGCATGGAATGGCTACGCACAGGAAAATGCATTCTCTTCCCGCCTGGCAGTGCCTGGGGCACCATATGAGCTTCCAAATACACGTGCGTGTGAGAGGCACCCGCTGCACATGCACACACTCACACCAGGAGTTTTCATTCCAAGTCTGGGCAGCCTCATTTGCTCTGTAGCCGTTCTGGAGAAGTGTGTTTATGTTATGGCCCACTCCTATCCTCACAGACTGATGTTTATCAGCCTCTCCCAGTAAAACTGTCATTGCCACTGACACAAGATTAATAGAAATCTAGATTAGCCTGTGTTCTTGGCACTTCGATGGGAAAGCAGTATTAATCAACACACACACACACACACACACACACACACACAGAGAGAGAGAGAGAGCGTTCTCAGATCTTGAGCCATTCAAACTTAGGCTTCGGCTCTAAGATTTAATGCCATACGGAACTTATATCAACTATTGATAAGAGGGGAAATGGCCACTGGTTATGAAACCTCTCTGAAGCTTCAGTTTTCTCGTCTGTAAAATAGCGTTAGGAAGAGTGTCTATCCCTACTGTGTCATGGTGGAGATTAAATGACATAAAGTATGTAAAGTCCTTACAACAGTAATTGGCCCAGAGTTGGAGCTCAATATATATTTGCTTCCCAACTTTAAATCCAGGGAGTTAATTACCTTCGTTATACTAGAAGCAGAGTTTATCCCAATGCCAGGGACTCTTGACAGTGAAGAAATAGAGAAATTTCAGATGCCAAATAATAATGGAATTAAATAACTTTGAATAATAAAATGAAAAATTCATTCCTTTCTGGATTCACCTTCAGTTCTTTGGATTAAGTCAAGAAGAAGGTCTCAGTTGGGCACTGGTGTGTCTTCAGTATCTCTTTAGCATTTATCAAAGAGACCAGGCCTCCGGCCTAGCCTGCAGCAGCAACCAACATCAAGCTGGAACTTCAGAATGCTATTTGGTTTCCATTATACTTAGTTTTGAGCTTATCTTCTATTCATGGTAAGTGATACTGGTTTTCCACTTAAGGTAATTATTTAGGGCTTCTTTTTCAAATAGACAGAACTTTAAAAAGTGACCTGAACTCAACAAAAATATTAAGTAAAATAGCAGTGAGGATACTGCGGAAAGGCAAAAATCCATGAAAAGGATGACAAACTGAAATTTGAGAAATACTGATTTTAAACATCATAAAACAAAATCTCAGAATTACTTTGACCTGAAAGAGCCCTAACAGATGTTAATCCTGCCCCTCGCTCTAAAAGTGAAGCAGCTGAAGGTTCCAGGGCATAAGAAGTTTTGCTAAAGGTTGCAAAGAACAGCAGCAAGTACATGAAGGAGCACATGGGTCTTCCCAAGCCGTACAGTTTCTCCAACAGAACATCAGCTGCAAATGGAGAGGATGACTTTCCAGCAAGGAGGCGACTGGGCTGAAGAATTTTGCTGACACACTAGCAGGCAAGCTTTGGAGAAAGGTACCTACCTAGCTGGCATTTTTGCTTGTTGTTTTGACTGCTCCCCTGCCCCATACTGATTCAGAACCACCTTCTGCCCCTGCCCTGTGCTATTCAGTTCAGCCTCAATTCTCGAAAGGAGCCCCGGAACTCAAGGCTCGGGTCCTTAATATTTGGAGTTTTTATTGTTATCAAGCCTTTCCAGAGGTGTTCCCCACTGCATGAAAATTGGGGTTAGAAAGATAAATGAGGAAGTAATTATTCATTCACATTTCAAAAGGATTAACCTCACTACAACACAGATGAACCCTGAAGATGTTATGCTAAGTGAAATAAGCCAGACACAAAAGGACATATATGATTCCATGTACATGAGGTCCCTAGAGTAGTCGAATTCAGAGATGGAAAATAGAATGGAGGTTGCCAGTGGCTGGGAGGAGGGGGAAAGGGGAGTTACTATTCAGTGGGGACAGCGTTTCAGCTGGGGAAGGTGAAAACATTCTAGAGATGGATGATGGTAATGCCTACACAACAATATGAGTATACTTAATGCCACTGAACTGTGTACCTAAAACTGGTAAGTTTGATGTTACATATATTTTACCACCATAAAAGGATTAACTCCAGAACACTGTTTATAATGAGCTCATCTGGTGAAAACTGAAGTGTCACCTTGCTGACATTAACTGATAGGAAAGGATGCTGATGGCAATGATAATAATTAGTGATGGTCTAACAGTCATCTGCAGTGTTTAAGAGGAAGTGTGGTGCACTCCACAGATCAGACATTTTGGGTCCAGGAGAACCTGGGGCTAATCATGGCTTTGTCGTTACTAGGTGATGGGTGGGACCTGCCAAGTCACTCAAGTTCCTCATCTGCAAAATGGCACTCAGACTAGAACCCACCTCACATAGGTAAGAAGAGTAGAGAATACGCATGTAAAGCTCCTGGAATAGTCCTGGGACCAGCTGACGCTATAAATTACAGCCATTATGGTAAGGCTGATGGTTTGGCCGACTTAACAATCGTTTGTTAGACCAGGCAAACAGGGAACCAAAAGCATTAAAGCCACTGCCCATTAAAGAGCCAGGAGATCTTACCACTCATTTATAATACAGTCACGTTCAGAGTGAGAAGCTGCATCATAGGATGGGAAAAGGAAAGGATTCAGGGTTTGAGCACTTGAGTTCAAATCTCAGCCTTGCCTCGTACCAGCATCTAACCCAAGGCGCTTTAGATAATCCCACCCCACTCCAATCTGGCCCACGGACCAGCAGCATTAGCATCACCTCGGAACATTTCAGAAACTGAGACACTCAGGCCCTGCCCCAGATCCACTAAAACTGCATTTTCACAAGAGCCCCAGTGTATAATACGCACTTGCACATTAGCCATTCTAAGCCTGCATTTCTTCATCTGTAAAGTGGGGTTGATGATAATAATGTCACCTACCTGGAAGTGCTGGTACCAAACCAAATAAACTGATTCATGGAAGTGCTTACACCATGCCTACCTAGCACACAGTAGGCCTTCAGTAAATGTTAGCTATGACTACTTTATTTAACCTCTCTGAGTCTCAGATTCCTTTGTTGGAAAATGGAATTGCAATACCGCCAATCACTTGGTGCTGTGAAAATCAAAGCCAGATTAAACAAGAAAAGAATTAAAATAGGCCAGATGTGGTGGCTCATGCCTGCAATCCCAGTGTTTTTCAAGGTTAAGGCAGGGGGACTGCTTGAGGCCAGGAGTTTAAGGCTGCTGTGAGCTATGATGGTGCCACTGCACTCCAGTCTATGCGACAGAGCAAGACCCTGTCTCTAAAAATAAAAGTAACAGTAGCAGCATTGCTATATGCCAGGCACGGTTCTGTGAGTGCTACATATATTGATGTAGTAAATTCTCACAACAACCCTATCTGGAAGATTGCAGATAGTGGAATTCTAAAATTATCCTTATTTTGCAGATAAGAAAACTGAGGCACAGGGTGGTAAACTGGCTTGCCTGAGACATCGGTGAACAGCTGCCTTAGCTGTAAAGTTCTACATAAAGGGGAGTTATTGCTGTCAGGTGGCTGACGAGGAAATGCACTTTCTGTGTAACTCTTCGGGAAGACAGCAATTCCATCCAGGAAGGTACACTCCATAACTCCTTTCCGGCCTTGGAGTTGATCGCTGTGGCTTCACTCAAGACAGCCTCACTCCTGAGTTGCCAGGAAGTGAAGGCAGGGAGTGGAACAAGGAGCAGAAGTGAGTGGGGTCGGCTTCTGTCTTCAGAGGATCTAAGCTCATGCTGCCTCTCTTAAAAGAAAAGAAATTCCCACCAGGAACAATGTGAGGAGGCTCTTAAAAGAGGGCGCGTCCAAGCAGCAGCTCCCATGGATGTTAATTAGCAGCCAGTGCCAGCTCACAGCACACAGCCCTGGCATCCCCGCATGGCTACTCTGGCCACCATGACTCAGCCTGGCCATCAGCCACCATTAGCACTTGGAGAGTCTCTCGCAGTGATAGCTGTCTGCAAGCCTGCCTGCAGACAAGGTAAGGCTGACCAAAGCATGGACCAAACAGTGCCCTCATTTGATGTGCTCTTAGATGTATGGCAAATTTGGATAGTAAGAGTAGAGAGTAGAATTCATCAGGTGTCTGGTCTTTAGAGTCAAATAGCCATAGGTTTGTAGCCAGTCCCATCACTTATTAGCTGCAAGAGCTTCCTCTTCTGTAAAATGATGTAATCACACCCACCCCGGTGGAGACATTCTGAGGACCAAATGAAATAAGGTGTGGAAGGTCTGACATGGGGCTCTAGCTTCTAGCAGGGGCTCAGTAAGCATTACTTTCCTTTTCTAGTCTCCATGCTGTGTTCCTGTGCTTGCTGTTTCTTCCTCTTGAAAAGCCATCATCATGCTCCTTACTATCAAACTCCTACCCATCCCTCAAAACCCAATTCAATCCCTCTTCCTCCATGAAAGCTTTCTGGTCCATCCAGCCAGACAGACCCACTGCTTCCTGCTCAGCACTTCCAGAATACATTACACAGGGCCATTTGGCCCTGCCAAGGGAGAAGGATCAGGGAAGGCTTCCTGGAAGAAGAGGCAGTCAAGCAGAGACCCCAAAGAAGGAGCAGGCAAAAAGGAATGAGCAGAGCATTCCAGACAGTGTGAACCATGTGTGCCAAGGTCAAGAAGCCAGAGAGAGCTTGGTGGATGACAGGAATTCAAGTCCTATACCAGGGGCCTTCCCTGACCACTCTAGGTAAAAGAGCAACTCTATTCTTCATTCTCATCCTGCATGGATTTTCTTCACTGCCAGCCAATTACATTATGTGTTTATTTGTTTACTGCTGTGTCTCCAACTGGAATTTTAAGCTCACTAGAGCAGGTACCTTCTCTTCTTCACTGACTTCTGTATCCTCCTCACGGCTCATTATCACTGCTAGTTTAACAACTGCGAGATCCTGAGTTCCAAGACAGAAATTTGGCCATCTAGTTCACTATTAAATCCCCAGCACAGGGTCAAGTACACAGTAGGACCTTAATGAATATTTCTGATCAAATAAATATTGCCCAGAAAAGACGTTCAATTCCTCAGTGAATAAATGCAGGAATGGATGAGTGAATGCAGGTATGCGTGGATATATACACACAACACATGAATTGATTAATTCATGCATGAACACAGAGCTCTCCCATTCATATCATCAAAGCCCAGAGGCTGACTCTCAGCTGCCCCACTTGGTCTTATTAAGCTTCAGAGGTTTCTATCTCATCTTGGCCCTGGCCATTCAAAGCTTCTTTTCTTATCCACAGCAGCCGCGCTTCCATTGTCTTAAGGGGCAGCAGGCCATTTCCCCTATGCCCCTCTACTCTGAGCCCTGGGAGCTCACCAGATTCCCAGCCCTCTTGGAGGAGGTCGGCTGACCCTGGTGCCTGGACCTCTTCTCATTGTAAGACATTTTTACAGGAGCCTTCTATGGGAATTGTCAGCATTCCATTCTCCCAGAGAGTGGGCTGTGAATTTGGCCCGTTTTTTATTAATTGCAAATTAGTGCTGTGCTTGGTGTCTATTTTAGTAGACATGCTTCCAGAGTACGGAATGCAGCCCAAAGCAGCACATTGCTCTCATTCTTTCTGCTGACCGACTGTGTGAATATTTTTAGAAACCACACCCTCTCGCAGTGCCAGATAAATAATTTCCAATGCCAGATGTGTGCTCTGCAAATCAACATCAGGCAGGGAAGGGGAGAGGAATGAGCTACATGGCTCTCCCCACCACTGCAGCGACATGTGACAAGTTTAAACCAGTAGCATTTATATAGGCTTCCTAGGCCAAAGTCCTCCACCCTTGAAACGTGGAAAATGGATCCACATTTAGAGAAGCACCAGAGGGGGCTCCAAGAGAGGATCTTGCTGCTCATGTCCCGCTGGTTCGTGGCTCGTGTGTCTGTGGTCCCCCAGGTCCAGACACGGATGGCAGGGGCTCTCTTGAGCACAGAGGCCGGCTTGTGGCCATGTATCTGCCTGCCTTTGCCAGCATGGGTCCTTTCTAAATATGTTTCAGCAAAATGCTGAGTCAGGAAGAGTTGAGAATATACCACCAGAAGACAAATCAAGACCAGCTGAATCACATTTTTTTAAAACCTTGGAAGTGGATGGGAGATGATGAAAAGATAATTTGCCTGGAAGTCAAACACATGAGTTCTAATCCTGGCTCATCATTCCTTTATTCCAAAATCAAACCATTTTGAAGTACCTACTGTGTGCCAAGCACTAGTCTACACTCTGGGGAAGCAAAGACACAATAATTTAGTCCAGACTGATTCACTGTGTGATCGTGGGCATTATCCTCTAGACTTTCTGGGTCTAATCATTAAAACAAGGGGTTGGAAAAATGACTCCCAAAGTTCTTTAAAGATGTAGGATTCTCAGACCTAAGTAGGATTCCTTGAACAAAGAGGAAAGGAATTTAAAAGTGTTGATAATGGGAAGATCTGGTTTCTCTTTGGGACGTATGTGTGCATGCACACCCGTGCTTTACCTTGGGAAATGCCAGGATTAGAAATTCTTAAGGAAAGGTATATGCCTAAGCCTTAATTGATAATACTGCTTTGTGTGTGTGCTCTTTCCCTCCATCATGCACAGGCACCCTAGGTTGAAGAACTTGGTGCAGGGGAACTGTCAGGCCCAACATCATTGCCCTTTTGCTTACACAAATGAAGCCATTCTCCTGGGCTCCTGCCTCACTGTTTCCCTGCACAATTGCTTTCAGAATTCTAATCATTCTTTTCCTCCATTAGGGAATTACATGATTTCATAGAAAGCTATGTGTCTTATCACTTCTGGGAATACATCATGGGACCAAGAGGTCACACTGCACCATAGAACCCAACCCCTAGGCAAGAGGCTTACATTCCAGGCCTTGTAAAGATGACATTTAGTTTTGAGAGCTCTGGGGGCAGGTGGCAGGAAGGATCTGGAGAGGAAGTCAATAAGGTTGATGACACAAACCCTTAGAAAAATGTGGTGGCCCTCAAACCAAGACCAATTTTTCAGCCATGGCCTGACCACCACTCCCCAGGACCTAGGTAGGCACCTTCAGAGCAGCTGACTTCCGGTTCAATTCCCTCTCCAGTGGCCAGCCACTTAAGAAGGCTCCCAGTATAGTAACAGTTAAGCATGAATTGCTTTGATTGTAGTATTGTCTAAAATCTTCACGTTTATTATTGACTCTCCAGGACTGGGCACAGGGCATTGCACACAGTAACAGTTCAGAAAATACTCCTTGAAACAAAAATGAACAAATAAACAATAATCTGCAGAGACAGGAACTGGCAACTCTTGACAGATGAGGAAACTAAAGCCTAAATCATCAAGAAACTTACCCCAAATCCTGCCATTACTAAGGGGCAGGGTTGAAATATCTAACTCCAAAGCCACTGCTTTTAACTTTGACTCATTTGGACACGAGTGCTTAGCAGTTTACAAAACTAAACACAGAGTGTCTCATTCACTGCTCTAAGCAGGCCTGTGAGTAGTACTGTTACCCCGTTTTACAGCTGAGGAAACAGGGTTAAGTGGTTTTCCCAGTGTCAAGAAGCTAGTAAGCCATACAGCCCGGAATTTCCTAACTCTACAACCAGTGCTCCTTCTAGAATAATCCAACCACTTTGCCAGAAATAGACCCTGCGATTCCACTTCCTATTCCCATGGAGAACTACTTTGACCAACTATTTCCTGCTTATTCTATAGACTACATGTGACTACGGTCAAACACTCTGCAAGAGCAAGAGGTCACTGGGTCATGGCTTCCAGGGGCCTCTCAAAGGATGATGGTGACTAATGGTTGCTGCCATGATCTGTACAGAGAATCCCAACACCAAAGCAACTCCATCCTTCCAAGCAAGGAAACAAGTCTCATCACACGCTCCTCCACTGATAGCAGCAACAACAAAAAAATCATTCCCATGCTTTGCCCAGGGACCAGGGATAAGCCACTAACGTCACCAGCGGCCAATTGGAGGGCTCCTGCTGGTGCCGGGAGTACTAAGGCCGTTTCATAATGAAACCCATGCAGCGAGCTCCGTTTATTTTGAAACCGTATTTGCTTATTTTGTAGACGTGGTCAAAAGGACATTCAGAGGGCTCCCTGGGAGGCACTTGAACCCTGTGGGCCAGGAGAACTTTCTCCAGCTCCAGCAGCAGCCAGCAATAATACTCTCCGTGCAAGTAAACTCCAGCACTTGCTATTTCCCAACAGCAAGCACCATCCCCATTTTAGTCAGCTTCCCAGGTCTATGGCTGGTTTCAGGGGTGGGAAGGTGGAGAGGGAGAAGTAGGAGACAGGGTGGAGAGTGACAAAGAAATAGCCAGGCAAAGAGTTCCAGCTCTAAAATAATTTAGGATCCTGCTAGCAAATCAAGCAAAGCGACTTGAATTTGGGCTCGTGAAATCAGACAGACATGGGTTCAAATCCCAACTCTACTCTTTACCACTGGATTACCTTGGGCAAATTACTTAGTTTTTCTGTGCCTCAGTTTCCCTATCTGTGAAATTATGTAAATAACAGTACCTACCTTGTAGAGTTGTTGTAAAGATTGAATTTAAGTGATAGCAGGCAAAAATATAAAATACATATGAAATATGTATTGGTTGCTAAAAGTATTGTTATGGTGATGATTTTAGACTATGAGCTTCCTGAGGAGAGACACTGTATCTCAGTCATCTCATCTTACCCAGGGAGGAAGAACAATGCCCGGCATATAGTAGGAGATCAATAACTGCTTGTCGCATTTAATTGTTTGAACTGGACTTGGAGCTCAAGCAAAGAGACTCTTCCCCACCAGCCTGCCAGGTAGGAAGTGGCTGCCTTATTTCCAGGCTGCGGCTTGGAGCAGGTTAAGCCTCCATCCGGCTGCAAGACCCAGGCCCTGCATATCAATCGACGACGCAAGGGCTTTACCTTAATATTGCAGTTGTCATCGAGCAGTATATTTTCCAGCTTCAAGTCCCGGTGGACCACACCGTTCTGAAATGAGAAGACAAAGAGGGAATTGAATGGGAGCGGCTGGGATGAGAACAAGAGAGAAAGAGGAAGGAGGAGGGTGAGCAAAGGGAAATGTCTGACAGATTAAAGAAATGCACCAGCCCGGTGGTCTTCACCTCCATCCTTCAGGCTGCTCTCACTGTCTTGACGCTCCCCCGCCAGCGACCAACCAGCGACAGGAGAGCATTAGTCACTTGCTGTGTGGTTAAGGGAAAAATGACTGGAATCTGTTCTCCCCCAGAGCCTGTAAAACAGCAGGGGGATTCTTTGTCGGAATGTAATTCCACTGTGTGAAAGCAATATAATCCCAGGCAGCAGCAAACAATGTCTGTCTGGACGGGATTCCCAGGGAAGAAGCAGATTTCTCTACTGGGGACTCAAGATTGTGGGGCTCACAGGCACTCCTCATCTGTCTGTCTGTGTGCCTGCCTGCCTACTCAACGCTGGAAAGACATCTGGCTCAATCTATTCCGACCTGTTTTGATCTGTCCTGAGGATAACATTTCCTAAGCAACCTGGAGAGAAGACTCAGAAAGTCCCTCTCTGCTCAGCAGGACTCAGGGCTGGGTGAAAGATGAAGCATGAGAGCAGACCAATGAGACTGGGACCACTGGCCTGACCAAAGCAGGTGGCTGCCATCCTGCCTGACCTTTCCATTCAGGCAAACTCTGGCAAGGCTGGAGGCTGAACTTCAATGACCAGCAGCCAGCCAGCTGAAACGTGAAAAGCAGTCATCAGCCAATAGGCTGTCGGTCTACACAGCAGTAAACACTAGCCTTCTTCATTCTTTTTTAAGACCCGATTATCTTTTTAGGGGGTGGGTGGGCATGGGAAGAGCAGTGGGCCCGAAAGAACTGGCTATTTTGGGGTGAGTGGACAAGTAACAGGGGACATTGAATGATTCTGAACATCATTCAGCATAAAGGACATCTGCAATCGAAGCTGCTCTTTTGAGCAAACCAACAGGCATGTTTATGGGTGGTTCTTTCTTGTTTATTTTCCTTTTCATTTGACCATTCTTAATATCTCCAAAAGCACTGCTCAGAGGGAGAAATGAAAACATGTATTTCTACTAATCTTTTTCTAATTCAAGCCTGCAATGAGGTCTTCTGAATTCAGAAATGCACAAAACCGAGTCTGTTAGAAGAAAGATGTGGACTACAAGACACCTGATTCCATTAATTTTAAACATCAGGAGCAGTTTGGTTTACATTGCTGCATTCCTGGTTTTTGTAATAAGATGGAATGAGTCTAATAAAGCCTCATTCATACAGAATCCAAGTGTTCACACACTTCCAATATCAAAAATATCACCTCTGTGGTGATTTACAATGATACCTCATGATGAAATACAAAATATTATACGATTCAAATCATGAGCACATTTTGAGTCAACAAAGAGAGGTCAAATAATGTTCACATGAGTTAAGGGTTTTAGATTTGAGTAACTGTTCTCTAATTACTTACAGAGCCACTCTCAATTAAACATAATATTTAACAAACCAGGAGGCCCCATGTTGAGATCATTTATATGAAGAAGTTGACTCTGTTTTGGATGCCCTGTTGGACTCAAGTCACGTTATCCTCAAAGTAAATGACTGTTTAGGGTGTGACAGATCTGGAGAAAGTCTGAATGAGATGAAATTCATGGCCAAAGTGATGAATAACAATAATGGCTGAGACATGGCTTGTAGTTATCTGTGTACTTTATGCCTTTTCCAGAAACCAAGAGTGGCTCTACTGTGGCTATATTATTATTGTTATTATTATTATTTTGGAGATGGGGTCTCACTTTGTCATCCAGGCTGGAGAGCAGTGGCACCATCATAGCTCACTACAGCCCCAAACTGCTGTGCTCAAGGGATCCTCCTGTCTCAGCCTCCCAAACAGCTGGGACTACAGGTGCGCAACCTCATGCCTGGCTACTTTTTAAAAAAAATTTTAAAGATGGATCTTGCTATGTTGCCCTGGCTGGTCTTGAACTCCTGGGCTCAAGCAATCCTCCCCCCTCAGCCTCCCAACTAGCTTGGATTATAGGCATGAGCCTGTCTGCGGCCATCTTCTGAGCACATCCGTGCATGTAGGTAACCTATGCAAGAAAAGGCACCAAGAGCATAGAAAGGTTTCAAGAACATTTCTCCTAGTAATTCTACTTCTGGAATCTCTCTTAAGTAAATTATTCACATGAGAGGAAAATATTCATATATAAAGATACTGATCACTATTTGTCATAATCAGAAATTAGAAACAGTCTCAATGTCCAACAATCAAGAATTACAAAGAATTTTTAATAATATAGGAAAATATTTAGATTAAAGTATTAAGTAAAAAAGCATGACACAAACGATGTAAAAATGAATCCACCGTGGTACCCTAGATTGGATGCTGGAACAGAAAAAGGTCATTGGTGTCTCCATTTTGACAAATGTACCACAGAAATGTAAGATGTTAATATTAGGGTAAACTAAGAAAGGCATAGATAGGAACTCTCTGTACTACCTTTGAAACTTTCCTGTAAATCTAAAATTATTCAAAATTAAAAGTTTACATAAAAAAATAAATGTGAGAAGGAGGAGGAAGAAGACTGAAAGGAAACAAGCAAAAATGTCAAAAATAGATTATCCCTGGATTCCAGAATCACGGGTGATGGTAATTTTCTTCTTTCTAGTTCATAAATTCTCCATACATGCTCCCATGAACAGATATCACTTTTATAATAGGAAAAAAATCATGCAGTGCCATAAAAACCATCTACGGCCAAAGCTGCGGGCCAGGCGCAGCCATACCTTGTGACAATAGTGCACAGCAGAGACGATCTGCCGGAAGAAGTGCCGGGTCTCCCTCTCACTGAGGCGTCGCCGCTCACTGATGTAATCGTACAGCTCCCCTTTGCTGGCATATTCCATGATGATCACAATCTTATCTTTGTTCTCAAACACTGCAGAGGGAAAACAGCAATACACAAACACCCCGTTTAGCCAACAAGCTCACTTATGCTACAGAGAATGCGAGAGAGGACAACGGAGATGTCGCCAGGCAGAGGATCGACTGATGGGTCAGAACACAAATCAGCCAATTCAGCATCACGAGGCGTGGGGCGTGCTGTCCCGCCAGGTGGAAAATGGTGTGTGTCACCACCACTGTTCCTGGACACGCCTTTGTCATGCTAAGGGAAATGTGGTTCCCTTTTCTGAGGACCCCACTTTCCTTGTCAAGATCATTTCTCATACCCTCTCCCAGAACGGCTTTCCTGTAGACAGGATGATGGGTAACAACAAACACAACCAATAATTTATTAACCACTGGATACGGACCAGGTAGCCGGCCCTGACAGAGCTACTCTGACCCCAAAATGGGTGCTCAATCTTGTCATCTCTTTATAACTTCCCATCTCAGGCAAATAAAACCCAAAGCTTTTAATGTGGCCCACCAAGTCGTGCACGATCCCATGGGCCCCTCTCAGCCCTACTACACACCCATTCCATGTATTTATTTATTCTGTCTCCCCCAGTCAAATGTAAAAGGGGGTTGTCCTGTTTCACTCACTGGTGTATCCTCAGCACCCAGAACAGTATTTGGCACAGAGTAACATAGTAGGAGCTCAGCTAATATTTATTAAATGAGTAAACTCAAACTACATAAAGGCATTTCTGAACATTAATAATAAATAACAATATAGCACTTACTGTGCACCAAGTTTGTGTGTAAGGTTTTAAGTACCTCACATGTACTGACTCATTTAAACCCTATGACAAATAATCAGGGAAATATCTGTAATTTTACCATTTGAAAGATGAAGGCACTGAGGCCTAGGGAGGTTAAGAAACTGGCACGGCCTGCAATCAGGCAGTTTGGCGTCAAAGATCAAGTGCAGAACTACCAGATGAGATGGCCTCCCAAAGAGCTGGCTGGAATCAGCAGGGCTCCAGTCCCCAGCATGGATGGGGAACTAATGCCGCAGGTTGCAGGGCCGCTGCTACTATGATCTCAAGCCGGTTCCCGGCCACCAGGTCCAGCCCCTTCTCACTCAACCTCCACACCACCAAGGAAACAGTCTTCCCAAATGCTTGTAAATGCTTCTTTCTACCCAATGCTGATGCTCTCTAGCCGTTATGTTCAAAGTCAGGGTTCCAGGCAGATGGCCAGGGACCCATGCAAGGAGGCAGGGAGAAGGGAGGCCACAAATGACAGGCTGTCCAAAGCCACTCCATTGCCACCTGTTTCATACTTTGGACTTTCACATAAGATGTCCTTTGAGCAAGGATAAAATAAGCAATATTTGTTTTGAAATCCATCATCACTCTTAAGGGATATAGTACAAAAACCTTTGTAGGCTACCCAAGACCCTCCCTGAAGGTCCCCTGCCTACCTCCCTCCATCTCATCCACTTTTCTAACATTTCCATCAGGCCCCCTATGCCCAGCACCCTAATTCATTAGCCAAGACTGTGCTCATATGTGGTTTCCACAGCGCCCCTCCCACTGCACTAGTCAATACTTGCCTCATAGCACGTGCAAACTGTGCAGGTTTATTTCTTGGTTTACATACCCAGGTCCTCTGCCTAGACGGACAGAGCTAAAAACTATAGTGTTGGAATGAGATACTCCTAGGGCTGTGTGATTCTAGGGATGTTGCTTGCCCTCTCTGGGCCTCAGTTTAGTCAACTACAAAACGTGAATAATATTAGCAAGTACTTAGAACTGCTGGGAGGACTTATTGATACCAGTTTGTTCAATGTTTACAAGGCCTTCCCCTTACAGCATACACTCAATTATGTTAGCTATTATTGTTGCTATCAATATTAATTCATCCCCAGAGCCTAGCACCAAGGCAGACACACATTCAATGAAGAACTGAGTTGACCTGGAACCTACCCTAGGCCTGGGTCCCCTGTCCTCCCATACCTTGTTGCTGGCTGCTAGAAGCTCAGACCCCTCCAGTTCCTTTTTGGCTCCTTCAAGTCCAGCCAAACCTCCCTGATAAAATGAAGGGGGAAGGAGGAGGGTAGGGAGGAGGAGGAGGAGAGAACATCCAGATAAAATTGGCTGCTCCAGCGTCTGCTGGCCTCGGTGTACCCTGCAGCTTTGGCTCCTGCCAGGGATTTCAGCCTGTTGTGCACTTTTCATTAACAATAAACCTTGGAAACTGGAAACACCCCGACTGCCTCGGGATGCATGGCCCAGGCCCCAAAAATGAAAGAGTGATAGGCCCTGGAGAGGGCAGCGGGTTTTCTAATTTTAAAAAGGAGGGATGTAGGAAGAAGGAAAGTACTTTGACAGGTAAATAAACAAGAAGACTCACACCCCAAAGAGTCTGGCACGTCTTTAAGGGAGCCAAAGCCTCTGGCCCTTCAGCGACTGTCGGGAGGTGTGAGCCACTTGCCTCACACAGACAGAAGGGCTGTTTCAGTGGCTGGATTCTTCCCTCTCCAACTGGCTGATTTGGTATCAAGGAGACACAAACACAATTCGGTTCAATACAGTCCAATACACCAAATATTTTACTAAGCAGCTTCCATCAATCAGTCCTACTGATCCTGTCTCTACAATATATCCCGAGTCTGGCCAGGTACGGTGGCTCACGCCTGTAATCCCAGCCCTTTGGGAGGCTGAAGCAGGTGGATCACTTGAGGCCAGAAGTCACCAGACTGGCCAACATGGTGAAACCCCATCTCCACCAAAAATATAAAAAATTAGCCGGGTGTGGTGGCAGGTGCCTGTAACCCCAGTTACTGGGGAGGCTGAGGCAGGACAATAGCTTGAACCCAGGAGGTGGAGGTTGCAGTGAGCCGAGATCACACCACTGCACCCCAGCCTGGGCAACTGAGTGAGACTTCATCTCAAAAATAAAATAAAATATATCGCAGATCTGTCCACCTGTCTCACCTCCAAGGACATCCCTTACCCCCATCCTTTCTGGTTGCCAGACCTCACACTTGCCTCCCTGCTGACTGCATTTGGAGGGGTCAAGAAATAGTTCCAAATGCATATTCCATGGAGTACTCATTCTGCAAGCTATCTTGAAGAAGAAAAAATTCCACAGTCAAACCCAAGCCAAACATTAATACTTGATGGTCCTCAGAGAGCCTGGTTTCCTTAACTCAGAGTTCTGCCAGTTGATTGGGCCATTTCAATCCTCCTATTGGCATCCAGAAGAACTCATATGGAGCCAGTTTGGGAAACACTGGATGAATGAGATGATACCCGAGGGATAAAACTGGCCCCTCATTCTCTCAGGCAGGGCCAGTGAGCAATCTGGTCAGAGAACTGTCCGAGCAGCCAGGCCTGGCTCTGGGACACCATCCCCCAGTCCCCCATAGGAAGAAGCCCAAGTCTCACGGTCAAGGCCCTGTCACCTTAAATTAATTGAGAGCAAAGAAGATTTCTAGATTTCAAGCCTCAGTGTTTCATCAAGGAGGCCAGAGCTGTTACAGATGAAGCTTCTTGAAGCCTTTCTTAATAACAGCAAAATTTGCTGTAGGCTTACCATGTGCAGGCACCATGCTAATAATCATTCTGCATGAATTACATCATAAGGATTCGGTACTATGAGGATCCCCATTTTACAGATGAGAACACCTGGGGCGACAAGGTGAATAATAATTCCCATAACTACAAAGAGTACGAGGCATAGCCAGCACTGGGCCCAGCAGTCTGACTGCTACCCCCAAGCTCTCAGCCATTCCATTACTACTCATATATATCAACCCCTCTGACCCTCCGCCTCCTCATCAGTCCAATGAGACTAGTAATTTCCTCACAGGTCTATCGCCCTCAGCACGGTGCCCCGGCCAGTGCTCAACGAATGGAAGCTGTGCTCATAATTACTTCATCAGCCACTTAGGCAGCTCTAGCAAAACAAAACCCTAAGACTTTCCTCTCCCTGCTGGCATCGCTCTTTAAAACATGTTGTGGCTGCCACAGAATCACAGGATTTTCGAGCAGGAAAGGACCTTAGAGATTGGGTGTTATTTTTCCAGAATAGTCCAGGATTTATAATGTATAAGAGCAAGGCCTTGGGAATTAATACTGAAGAATGAGCAGCTTCCACACCCTTGGCCCAACGCTCCTTTGCCCGTGCTTAAGGTCACTATCTACAAGGTGACAGGGATACTCTTGGCCATTCTTCTAGCAAAAAAAGGCTGCTTCCCTTGGGCACTTTTACAACTGGTTATTTATAAGCCCAGAAATCTTGTCTGTGTTTATGTTATTAGTCACTAAGCAAAAGCTTATTTTCCACCAGTTGGGAAGGGTTTCCTTTCTGAAAAATGAAAGCCTGTGTCTCTTGGCCAGACAGTTTTACCCAGAGGCCCGGTGGCTCCAGAATGGTAAGGAAAACTATGGCCCTTGACATGCCAGGCCTACCAGGAAAATTAAATCCCTGAATAGAAACTTAGCTCAGCCTGAGTCAGCCCACAGCACTGGGGCCATGGCCAGGTGGTGTACAGCCTGGTTTTTAGCACAGCAGAAAGCACCTACTATGCAGATGGCACTGGGGATACCGAAAGAAGACTTTTCCCAGTTTGGAGGGGAAGGAAAGGCAGGCCAGGTAGAAGGGTCAGCATGAGGAAGGGAACAGAGCAGAAACAGAACCGCCAGCAGCTGGCAGGGCCAGGGACTAGGAGGAGAGAAAGAAGACGGCGATGAATAAAACACAAGACCTTGAAAGCCCACAAGGAGCTGCAGGTGAGTCACACAGGCAACCAAACATCGCCGAGAACAATCCAAGAGACAGGAGCAAGGCACAGGACAGCATCCAGGATCCTGGACCTGTGAAATTGTCTGGGGCTCAATTTTTTCCAGGAGACTTCCCAGACAGGGATCTCTCCTTCCCTAGAAAGCTTGTAATAAGAATAGTTAATATTTATTGAACAGTTACTACATGTCATGGATTAAAACATTTATTCCTCACAATAATCTTATGAGATAGGGATCCATATTATCCCTACTTTATAAATAGGGAACCAAGCCGGGGATGGTGGCTCACACCTGAAATCTCAGCACTTTGGAAGGCCGAGATGGGAGGATTGCTTGAGGCTGGGAGTTTGAGACCAACCTGGTCAACATAGCGAGACCTCATCTCTAAAACAAAAAATAAAATAAATAAATAAATAGGGCACCAGCACTCACATCAAGAAACAATATTGCCAGCCCCCTGCAAGCACCCCTGCCATGCCCTCTTTCTGTCATTAATCATCTCCCCAAAGATACAGATACACCAATACCATGAATATGAGGAATATGAACCAAAATCGTAGATGAGTTTTGAAGTTCTAAAAACTGGAGTCATAGCCGGGCGTGGTGGCTCATGCCTGTAATCCCAGCACTTTGGGAGGCCGAGGCGGGTGGATCATGAGGTCAGGAGACCGAGACCAGCCTGGTCAACATGGTGAAACCCCGTCTCTACTAAATATACAAAAAATTAGCTGGGCGTGGTAGTGGGCACCTGTAATCCCAGCTACTCAGGAGGTTGAGGGACAAGAATCGCTTGAACCCAGGAGAAGGAGGTTGCAGTGAGCCAGCCTGGTGACAGAGCGAGACTCTGTCTCAAAAAAAAAAAATGGAATCACGTAGTATACCTTCTTTTGTCATTAATTCAACATGTTTGTGAGAATAATCTACGTTGCTCAATGTCGTCAAAGATTGTTCATTCTCATTGCTCTAGAGTACTCCATTATGTGAATGTATCGTGTGGTTTATTTATCCATTCTACTGTTGATAGACATTTGGGCTGTTTCCAGTTGAGGGTTGTTATGAATAGTATTACTGTGGATATCCTTGTGCATGTCTTTTGATGCACATCTGTACGCATTTTTGTTGGGTAGATACCCAGCAAGATTGGATGGCAGATTTGTGCAACTCAAAAGCGCATGTTCTCGCCATGACTCTCCACCCCCTTCCTCCATCATACAGTTCTGCTTTTTGCATTACATCCAGTAAAGGTTCTCCTTCATTAAATGGAGCCAAACTTACTGATTTTTCTGAAATGGCTTTATTATCAGCCGATTTGAGGCATTTATCTGGGCATTTTGGTACATGTTAAAGGGAATACAAAAGAGGAGAAGGCACAGTCATTAACCCCAAGGAGTTGCTTTCGAGTTGGAAATGACCAGTACTTAAAAAATAATTCAAGAGCTAACCTGTACAGTACAGACTTTAAGTACCTGGACAATCAGAAAGATCAGTGAGGTCAGCCAGAAGGGGCCTGAAAAGATTTCTAGAAAAAGCAGGCATGGAACTGAACCACCCAAAATGACCTGGGTTTTGCTTTTGAGATAGTTTCACCATTGTTTCAACATATCCTAAAATACCCGAACTCTCCTTTTTCTTTGACTATTCCACTGGCAGGCCTTCCTTCTTCCCAGACACCAACTTAAATTATTTTTCTTGTTTGCTGTTTATTTTCCATTTCAAAGGATAGTAGGGATTGGTTGCTATAGCAACAGCTACTTCTCCACATTAATCCTGAATTTCATCAGATGTTCGGTTTGACAGTCCCGTTCTGCCCTCTGATCATCTGGTTTTCACAACCAGGCTAATGACCCAGCTCCCAGAGACTGCCTCCTGCAGCTCTCGAGGTTAACAACACAACTTGTAGAACTTGAGAAAATGTGTATTATAAAAACAGTGCTCTGGTCTGAGGGAAACGCTGATGAGTGAGGAGATCCTGGGATTTTAAGCATCCACTGGCCACGTGACAGCCGAATATACTGGACTGTTTTGGAAGAAAGAAGCCTGGAAAGCAGAGAGGATGAGGATGAATTTACAGGATGCCCCAGGAAGGGTCAGTTTTTAAAAAGGGACAATTTCTTTCTGTAACCTCCAGGGAGGAAGAGTCTTTTGTTGAGTTTTTTGGTTTGTTTGTTTGTTGAGACAGGGTCTTGCTCTGTCACACAGGTGGGAGTGCAGTGGCAAGATCTCAGCTCACTGCAACCTCCGCCTCCCAGGCTTAAGTGATCCTCCTGCCTCAGTCTCCCAAGTAGCTGGGACTACAGGCACGTGCCACCACTCCTGGCTAATCTTTGTAATTTTTTTTTTTCTTGGTAGAGACAGGGTTTCGCCATGTTGCCCAGGCTGGTCTCAAACTCCTGAACTCAAGCCATCCGCCCACCTCAGCCTCCCAAAGTGCTGGGATTACAGGCGTGAGCCTCTGCACCCAGCCCATCTGTTGATTTAAAAAAAAAAAGGCCTAGGGCCTAGCAGTGGCCCCAAGAGAATTCTCTCCACACCTTTGCCTTCCATCAGGTCCGTCTCCTAGGTGACAACCAGGGTGCTGCCATTTCTTCCACAGCATTGCCTCCCTAGGCAGCAGCATTTTTGTAATTTTCCCAAAATCTCGGACCGGAGTACCTTTCCACTCCTCAAGGGTGCTCTTTTATTAAAGGTCAGTACAGTCCTCACAGAAAGTAGCTTATCACTTCAAAAATGAAGTGATCTTTTCTTTGAAAGACTGTCTGCAAACCAGTTGAGTCATTTAGTCAATACAAGACTCATTCTTCAAAACTTTCCTCCCTAGAAGTCAATTTCAAACACCTCGTGGGCTCACAGCTTCACTAAATCGTCCTCTGATCTCTTGGATCTGAAAGCCCAGAGCAGTGAGGATGAGAAATTTAAACTGGCATCTCCCTGTCAATAAATCGGTCCGAGTTGATTCAGTGCAGTTCCTGGTTTGCACAACAAAAGACTTTTTTGTTCACTCACTGTCTTTTCTTGAACCAAAACTCTTTCTGGATGTTGGCTGGCATGCCCGAAGAAAACCACAGCCAATGAGGCCACCCACTGCCAGAAGTGGACTCCACGGAAGGCAGAAGAAATGGTAAGAAAGTGTAGAAGCCACCTGCAGAAGAGGGGATGCAGAAGCCTTGCCAAGACCCATCCGTGCCTGCTAGGATTAATAGTGCCAATGGGGCCCAATATCCAATCCTAGGAAGGCAGGGGACGTGGCCAGGATAGAGAGAGAAGTTGTGTGGGAGAGGGGACTTGACAACACCACACTGGACGAGCCACTGGACTCCACCCTCCTTCCACAACCATCCCTGGGGAGCATTTCTAGAAACCATGCAGGGCCCTAAGGTGGAAACGGGCGCTATCAGCCATCACCACAGGCTCATGATACACACTCCATATCACACACAACTCCACAGCCTCCCTGATCATTCCCTCTATTGCTCTGTCTCAGCTTTTGTGTCATACACAACACACACACACCACTCTTTCTCTCTCAAAAAAATTACACTCACTCACACAATCCTGAATGTGAGAAAGCCCCGGCAATTGATCAGAACCTCTCACAACTACCCCCAGAAAGAAGCAAGGGTTCTTGTACTTGATGCCGTGAACTTCTGAAAAAGCATGCTCCCCAATTCTGGCAGTGATGGGGGTAGAAATACCTCTGTGAAGACAGCCTTAGTCTTCCACCCCTGGAAACCCTGGCAGAGGGCTTTGGCACAGGGATTCATCTCACCATCACCACCTCACCAAGGTGGAAAGGCCAGGCCCGTGGTCCTCACACCTCTGGCTCCAGCCACTTCCCAGTTGGGTGACCTGGGCAAGTTACTTAGCCTTTCCGTACCTGCAGGCTCTTCCTCTGCTAAAATGAAGCCTCTACCTTACGTCTCACTGTGAATATTAGCACACAGCAGCAAGTGTACGCAGAAGTGTTAGCTGTTCCGATTCAGCAGCAAAGGGGAACTAAGGAAGACATCAACTCCAGAATTATGGGTATGCACTGGCAGAGTCCACACCCAAGGCTGCATTTGAGACCTTGAGGTATGTGTGTGATGGGTTGGAGGTGAAGGAATGGCAGAAATAGTGAATGAACACTTAAAGACATCAGAGGATTTGAGTGACCCCCAGTAAAAGCTGAGGTGAAGGCAAGCCTAGCTCTCTTTCATTCTTTTGGTCCCTAGGGCTGTTCCAAGCATGGGTGTCAATCTCTGAGCCATACCTACCAGAGGCACCTGCTGTCAGAAGTCATGGTGGGGAGCACAATCAAAAAAATTCCCAGACTCGGCAGGTTAAAAGTTACAGTTCATCTAATCTGACCCCCCTTTCAATATCCAAATCCCCACTGTTGTACATGGCCATTGTGGAGGCCCCTCTTCTGTGCTCTGTGAGCCTTCCCAAATGCATGCTGGTGACTGCCTGCGCAAATTAAGAAAGCTATCCCAGTTCATTCCGAAAGACCCCATAGTAAAGGGCAATAGAGTCTTTTTTTTTTCTTTAAAAATTAGTGTCAAGTATAAGTGTCATTATTTAAGGCACTAGAAAATATTGAATTCCAGGAAACCCAGGAGGGTGAGGCAGGACAGCCTGGGAGTAGCATTAGTTTGTAGCTGTTTTGTTTCTGATCTCCAGCCTCTAGAAAAATGACTTGGGTGTAATCAAAAGAAAACAATGAAAATAATAACTTGAAGGTCAAATAGCTAACTTAATAGGAAACTCATTAGAAACGTGGCTGGACAGGCTCACAGCTGAAGCACTCGTTCACATGATTACACGTGAAGAGAACTCTCTGGTGCTGTGTTACGAATAAGGGCGAGTCCTCAGTTTGGATCCAGTCTGCAGGGACTTCATGTGGAACGTGTGAATCTGGCGGCAGAGGGAGTGTGTTAAAATGCTCAACTATTTGCCATGGGTTCAAAGGAGTAAACACAAGCATAATACACTACTTTGCCAAGTTCAACAAACTGTTTCACGGGGCTCTGAGTCTCTGATGAGGGCAGCAACCCAACAGCTAAGTAAGTAAACCCAAGCCCGAAGGTATCATTCACTGCTCACTGGTGACCGCCGCCAGACACACGTTCTTCCCTGGAATTCACTGATGACAAACGATCAGACCAAGACAAGTTTCCAGAGCAGGGCTCGTTTTCTCTTTGTTGCAGGATTAAGCCTGTATTTCTCAGCCTGGTCAATTAAACTGGAATTTTTGGGGGTGAGACCCAGGCATCAGCATTTTTTACAAACTCCTCATGAGATTTTAATGTGCCTCCATCATTCAGAATCACTGATAGGCAAGCTGGCCTCAATCTTCTCTTCTCCAATCTCCCGACAGAAGTTTCTACTCCAGCCAGAAAGGACATCTCACTGATCCCTAGATATCACATCAGGAATAATCAATTCCATTTCTTGAGCATGGCCCTGGCACGGTACTTAGCAATTTTATTCATTAGCTCATTTAATCCTACATTATCTATAAAGCAGCTAGCTACTGGCCCCATTTTATAGACAAGGAAACAGCCTCAGAGAGCTTAGTCACTAGCCCAAGGTCACACTGCAGTAACTAGCAGTGCAATTGGCTCACTCAAATCTCAGCCTACGTGGATGACAAATTTATACTCTTGCCCTACTATTAGGTTCATGCAAAACTGATTGTGGTTTTCACCATTACTTTAATGAATGGTACCTGAAACAAAAGTGCTAATAGAATAGTACCTGGAACAAAAGTGCTCAATACCTTTTTGTAAAACACATGAATGATTCAATGACTAAATAAGCAAATGAATGAATGAGAATAGTGGATAATGTTAAGGATCATTGATCTTGTTAGATCAGTTCAGCCATTCCCTGCCTTCAAAAGAACCTATATCAGGACCTGCTTGCAAATCTTCCTGCCTGAGAACCCTGGAGTAGCACAGTTGTGTCTGAGAAGAGAAACATAAACTGTTTGTAGATATTTCCAAGTAACTGATGCTAGAAATACAGCCCTGCTTTTGTTTCTAAGGAAACCAGAATCAATTATTTGGAAGGTTTTGCTTCTAACCTTCTCTGCAGGGGTTTTTCTAGTACAGTGGGGTTGTCAAATTTGGGTGTACATCAGAGACACGTGGAGGGCTAATGATTACTCTGGGTGCTGTAACCCACCCCCAGAGTTTCCAATTCAGCAGGTCTGGGGCTACCCTTTGAGAACTGCTGCTCAAATGCATTATTAAGCAGTTTACCAGGGGCCTGCCATTCTCAAGAGGTGATTTTCCAGGGGCACAGGATGGAGCAGCAACACTTTCTGATTCCAGGACCTCTGCTGGGTTCTGCAGAAACATCTTACACAAGCCCCACTGCCCCTGGCCACGAGCTGGGGGTCAGGGCAGGGGCTGGGGGCGATGCCGTGTACAATAAGGAATACAGGCTTTTCCACAGCCCCTGTCTCTTGATTTCTCTTCTGCTTCTCTGGATTTTTAGAGCAGTGATTTTCGCCAAGAGTGGTATCTCCTCCCAGAAAGACCTATCCAAATCTCAGGGAGCACAGGTAGCTTGCAAAAGCATATTGTAGTGCAATTTCTCTAGTAAGATGAGAGGAGCTTTTAACTGATAGTGCACTCATCCAAAGTGTCTTCATGGTGGGAATTCAGAGAATATTTGAGAATACAGACTTATTATAACTTATCTTCTCGTGGGCAGCATGCTTAAGGCTCACAGGGTGGGGGCATCAGATTCAAATGCTTATCAAAGGACGTGTTTGTCTATTTCGTTTCTTTTCAAGTTGGAGAAACACTTCCAACGGATGAGAGATCACAGTTAACAAATGCCAAAGAGGCTTCCTACTTTGTCCCAGAAAGCCAGGATCACCCTTATCTAAAATAGGAGAAGTGATGAAAGGGTTGGCCAGTTCCAGCACATCACAATGCAAAGAACCCATAAAGAGATGCAATCTTGCATGGCCAAGAGGAGAGATTTCCAGAAACCAAAACCAAGGGTGTCAAAGGGAAGTCACAGGCCGAATCTCCCCCACCCCTCCACCCACCTTTTCAATTTTATATGCCGGACTGTTACCAGATGGGATGCTAAAGATGTTTGTTCTCAGTGGTTTTGCAGATCGGGTCTCCTAGGCTTTCAAAGGGGAAGTGGGGGTGAGACAGTGCGCCTTTGATGTTTGAACTTCGGTCCTGAAATCAGAACCTCAGGCAAAAACTGTTTTTATCTCTTCCATCCTAGGCAACCCAGTTGAAAGCTCCAGTGGGCACTTCCTTTTCAGCTTTTTTTTCCATATTGTCAATTACCTCCCTGCTGAGAGAATGGAATTCCTTTGACTGGAAACAGGGGTCCCTCTTTGAGATGGTGCCAGAGATTTCTTTCTTTTCTCTTGATTAGGCTTTCCTTAGTATCACACACTGAAAAGTGTACGTCTATCCTCTTTTATTTACTTAGCATTAGAAGCCAGTTACGTTTGTATTTACACAGAGTTGACAAATTTGAGGGTTAATCACCTTCACCCATGGGTCAATAGGAGAGTTAACCCCAGGGTTTGGTTCAAGAAAGACACATTTGAAAGGAATTATTTTTGAGATTGGGTGAACAGCAGCATCACTTCAGTGAAGTCACAGATTTTATGGGCCTGGGGGTATTGTGATTATATAAAAATCAAATTTTCATGGTGTTCTGCAGTTTAGAAAACACTTGACCTATGAGTTTAACAGATTTGAACCCCAACCTTCTTCCTTGGATGCTGGCAGAAGTATTTTCTAAAATGCCTACAAAGCTAGGATTGAATGCTCTCAGATATGTAAGACAGTAACCTCTATGAAGACTGGGAATTCTACATATCACAGGGTCAAGAACAATACTTCCCTCCAGTTAGGGGTCTCTGCAGACCACCAAATGACCTGGTTAGTATCAGGAGCACCGAGTTCTGAGTGTTGCTGCCTGGGTTCACCTCTCGGATCCACCACTTATTAGTTGGTAACCTTAGAAAATGGACTTTGCCTCTAAAGCTGAATTTTCCTTACCATAAAATAGGGATCTTAACATTTCATATTTCCCAGATATAAGGGTTAAGTGAGATAGTACATGCACACCTCCTAGCCCAAGGTAAACACTCAATAACTCCTAGCTATTATTAGTACTATTTTATTTTATTTATTTTTGTGAGATGGGGTCTCACTCTGTCACCCAGGCTGGAGTGCAGTGGCACAAACTTGGCTCATTGCAACCTCCACCTTCCGGGTTCAAGTGATTCTCCCACCTTAGCCTCCTGAGTAGCTGGGACCACAGGCATGCACCATCACGTCCAGCTAATTTTTTGTATTTTTGGTAGAGACGGGGTTTCACCATGTTGCCCAGGCTGGTCTCGAACTTTTGAGCTCAAGTGAGGCCAGAGGATCTACCAAAAATACCTCACTTGAGCTCAAGAGTTCGAGACCAGCCTGGGCAACATGATGAAACCCCATCTCTACCAACATGACCTCCCAGAGTGCTGGGATTACAGGTGTGAGCCACCACACCCAGCCCTAGTATTATTTTAAAGGTATAAATCAAAAAATGCTACTTCCTCCTTTTAGCAGTTTCCCACCATTCCTGAAAGAGAATCCACACTCCTTCCTCTGGCCAGTGTGGTCCAGATCTAGCCCTCTCCACCTCCTTCTCCTACTACCCTTCTCCTCACCCCTGCCAACCTCCCAGATCCTTTGTCCCTTCTACCCATATAAGTGCCTTCTCTCCTCTGAGCATTTGCGCATGCTGTTCCCTTTGTATGGCATTCCCAGGACTCTGAAGTGTTTAGTCTCCGCTTCATTCAGATCTTCACTCAATAACCACTTACTCAAAAGTCCTTCAGCTCAAGGCTCAGTCCGAAAGGGACCGCCTGGTCTGTTCACTTTGTTGACTCTCTGTCTCCTCTCTTTAATGGCAGTTCCAAGAGGGACAGGAGCTTGCTTTGTTGGCCCTTGTATTCCTAGTGCCTAGAATAGGGCCTGGCACATAGTAAGCACTTTATTAGCATTTTTGTTAATGAATAAATCGCTTTTTCTCTAGAACTAGTATTTCAATATCACCGGTTAGTACAGCTCAAGATGATGGCTTCCTTTCATTAAAACCCACACTTTCTAAACATACAGGGTTAGGCACATCATTGCATTGTCATGTTGCTATTGTTGTTTTGTTGATGTTGTTGTTGTTGCTGTCACTATGTGTGTGTGCATTTGACTCTTTAATCATAAAGATCTTTGCTAAAGAAGACACTGGCAAGTTCTTTAACAGCTTCTACTCATTTGGCTAGTATCCAAATAGCCACTTTGGTGCCTTAGCATCAATTTCTTTCTAAGCAAATTAATGCATTTCTGCACCGAGCTAAGGCTCTTGATTGGCCTGTCGACCAACCGGCTTCCAGAGAGAAGGTTCCCCTCTCATTCTGTGAGTAGCAGGGAGACCAGCAGATGGGCTCACAGACTGGGGTCCCACCACCACTGCTGCCACACTCCTTGCCCCCACCACGCCCCCAGGTTGCAGCAGGGGCAGGTAGGGGCAGGATGGAAAAGGCCAGGCTGAGGTGGCCTGCAGAGCCAGCAAGAGAAGACACAGGATCAGAAATACGGATGAGGCACGACAGAGCAAGAAAACAAAGGGGACCAGGAGACCCATATGTCAGGGTCACCACGTAGCCATGACCCCCAGTGTGATGAGCTGAACTGCATCCCCGCAAAAACTCAGGCGTTGAAGCCCTAACACCAAGTACTTCAGAACGTGACCCTATTTGGAGACAGTGTCTTTACGGAGATAAGTTAAAATGAGGTCCTTAGCACAGGCCCTAATCCAATATGACTGGTGTTCTCATGAGAAGAGGAAATTTGGACACAGACACATGTGGTGGGAAGAGGTATGAAGACACAGTTAAAAGTCGGTCATCTATAAGCCAAGGAGAGAGGCCTGGAACAGATCCTTCCCTCACCACACTCAGACCAGAATTGTGAGAAAATATATTTCTGTTGCTTAAGTCACCAGTCTATGGTATTTTCTTACGACAGCCCTAACAAACTAATACATCCAGCAAGTCATTAAACCTTCTAGAGCCTCAGTTTCCACAACTGCAAAATGGGAATCCCTGGCCTGCCCACCTCACAGGTTTGCTGTGGGGATAAAAGGAGACCAGATGTGGGAGGCCTTTGTAAACTATGAAGAGTTCTACAGATGGCAGGATGTCTAACTTCACGTTCAGCGCTGGATCTTTGGGTCCTGCTGGGCAGGAAAGCAGATAAAGTCATGGGATCCTGGGACTGTGGTTCCCAGTGAGAGGTGTAGGAGCTGGAATACAGCCTTGGCAATCTCCTGCTCCCAACCCCCAGGGAAGGGAGGGGAGCTGCCCTCCTCCACAGTTATTTAGTGGATGTGGGAGAAACAGAACTTGCGTGGGAGAAGGGAAAGGGAACAGAACAGAAACTGGAGAGCTCTAAGAAATTAAAAGAAAGAAAAAGGACACATGTAAGACCCCGAGAGTTTTCTGGATAAAAACAACACCTTTTATTTGCATGATACCCTATAGGTCGCAAAACACTTGGAGGCACTGGATTCTCGTTAACCTACTTGAGGTCAGGAATGCCTTTGAGAGTCTGATGAAAGCTATGTACCCTCTCTCAGAAAAAAGTAACTCATGCACACAACACATGAAACATTATATAGCAGCACTGTCCGGCAGAACTTTCTATGAAGATGAAAATGTTCTGCAGCTATGCTGTCCCATATGGTAGCCACTAGCCTCCTGTGGCTACTGAGCACATGAAATGTGGCTAGTGTGACTGGGGAACTGAATTTTAAATTATTTTGTTTTAATTATTTTCCATTTAAATATCCACCTGTGGCTAGTGGCTTCTGTGTTGGACAGCATAGTTACATACTATTCCAAGGGATTCACAGATCCCTGCAGCTCATCCATGAAATACCTTGTCAATGGACCCCACGTTATGAACTATTTGTGATGATTACAGTGTCCTCATAATAATTATCTTTTTTGAGCTTACCAGATACATGTATCATGCCATTTAATCCTACTGAAAACCCCATGACAGAGCTAGAATGGTCATCCCCATTTTACAGATGTGATTACTGAGGCACTGAGAAGCCTACCATCTTACCCCAAGTGTTGTGCCTAGGTCACAGTGGAGGACTGGAGGCTGAAGCTCAAGACCTCCTGATGTGAGACCTCAAGTCTTCCTTAACTCCCTAAAACCTGTCCTAAGGGTTTCACCAACTGAAGCCCCAGCTCCCTCCTGAGGCCTTGATAGAAATTATTTCTAGTAACCTAAAGACCTTCCTCACACTGCTATGCATCTTTAAAGTGACAAGCAAGAGCCTTGAGGGCTTCTCTTCTCCTTAAAGCCTCCAGCCCGGTCTCTACTGAGGCCAACTTCACGTTGGTAACTAAATATTCTTCCGTTAAGGTTTGTCTCTGATCTTCTCTTTGCCAGGGGGATGGTTTCCTGTTCTCCATTCGTCCTGTCTGATTCCCAAGGCCACACAGGGCATGGTGCTGGTGAAGAAGTCAGGTTTCTCCATGTGGGACGCCAGCAACCACAGACTGCCTCTCAAATAAAGAACCTGGAACCTTCATGCTGAGAATGCACTCTCTTTCCCTTCCTGATAAAGAAGGCTCCTGCTCTGGGCCAAGAAATCCCAAAACACAATAGTGTTCTCAGGGCACAGGATTGTATGGCTCCACACCCTACAGGTCAATCCTTCACCATGGCCTACGGAGCTTAACGAAACTCACTTCCACTTCCACATTGTGTCTTTGTCTCTCTACTCACTTCCAACTTCTAGAAATTCCCCTCATTCACTGGACATATTCAGATTTTATCTTATCAGCCTGGAATTCTATTTTCCACAATTCTTCCCCTATCAAAAAATTCCTTCAAGACCCAGCCCAAATGCCATACATCTCCATGAAAACTTCCAATCCCCAAGCTTCCAGAACATGGTCCCAGAATATACTGCTTACATGCCTACTAATATGGTTTGGCTATCTCCCCACCCAAATCTCATCTTGAATTGTAGTTCCCATAATCCCTATATGTTGTGGAAGGGACCCGGTGGGAGGTAATTTAATCATGGGGACAGTTACCCTCATGCTGTTCTCGTGATAGTGAGTGAGTTCTCACAAGATCTGATGATTCTATAAGGGGCTTTTCCCCCTTTTACTCGGCACTTATCCTTCCTCTGTCCATGTGAAGAGGGAATGTTTGCTTCCCCTTCCACCATGATTGTAAGTTTCCTGAGGCCTCCCCAGCCTTGCAGAACTGTGAGTCAATTAAATCTCTTTCCTTTATAAATTACCACTCTTGGGCAGTTCGTTATAGCAGCATGAGAACAAACTACATTGCTACATAGCACTCTTTCCATACTGCCTTGTATTGCTTCTTTTTTTTTTTTTTTTAAGACAGGGTCTCACTTGGTTGCCCAGGCTGGAAAGCAATGGCACAATCTTGGCTCACTGCAACCTGTGCCTCCTAGGTTCAAGCTATTCTCCTGCCTCAGCCTTCCAAATAGCTGGGATTACAGGCACATGCCACCACAACCAGGTAATTTTTGTATTTTTAGGAGAGATGGGGTTTCACCATGTTGGCCGGGCTGGTCTCAAACTCCTGACCTCAAGTGATCCTCTTGCCATGGCCTCTCAAAGTGCTGGGATTACAGGCGTGAGCCATCATGTCCAGCCTGTATTGCTTCTTGAGTGTGGGATCTATGTTGCTTCTTGAGTGTGGGGTCCATATCACATTCAGCTTTCAAATTTCTAACTTCACTGAACAGAGTGCTTAACACGAAGTAGACACTCCACTCAGTAGACTAGTGGTTCTCAAATTTGTTGAAACACAGATTGCTGAGCCCCACCCAGAGAGTTTCAGATTCAGCAGGTCCTGGGTGAAGCCTGAGAATCTGTATTTCTAATAATCTCAAGTGATGCTCATGCCACTAGCCCAGGCACTTTGAGAAGCACTGTAAGAGGTGTTTGTGATGTAAATAAAAGATAGAATGGATAAAAATTTCCCTTAAAAATCCTATCACCAAGGGCTCCAAAAATGAGCCTTCAAATGACCAGGATAAAAGAAATATATTACCAACATTTACTTCTAGATAAGAGGCAAAAATAGAAGCAGCAGAAAAAAAGAATGGCAAAAAAAGATCAGGGAACCAGATGAAAAACGAAAACTATCAGAAAAACTTTAGGGACACCACTGGTTGGTTTCCTTTTAGCCCAACCTGATAACTTCTTATAATCTGACCACGAATTAAAAATAAGTTCATTTTTCTTTTTTTTTTTTTTTAAACAGAGTCTCACTCTGTCACCCAGGCTGGAATGCAGTGGCACGATCTCAGCTCACTGCAACCTCCGTCTCCCTAGCTCAAGTGATTCACGTGCCTCAGCCTCCTGAGTAGCTGGGACTACAGGCATGCGCCACCACACCTGACTACTTTTTGTATTTTTAGTAGAGACGGGTTTCACCATGTTGGCCAGGCTGGTCTCGAACTCCTGACTTCAAGCCACCTGCCCACCTCAGCCTCCCAAGGTGCCAGTATCACAGGCATAAGCCACTGCACCCAGCAATAAGTTCATTTTTCAGCCACATATTTTTAAATATTCTAGGGAAACACTCTGACTCAGTAAAACCAAAATTGGGAAATTTTCATAAGAAAATAATCAGAAATGAATGTCAAAATGATGCACAAGGAGAGTTGTGAAGCCCTGTTTATAATAACCAGAAATTTGGAACAACTTAAGTGTTTGGCAAAAGAAATTAGATTCAATAAATTATGGTATGTCCATAAACAGAATGCTATAAAACCTTTTCAAATGTCCTTACAGGGGAATATTTATTGATACAGAAAAGATGCACGAGACAACAAATGAAAAAAGAATCAAGCTAAAAAACAGTTTAAATAGCATGATCTAACTGGACAAAAACCACAAATAGATACAGAGAAATAGATAAATATAGAGATATGGATAGAGAGCTATTTATCAAATTGGGAGTTAGAACAGAAATTATTTTTTAATTTTAACATTTCGATTTCAATCATTTCTACAATAAACACATACTGCTGTGTAATTTATTTACAGGGTCTTAAAACATAAATGATAGTCTGTGGGCGGTTTATTCTCTCCATTTCTTCTCATGAAGGACCAAGGAGTTGAACTGAAGCCTGAGCGTCTGTATAAGCTTTTCCCCATGCTGCTCTTTTTTGCAAACACCAACACAATTTGGGCTCCATTTATAAGGCATCTGCTGCACCAACCCTCTTTCTTGGTGCTTACTGGACCTGCTCAGGGTTAATTTCTAACTCAAAGAACCTAACTTGGAGTAACTCCGTACCACCAGCAAAGCGACTGGCTTTGGGGAATGACATTTACAATGTATCCACTGTTATTTGGTCACCCAGCAAACTGTCATTTTTCAGAAACCAGGGCTGTCTCACAAACTGGCTTTCAATAAGGTGGGTTGCTTAGCAACTGCCAAGGAATTAAGAAGACAGAATAAGGTATCCGCCAGAGATATTTTATGACCAAAATGAGCTGCACTCATGTGTCTGGTTGTGTTCAAGGTAACCAAGTAAGAGATAACACCCGACTATTTTTGCATCATGAGGAAAAATACTTGGCTTCTGCCCAGAAGGGCAATTATCTCAAAGTCTTGGCAGGCCCCATGGTATGAGAAATGGTAACTGATATGGGGGTTAAAAAAAAAAAAAATCACTGACCTTCATAAATACTGATGATATGAGGATGGTTGAGAGATGACATGATCTCAATCTCTCGTCTGATGTGAACCATGTCTTGTTCATCCTTAATTTTGTCCTTACGAATGGATTTTATAGCAACCTATAAAGTCAGGAAATGAAATGTTATTCAGAGAGCTAAACAGATGCAAATCAGCCATTGGGGGAGTTTGGAAAATAAATACAGATGTTACTTGTTGGCAGAACTGACAATAACCAAAACAAAGCTTGGAAATGCCCCCTTGTCATGTCTTTCATACACAGCAAAAACACCCTTCTCCTGGCAACAGAAAACATCAGGTTTGACAGCCTGGGATTTGTGATGGTGGTTTTGTTTTTGTTTTTGTTTTGTTTTGTTTTTGTTTTTTCATAAAGCAGAGGCTGCTTAACATGGCCAGAGTCGTTTACTCGAAGAACCCTGATGCTTTGAAAAAAGAAAAAAAGGCAAGTTCAGTTTACAGGGTACTGATGATTAAACATGGTTAGGTGAAATTGGTACCACTCAGTTCCACTGTGCAGCTGCCACAGCAGTGGCTATAAAAAATCATTACTGCCTGGCCAACCTCGAGGCCAGCTCTGCCTCAAGCCTCGGCTTTTAAGACTCCAGGCTATGCTGTGTTTACGCAAGGGCTCAGAAGCGAATTCCTTCCTACATCCTTCCTCTTGCCCAAGCCACCTTCAATAGCACATGGTATGACCAGAGGGCTCTTCTGGAGACAAATCAGGGTAAAACAAAGGTAGTGACAGCTCATCTCCCTGCCCGGCCCCTGTCAATTCCCAAAGCTCAGTGCCAATGTTGCAAATGCAAACTGCAGAGACCTGCCAGGGCCAACACATGGAGCAATTACTCAAAAGAAACACACCGAGAAAAAGGCAATGAATGACAATAGGAACCTAATAAGGAAAAGTGTGTTCGCCAATGGATTCATCTTTGCTCATAAACAAGCTGGTCAGTAACTTAATCAGATTGGCTCTAAGGGGGCCAAAAACTACTTCAGGAAGGGAGTATCCACGGGTAACAAAGAAGCCCACCAATCAATTTGCTGCCGGATCAGAAAGCCTGCCTAGTTCCCTTCCAGGCTGGTCCTCTTGTGACCTCAACTCTCACCTGTGGAGGTCAGGTAAACTTTCCTAGGGGAAAGGCAGCTAAACCATCCTTCTGGATTATAAAGGCATACAGTCATCTGGAGCAAAGAAAGTCCTCATTATCAGCAGCCCACGGCCACACCTTGCCTATCACACAGTCAACCCCAGCCAGCCTCAGCAGGAATATATTCACTTTTAGGAGCACGTGCTACTTCTGACTTGTACCAGCTCTCCACCAAGCACTACAAACAAAAACATTTCTAAAATGCATCAGTCCATCTATGACTCAACAAGAACTGGGTAGCTGTTATGACTGTTTTTGCTATGTATTGACCTCCCAAAAGACAGGTTATGTCTGACTAGCAGCTCCTGGGATTTCTCCTTTGCAGTCCTTACCCCAGTTGTGATTAAATCAGCATTTGTGTCTTTACTTGACTCTACACTGGTAGGGATCTTATTCACTGCTTTATTTAACTTCCAGTCCTTAACACCATGCTTGGCATACGGTAGACCCGGGAAAACATTTAGTGTAGGCAGGTAGGCAGGTAGATAAAAAACGAAGGAAAGATGAAGGGAAGGAGGAAAGGAGGGAAGCTAGAGGGAGGGGAGGGTTGCTGTTATTAATTGATGCAAGCTCAGACCAGAGAGGTGGTAGCAGAACTGGGGAAAAAAAAAGGGGGAACCACCCCAGTTAAATAATACTGCCACGACAAGCATAATAGTAAGAAGATTAAGAATTCCTTTAACATCTATCTACACAGGCAATAGAGGAATAGCTAAACAAATATAAAACACAGGGGGCCCTGCTGTAAACCCAGGGGCAGGCTCCACCTCCCTTCGACCCTGGGTGGACCCATGGCTGGATAGAAGGAGGCTGCATGGAGATGAATGAGCCTTCCAGCTTAAAGGCCCCTTTTCAGCAGAGAGCCAGACTCAGAGCTACCCCAAGTCCTCACCACAGCCCCATTCAGTATAGGGCAAGAAAAACTTCCCTTCACTTACGTCAAATGTAAAGATATGACTGGATGGCTTTATTTTATCTGAGGAAGGGCTGTAATCCTGGGACCTTGTTCTGGGAGGAAGCAGACAGTGAACACACACAGGCTGTGGAGGGTGTGGGTGGCTGCTGGAACAACTCCTACATTCCTCCATAAACTAAAGATGGCCGAGGGTAGAAACCACCCCTTTGATTATGCAGCAAGCTGAACTTGGCCTCAAGGAGGCTCTATTGTCAAGTTACAATAGGCATAAATTCTTCACCATGCAGGGTCAGAGGAGGGTAGCAACATTCTAAAGGGTAAAAAAATAGGCCCACTTGCTGATTCCCCCTAACAGTCCAGCGAGGCGGAGGGTCCCATGGTGCAATCGCCAGGGGATGCTTTCAGCTGGGTGTGAAAAGGAAAGTGCCCACATTCTCATCAAGCCTTGCTCAGCACTGAGGAAACTAAAAGGGCTCCATAAATGTTAATAAGCATAGTGGCTGTCTCTCCACAAAAATTTTCCCTTTTCCTACAATGATTTTTCCACTGAAAATGTAAAAGAGGGTGCATTCTGCTCCCCTGTTTCAAAGGGGTGACAGGAAGTCAGGAGGAGACAAATGCTAGAAATCACTCTCATCTGTGCACCTGCCAAGGCTGGAGGGAAGACATTCAGCTCTACTCCCAGAGTGGTGGCGGACCCATCCAAGGTTCAGACAGCCGGTTAATGACAAAACAAAAAAGCACTACTACTACTAATAGTAATGGCCAGTATTCATTAGCCACTTAATATATGGAGCAGACACCGTGCTGAATGCTTTACATGCCAGGGATCTTTGCACCCTTCTCATTTAAGCCTCAGCTTCACACCACCCTCTCAGGGAGATCCTTCCTGATCCCTCTAGCTGATAAGGCCACACTTATGGCCACCTCCCTCTCTCTATACCCTTCCCATTTTATCTTCTCTGGAGCATTTCACACCAACTACTTTATTAGCCACATATTCAGCCTGTTTTTGTAGGACCCAGGGAGCTAAGAATGATTGTCATATTGTTTAAGGGTTGTTAAGGAAAAAAAAAAAAAAAAAAAGAAAATCTCTAACGCAGCTCCTGCAAAAGTATCTGCTTCAGGAAGTTGAAGGATACACTGAGCCAGTGCACAGACAGTATTGCATAATGCTTAGGAACATGGCTTTAAGTCCAGGCTAAAATCACCCTCTAGCTGTGTGACCCTGGGCAGGTTACATAACCTCTCTGTGCACCAGTTTTCTCATTCATCTAGTAGAGAAATAATAGTACCTGCCTCATAGGTCCTGGTAAGGATTACACATCAGGTGCTCAAGAATACACCTGGGCCAGGGGGTAACTGCTAAATAAGTGTCAGTCTTTTTTAACCCAGAGTGAGTGTTCTGTAAGTAGAACCTTCCCTTCTTCCTTTCTTTTTCAGAGCAAACTTGAATTCCTCCTGGCTCCTCAAGAGACAGTGAGTGGAGGTCTTAGGGACATGTTTTCATAGTACATAAAGGACAAGAGCATCTCCATCCTGGGTCTTTACATTGCAACCTCATCTGAAATCAGGAAGATCAGATCAGCTGGTTACACACCATTATCAGCAGGGCTCCTGAGTCCAAACCAGACAGGAGGATGAACATCTTGAACCCAAAAAGCAATCCCAGGAGCATTTCTCCACCCGCTCCCACACTGTCTCCTTTCACCATTCAGCTGAACAGGGCACAAATATGTTCCTACTTAAAATCAAAACTCAGCCTCAAGATATTCACACTTCAGCCTTTATGAAATTTGACTGTTCATCCACTTGTTCTTTTTGAAAACCTACCAAGTACCGGCTACACAAAAGGGAGCCAGCGCGACTGCTCCAGCCCTCAAGGTGGGAGGTGGGGTGGGGAGGGTACGGGCAATAAGCAAAACTCACACCAGTAATTACATAATTACCCTCATGGCCAGGGCTACCAAAGAAATGCACAGACATGCCCGGCATTGCGGAGGAAACCTCCTCTCCAGTTTTCCTCAATTCTCACATCTACAAAGAAACACAGAGGTAAGGAAGGGGCCCAGCAGGAAGAGATTACCAAATGTCTGAAATCACACACCCTCCACCCCTAAAAATCCCATTTGTTCCTGTACAAGTCAGAGAGCCTGAGAGGAGGAGGGAACTCAGGTGTTTGAGCCCGACTCACAGTACAGCCACATTCATAAATGTTCCCAAGTCTAGACAGTACCATGTGCCTTATAAAATGGTCTGCTTTTAAATAAGGCCACCTTATGGTTTAATGTTTAAACCTTCTGCAGCAGCAGGTTTGGTGGAGAACCTGTGAATCCCGCCCTGCAGTGCCTGCCTGTTTCAGAGGCAAACTCAGCCCAGCCAATTCTGTTACATGCAACAGGCACAGCCTCCTCTTGAGGGTTGGAGGTTTTTCCTTTTTTGAATAATCACCAAAAACCACCTGCTCTGTGGCCTGCTGGGCATCCTCTCCCACATTGGCTGCTGTGGGTGTTCAGAGCTTGGTGACCTAGGAAGGGCTGGGGGATGCAGAGTAGAAGAGTAAATGCTCAGACTGTCACCGGCTGGGTGACCTCAGGCAAGCCCAAACTTCCCAGGTCTCGGTTTCCTCACCTGTAAAATGGGGTTACAAAATCCTGTTTCTTGGGGTTGTTGTGAGGAGTGGAAACTAGGTAAGTAAAGGCCCCAGCACACAGTATTCACTGAATGGCAGTGATTATAAACCACACTTAAGAGGTAATGAGCCCACAGCAAATCATATCATAGGTCTCTTGGCTCCTCTCCACCCCCACACATATCCTCCCCTCCCCACATTTGCACAGTGGCAAAAGCAGGTTAAAATTAATATCCGGCCAGCCCCAGGGTGTCCTGGTGTCTTATGGAGAGGACGCCTGTGTAGTGTAGGACCAGCCTTGGGGGCGTGGCAGAGAGTCTGGGCAGGTTGTATGTCGTCGAGGCTCTAACCAAGAGAATCCCTGCCCTCCTCCTTTTGCAACCATCTCCCTGCATGCTCATTCATTGATATAAGCTGGACTTCAAGGAGTATTCTTGAAGTGCCTCTCAAATAGGAGTCACCCATGCATCTTGAAAAAGTGCAGATTCTGAATCCATAGGTCTGGGTATCCAGCCTGGGATTCTGCATTTCCAGCAAGGTCCCAGGTGATGCCAGCCCCAGGGACCACACTTGGAGTAGCCAGGTCTTAGTGCTTCGTCTTTGACCCTCAACATTTTTAAATCAGTGGCAATATTCTTAATAATAGCAATAATTAATATTTCTTAGGTGTTAATCATGTGCCAGTGGACCTTATCTCATTTAAGCCTACCTACAATCCTATTTTACAGATGAGAACATTGAGGCCAGGAAAGATAAATATTTCCCAAAGTTACATAGCCTGTAAAAAAAAAAAAAAAAAAAGTGGAGCTAGAATTCGAGCCCAGAGGCTGCTGATTTTTAAGGCTATGAATAAAGTTGGGATGAATAGAAAACATCACAGGGAACAGAATCTCCTGTAGGATCCGAAAGGGTCCCTAAAGCCTAGTGAGATGGACCCCCCTCCAAGCAGATGAAGTTTTACAGGGTCATATGTGAGGTCCCAAAAGGAGGGACTGGAGGGCTGAGCAGCAGGGAAGAAACACAGTCATAAATATGGCATTAGCATCACTTAGTGAGAACAAGTTTGCATCCTAATCCCAGCAACACGAGCTGGCAACTTCCCTGCCATTCACAAGGTGTGATCTCATACCCAGGCACGTTCCACGGGAGCTGCAGGGCACGAAGTCAGAGGCAGCTCAGGGGATCTCTCCTTACCTAGGAGCCCAGAGGCCGCCTGCAGCAGGAGCAGGCAGCCAAGCCCGGCTGGAGGCTGTAAAGTGCTCCTGCTCTTGCCTGGGAGATGCACAGAGTGTGGGGCAAGGCACAGCCCCACCGAGGCCACACCGGTCCAAAGCTCCCAGGATCACCATGTGGCTTTCACTCAAAAAGCCTCTGGCCGAGGACAGTCACCACGGTGATGCCACCCATCTTGCAAACAAAGCCCCTAATTAATTAAATGACCCCGGGCTCTTTATGGAGGGGCCTGGCCAACTCAGAACAACACCCCAGCAAGTTGCTGTGATGCAACGGGCCCCATGGGAACCAAGCCAGCTCTGCCTGGGGGCCCATGGGCCTCTTCTTCCCTTCCTCTTTAGCCTGTTGGTTCATGTCCTACATGAATGTATTTCAGAAAGAAATGGATTGGAAGCCAAGAGTTGTATCAACAGGCTCTGAGGCGAGGCACTGAAGCCAGGGAGCATGGTATGTGTAGCTAGGAGCTTTTCCTTCAAAGAGTGGCATCCCCTCACTGGCCCTCATCAGCCCTTTAATGTTGTAAGAGGTTCTGAAAATTTAATCCTCTGTAACTTGGTTCTCAAACCTCTATTTCTCAAAATTCTACATAAAAGAGATGATGATTCCTGTGATGATATTGATTTCTCTCCTGCCATAAAAAATGCATTCTATTTTCAGAACATAAAAAACAAAGCAGATTCGTGCTTGACTGGGCCTGGGCCAGCTCAGGAGGACCTCAGGGCTGGGACATTTTTATCTACAGGGACAGTCATTCCTTGGTCTCTAAGACTCACCCCCACCCCTCTCCCCTTCAAAGACTGAGCTAAGAATGTCATTGCAAGTGGTGATGCCACAAGGGAAGTGGAATTAATGACTAAGAAACCGTGGGCAGATTCACACTCCCTGTTGAGGTTTGTAAACATAAGATACAAACCGTGGCTGACCAGGCAAGAACCAAAGAAATAGCAAAAAGGCCACCGGAAAGTTCGTGCTGAGTGGGCATGCCAAAAGTGAGCCACAAACCCGCCTGAAAAGGACAGTCAGAGACTCTAGAGCACTATCTGTCCAAGGGTGGTGAGCAGATCACCTGCCTCCGATCCCCTGGTTAGGGGGAAAGGGGAAACTGATTGCTAAAATGCAGATTCCTGGGCCCACCCCAGAGCTAGTGAATGAAGGTGGCAGTGTTCAGGGTAGGGGGCAGACCTGGTATCAGCATTCTTTACAGCCTCCCAGGTGATTCTGCTGCACTCTGAGGTTTGAGAGCAGTCACCTTAAAGCAGGGTAAATGTGGCCCTGACGACACCTATTGTTCTGTAGCTTAAACAGGAAGCAGTTATATTACATACTAGATGACTGATGAAAATTAATGAACCTTCCATTTATACACAGAGGAATTAAACACAGGCTTCCTTGAGGGGGCTCAGTGACTTGAATTAATTTACCCCTGGTAAATGGAAAGTTTGCTTCCAATGGGTATCTCCCTAGTCCCAGCCCAAGGAGGGCCTGTGGATGAAGTGATGCCAGGGAATGTGGGTGTGGATGGGTTACTTCACAGTCTACACATAACCCGGAGCACGAAAAAGCCTCTGGTAACACAAGAGACGCTAACACAGACAATATCAGATTCAAAGAAAGACTGAAAATGCCAGGCCATTTAGCTGAGACTGGAGTTGCCAAGCAGCTGTTTATTTTTGGACGTTCACGTCTCTGAAGCCAAATGCAACACCAAATCAGAATTCTAAAGTGCAACTGTTTTTCTTCCAGGTTACAATTGCCCTGGGAAGGGAGAGAAAGGGCTGGGCCAGAGGGCTGAGGTTGCTTACAACTTGGACAGCCTCAACTGGTAGCATCTGATCACTCTGACACTGTTTATAACAAGGCTTGGATAAGCTTAAGGTTGTGCAACTTTTATTTATCAACCTCCAAACCCAGAAGAACCCGAGCCAGTACTGCTAAGAAATCCAGCATCTGCACCTTGGGCTTGTCATCAGTCACAGCAACCCAGCCAAGGCGACTCCTATAAGGAGAGGGACTCGGATAATCACGCCACCGGCTCAGTTTCCTCACCTGCAAATGAGGATGATGATGGTACCAACCTCACAAGGTTGCTGTGGCAACATGGCAGATTGTGTATATGATGGAAGGCAGAGAAGGCAAATAGTACCTACGGCAGAAGCCAAAATGAGGACTGTTATCATGAGTAGATGTTAGAGCTGTAAGGACTTAGAATGCTCTATGCCAATCTCCTCATGTTACAGATGGGGAAACTGAGTCCCAGGGAGGTTAAAGTACATACAGGCCCCAAGTTCACGAAGTTATCAGCAGCACTGGAATTGCAACAAGAGAGTCCTGATTCCCACTCCAGGAGGGATAAACACTCTGAGCAAGGGGTCCTTCCTAATCAAATACTAAGCCACAGTGAGCAGCAGGGCTGAAACTGCCACAAAAAAAATTCAACATTTACATGGGAGGCTGGCTCCAGTCACAGCCAAGTCCCCAGAACTGTTGCATCATTAATAAACCGAGATGGGAGTGGCAGATACTCTTCAGGGTGCTGACAAATCATGACTTGTGCTGCAGCTTGGTGTATTTCACCTCCATCTAATGTCTGTCCTCACATAGCTATGCCAGAGACGCTGTTTTCAGTTCAGTTCTATCCAAACTTTCCTCCAATTTCTGAAGACTGATTTAATATCACCCATGAATACGCATACTTGGGAAGTTTTCATCCTATTATTTCTTAATTCATTGCAAACACTGCTATTAAATGATAACTTCAGGCCACTACTGAATCACTAACCTTGGGGACAATGAGCTAGGAACACAAAAACCTAAGAAGCAAAATTAGTTTTCCAAAGGGAAAGGAAATTAGTCAGTTGAGTTTAGCTGATCCAGGTGAGCAGAACCAAAAAAACTTTTCTTCATTTCTTAATATGGTAAAATACAACAAGCTAAAAAGAGGCATGACTTTCTATCTTATTTTATATTCTAATCATGAATGGTTTTATAAATAAGTGAAAGAGAAGATTCTGCAGAAGTTATTTTTATCCAGACAGAATCTCTTCTGTTTAGAAAACTGATTTATAGCAATGTACAAGACCTATCAGATAGGGCGGGAGCAACCGTGCAGGCTGCAGTCCGTCCCCCAAAGCCTCTGGAGAGCACTCAGGAGCCCCCGAGGCCTCTCTCATTATCTCCTCACAAGCATCTTTTTCCTTCCAAGAGAAGCTCTCATTGTCCATTATTCCTAGAGTTAAAAGGCTGGTCCCTCCTCCCCAGCCCGTTGCAAGATCCATCGGGAGGCTTGTCATCTCCCTCATTAGTGCTCCACAAGCCTGCCTGCTGGGATGCTCTTGCTCATTGCAAATGCACAGCCCCAAGAAACCGCAGGCTGAGCTGAGGAGTGTGCTCGGCCCCAGACGAGCATTTCCTGCCGTCCCATCATGGGGATGAGCCTCGCCCAGTACTCAACTCTCAGTTCCTACCCTCAAGGAGGCTGGGGCAGGGGTCTGTGGTCATCTTGGAGACCCTAGTTGTGCCCTGGGTTGGGGAGTGTGCTCATGCCCCTAGACATGGCACCTGCCATTTTCTCTGCCAGGATCCTCCACATCCTGTCCTCGCCATTAACATTTTCGGTTGACCAACTCCTCTGCATCCATCTGCTGCAGACATGGCCCATCCCCTGCAATGACCCCTTTGCAGATATGGGTCCCCTTTTATAACCTCGCTCACCATTGCTCATAAGCTTCATTTGCACGAAAATCATTTCTGTTTTATGCACCACGGCATCTCCAGTACTAAGCATGTGCCTAATGTACAGTATATACAAAAAAGCTGTTGCTAAAATGGAGCCCAAGTATTAAGAAGGACCCTTGACAAACAGAAAACCATAGTGGGACATCTGATCATTCCAGCCAACCTAAACCCCAGCCATCTGCCGCTGAGCCTTCTTTTACTTGCTCACCTTTCAAACGTGGAATCCCTTCTTGTCCCAAAATCACTGAGCCTGAACTTCCTCATCTTCCAAATGGAGACAATAACAGTGCCCACTCCAGAGGGGTTGGGGGTGATTCACAATAAAAGCTAGCAGTCATAATAATTACCAGTTATCAAGCCCTCACTATGTGCCAGGCCCTCAGTACCTTTCTGTTAAGCCTCTCAACCTCTCACTCATTAAATTCTTACAAAAACATTATTATTTCTGCCTTCTCAATGAATATAAACTGAGTCTGAGGGAAGTTAAGTAACGTGCCCTAAGGCACATAAATAAATAGGAGGTCTGGGTCTCCATACGCTGAAAGACCATACTCTTAACCTCTGAAGCACACTGACAAAGCAATCAGCACAGTGCCTGGCACATAGTAGGTGTTACATAAATATGAGCTGAATCAGAACCTCTGGACATGAAGGCCCCATCGAGGCCGCACTGCCTTGTCCCCACCAGAAGTCCTTTTGTTAGCTAATATTTAAACCACTTCCATCTTCAAAAGCACATCTATCAATCAGTGTTCCTGCTGCTTTCTGTGGGACCAGGTGGGCAAAAGGCAGAATTGTATGGGAGGGGCTGGGAGGCATGTCCCTAAAACGATGTGAGAATGAGTCGATTCCACAGCAAGCAATTGTGGAAAATCTGTTCTGGATAAGGCATTGATCCAGTCCTAGAGAACATGAACTAGACCTACCCTTCAAGTTGCCTACCATCCTACTGGAAAGGCCAGTAGACACAGGGGCTCCTCCCTGCCCAGCCCCTCCCTATTCACTCTCCTTTTGGGAGGAACACCCTGACTTCACTGTGAGGACTATTCCTACCCCCAAGATGCCTTTTGAAAGAGACCAAGATACTTCACCCTCTCCCATGCCAACAGGCAGGCACACAACTCTAGAGCTAGCCCTGGAGATGCTCTTTCTAAGGTTTCAAGAACCATCCCAGCAAAGTGTTCTTTTGGGAGCCCACAGACACATGATGTGTATGCACACAGATGGGGCCTCTTGAGAAGTCATTCCATGCATGGCTCCCCCATTTCTATCCCTGTGTCTTTCTCACACTCCTAAATAACTATCAGTTCAAACCAGAAAACCGAGTCTCACTTTGCTCAGCTATTCATTTTCCCATTTCCAAAAAAAGCCAAGGCAGTGTTGCTGCTGCTTCTCTCTCACACTGCGTGCCTTACACTCAGTCATCTCCTCCATAAAATGGGCCTACTTCACTTGACCGGTACTAGTTGAAATGCAGTCTTCAGGACCCACATAGATGTCATTTTTATAATAACTTCGTCAAACACCACAAAAATACAATATCAAATTATTGTGGAGCTTCATCCCATTTCAGGGGAGGGATTCAGTAAGGATAACATTGACCTACTTTGCACAAAGGTGCAGGAAGTCCAGCTTCATTCTCTGCCAAATAATGTTCACACCTACAAACTATTTACCTGCCACTGTCCATGCTACACAATGACAGTCAGTATATAGCCTAACAAAAGGGAAGGTCATTCATTGTCAATGCCCCAGACATAGCAAGCAGAGACTGCAAGCCAGGAACTGCTGTGTTCCCCTCTGTGTCCTCAATATCTAGGAAAGGATCTGGCTCTATAGTAGTAGACTTCCAATAAATATTTGTTGAGCTTAATTTTATAAAAAATGATGACTATCGTAAGTCTTAATTTGTATAAGAATTATTCCTTTCTTACCTATCCACCCACTACCTGGCCCAATATCTACAAGTTGCTGAAGTCGGGCAGTCTACCCAGATTCCACTCTGGTCCAAGTTGCCTCTGTACTTGTGGCTAAGACCACAAATCCATGGAGGCAATACCATGCTGTATGAATGGCCTCCCACCTATAGATACAATGTCATCCCACTTCATTTTATTGCCCCCACCACCACCCCATGAGATAAGCTAGAAATTTTGCAGGAGAGGAAAACAGAAACCAACAAGAACTCCCCAAGTTTCCACAGGTCACAAAGGCCCCACCCAAGTTTCAACCCAGGTACTTGGATCCAGTGGCCAATGCTGCTTCCACTGGACCACGCCTGTTTCCACATTTGTCAAATCTATGGAAATATGTGGTAAGGAAGAAAACACTCTTAGCCCTGGCATTGTGATGCTTCCTTTCTCTGGAATGTAAAGCCTTGGGGGAAACTAGCTCAGATAGCAGATTGCTCAAATGTCGTGGAAGGTCTGGTCGGGGAGCTAATCAGAACAATTTGAATGTGCGGCTAAGCAAGGACACTCCTTCCTGGATCAAGCGTTGCTTTGATGGCAATACTTTATAAGAACCATTCCCTTACAACAAAACTGTCAAATCCAGCAACCACAGGCCAGAAACATCCCTGCGGAACCCCGCCAAGCTGCTTTCTGATGTACTGTACACACAAATACCAATATTCCCCAGATGTTCTCCATGTAAAACATTTGGTTTGAGACACTGCTCTTCTTTCCCAAAAACTCTTACATTTGTTTAATGGACTCATACAGTTCAGCTAAAATATCCTGGAGCAGACATCTGAAGCCAGCCCGGCTCTAATGTGAGCATCCCATCTGCAGAAAAGACGAACAAGTAAATAAGACCATCCTTCCCAAGATTTATGCTCCTTGCATCTTTAAGCAGGTCATAAAATGTAAGCTATGTAAGGATAATAATGCAAGTTGCTTTCAAGTGTATTTCTGAGTCCATCTCAGTATTAATCTAAGACTGATGTTCCAACAGAGACTGGGTCTGGCATGCTAATAAGGGGACTAAATTCTACTTCTTACTCCCTCAAAAAAGAAATCTAAAAATCTGTCACTTGAGCAACATAGATGACTGAGATAAAGGTAGGTTTTTCCTGGTTTTAATTATCCAAATATAGCAATAGCTTCTTTATGCCAAAACCACTATCTCTTAACCTGTAGTGTAAAACACAGGTAAGAGGTAGCAAAATAGAAAATACACTTGACCTTGAGTCAAGAGACCCAGCTCAGCCACATCCTAACTGAGTGACCCCGACCAGCCCTATTTACTCCAAGGTGGCTCATCCTGTTACCCAGAAAACACGACTTCATGCTTGGAGCGCCATTCAGCCCTGAAGACTTTGGGGAATGGAAATAAGCCCTTAGAAATGCCACTCAAAGAAATGCCATGGATTCCATGCACGGCGCCCCTGCAGATCGTCACCCATAGTTTTCCTACTAACACAATTACGAGGAAAGCTTACTCACAGAAAATCTGTAGGGAAGCTGGAAAAATGGAACTAGAAAGCTGCTAGACACAGCCTCACTGACAGAAGCAAGACATGACAACTCACTTTCCCCTTAATCTTTAACTTTTCTGTATCTGGCGAGTTTTCAGTATTGAGCATGCACTATTTTCGCTAAGGGAAAAGAAGAATTTTATTTTTTAAAAAGGTCACAAAGAGGAATGAAAGTTAATAAGGGAGATGACAGACACAAACTATAAATAGCAGACATGAGAACTCCAAAACACAGTACAGAGGACCATTGAGGAGAATTTTCTCAAACTCATCAAGAAAAAGTTTTCACTACCTTCAAGGAACTTTGTTTTAAGAAGGCAAGAAAGTGTGCATCCCGATGAGAAAGATTTCCTGAAGAAATGCCTACAATGTTTAAGAGGATTGGCTCTTAAATGGGTGAGCTTCAATTATCTGGAAAAAAATATATTTAGAGCTCTCTATTATAACTTATTAGTATTTCCACTTAACCAAAGCATCCGATTAACCAGCGTTCTCCATTCCCTTGACTGAGGCTCATGGCAGGCTGAACACTAGGGGCTGTTGGGCTACTCTCTGCTTTTCCCACACCGGTCCACACAATGAGCCAACTACCCACCCTCATCTCAGCCAAGTCTACCACTTCCAATATCGCAGTCTCTACAGACCATGGCCTCCAACAGGACCAGAAACTTACAGCACCACTGCAACTGGCCCTTTGCTAAGGATAAGAAGTCCAATTTCAGACTTAGATTTGCCCTCATCATTGCCAAGAAAAGGCAAAGTGATGTGAGACGGCATAGAGAAAATGCCCAATATTGTGCCCAACATCCAGTATATGCTCCAAAAATGCTGGCTGTTCTTATCATTTTTATTATTATAATAATAACGAACAGACGTTATGCAGAGGCGTGTGCAAATACAAACACCACAATGAGAACTTCAAAATCTGAGACTCAGAGGACGATGTCGGGGGCAAAGTGAGAAGGGGGCTGGGAGAAAAGGAGCAGCTGTCGCCTCTTCTGAGAAGCCATCTCAGGTCACCCCACTAACAGAAGTCCCTCCAAATGTACTTCTGTAGTCCCCAGGGAATTGATTTCGCAGGATGGAATTATTTCCCTGAAATAAACAGACAGTCAAAGGTCACTACAACTGGGGCCTAAAAAGCAAACAAGCCAGCTGCTGATTTACAGGCAGCCTATGACGCAAGATAGCAAGAGGTCTCGGCCCAGGTCCAGTGCAATGGCTTCGGACACACCGGTCCCACAGGGGCGAGGATGGAGGAGGGGGCTCACCTTCCTGTAAGCAAGGTCCCATCTTGACCAGGCATGGATGGGGCCACCTTCAGGAGAGCAGACCCTTGAACTTCTGCTGTCAGCATGCTCTAGCCAGTGGCTCTCAGCCCTAGCAGTGCATTACAGTGACCTACGGGTCTGTTTAAAAATACTGATACCTGAGTTCCTTCCCCAGGCAGCCTCCTTTAGTTAGCCTGGGGTAAAGTCCAGACATCAGTGTTTTGAAAAGATCCCAGGTGATTCTCATGCTCAGCCAGGCCTGAGAACTAGCCACATAGCGGAAAGAACCCACAGCGGGGTCAGGCAGACCCGAGCTTTTAACTCCAATGCTCTCTTGCTTTCTTGAGCAGATCAGCCCTTCTGTCTGAGCATCGGTTTCTTTAACCCTAAAGTGAGGACGATCATCACTCCCCGTCACAGAGTTGCTGTGAAGACGGTACAAGATAATGTATGTAAACTGCATCACTTAGTGTATCTTGCAGAAGGCACACACAAGGTGGTTTCTAAATGTTAACCCCTCCTCATTTCACGCTTCTCTTTTCAAGGTTCTCCCACGTGGGTCAGGAGTTCGAAGCAGCTCTCAGTTCTAAGGGGTCTCCTGTCTTTCTAAGTGGTTAAAAAAGGGTGGGAGGCTGGGCGTGGTAGCCCACACCTGTAATCCCAGCACTTTGGGAGGCCAAGGCCAGCAGATCACTTGAGGCCAAGCATTCAAGACCACCCTGGCCAACAAGGCAAAACCCCATCTCTACTAAAAATACAAAAATTAGCTGGGCATGGTGGCGGGTGCCTGCAATCCCAGCTACTTGGGTGGCTGAGGCACTGGAAGCACTTGAACTCAGGAGGCAGAGGTTACAGTGTGCCGAGACTGTGCCACCACATTCCAGCCTGGGGTACAGAGCGAGACCCTGTCTCGGGAAAAAAAAAGGTGGGGGGGTGTGGGGAGGGAGGAACATCCCTCCTGAAAAGCAGGTATGAACAAGAGTGCTGACAGAACGGGTTGGTGGATCCCTACACACACAAAACACACACACATGCACACACCCCTACTGGGTGAAACAGCAAAACTATGTAAAAACTGAGTCACAAGTAGCAAAAGTGAGGAAAACCCAATCTTAAAGATTTTCTTTGCTTTTCTCATCTAGAAGAAAACCTATCTTGTGTGCGACACTTTCTCAGAAACTCTTTGCCTGTGCCTCTGTCTCCTCCATTAGACCAAGTGCAAGTCTTATGCCTGGGTGTACTACACAGGGCTGGTGCACAGTAGGCCCAAGGGAATGTCCATTGAACAGTTAAGCTCCTTGGGGGCAGGGGTGGATATTTGTAGACCAACAGTGCTCATAACATCCACACGTGGTAATCCCCTAAACAGGCATTTCATAAGTATACTGGAACTTTGATTCCAAGCAACTAGCAGAAAAGGATAAAAAGGCACACTGGGCATTCAGGAGGCAGCTGCCCCAAGTCCAGTGGCCATGAGCGGCAGTATCACAGCAGTTCAGGATTTTCAGATCTTACAAGGAGTGTAAACATGGGCAAGTGACTTAGTTTTCTGTGCCTGTTTATCCGCCTGAAAAATGGGGATGATAATGGTGTTCACCTCTTAGGGTTACCATGGGGATGAATTCAGGTCAGTGACTGACATGCTTAGACTATCGCCTGGCATGTAATTGCTGCTATGTAATTGTTTGCCATTATTATTACTCCATGATTGGATAACAAGAAAAGAAACCTCAAGTTTCAGGCCCAAATAGGAGCCCTCCATTTATCACAAGAGAAGGTATAGACGAGAGAAAATGGTGTGGTGTATCCCCAAATGAATACAGCAACTAGCTTCCCATTGTCCAGAGCTGTGTTCTCAAAATAAAGACCATGGACTTCCCCCATCACATTCACTTGAGTTGCTTGGTTAAAATGCAGAAGATACTCGGGTGTCCCCAAGTCCCACTCCAACCCTGTTGAATCAGAATCAGACTCTCTGAGGTCAGTGCCAAGGATGGTATATTTTAACAGGTGCACCTAGGAGATTCCCACATCCCTGAAAATTTAAGAGCCACTGGACTGAATAAGCTCCTCACCCAGAGGATCTGTTTGTTTGCTCATCACTATATACCCAGAGCCTCGCATAACGCCCAACCTGTAGTCCATGCTCGACAAATATCAGATGAATCCATTACATGGTTTCACCTCTAGAAGTATTTGTTCCATTTGTTTGAAGACTCACTATGTGTTAGGCTCATGCAAAGCAATGCTGATTCAGGCAATTTCATTCATTCTGAAAATCGTTACTGGGTGCTTAGTGCATACCAGGAACTGTTCTAGACACCGGAGATACAAAAAATGTGATGAACGAGGTTGCTCAGAGACATAATACTTTATAGATCATAATGTGTGCTATGGAGCTAATAAAGCAAGGTAAGGGGCCAAGTGTGTGCCATGTCCTCATTCAACCTAGTGTCTAGAGCAGCACTAGTCCTGCCCAGCAGAACTTTCTATGATAGTGGAAATGATCTATTCTGCAACATCCCATGATAGCCACTAGCCACATGGGGCTACTGGGCACTTGAAATGTGGCTGGTGCCACCGAGGGACTGAATGTTTTATTTAATTATAATTAATTTTAACTTTAATAGCCATATGTGCCCATATTAGACAGTGCAGGTCGAGAGGCAAAGAGGCAGATATGTGAGCTGGAAATTACAACAAAAGGCAACATGAGCTATGAGGAGGGGAAGACAGAGCACCATGTGCTATATCAAATGCCTCTCACCCAATTACCAGATGCCCTAATGTTCTCTGGCTCTGGGAATTGAAAGAACAAGGTCAGGTACGAGGCATTGTGCTTGGGCTGGAATTTTTATAGCCCATGATCAGTTGAAAATGGTATGCAGCCCGGCCAAGCCCCAGAGACTGCAGCTCAGGATCACACCACCATCTGCAAAGCCAGGCCACAGCTGCCAAAGAGATCTCTTTCCTCCCCGTCATTCTGCTGATGGTCATTTTGTCCTTGGCTACAACGTCCCACTGGGCCCGAGACACTGCAAGGATTTTATGAGATTTCTTTGCTTCAAGCGTAAGTACGAGTACAAGCCTCCTAAATTCCACCGGAAAATTGGTGGCTAATCCAAACATTTCATAAAATTAGAACTCATTGTGGGGCTGAATGGAATTCAGACTGTGCCGCCACCAGAGAAATGCAAAATATTCGTTATAATTTTTTCCTTCATGAGCTGTTTTAAGAAGCAAGTGCTTTTTCTGCTTGAAGCAAAGGGGTTGGGGGAAAGGAAGAGTTTTTGTTTTTGTTTTGTTTTCTCTGCGGTTTGCAAAAAGCATCACCAGATGAAAAAGTAAGGAATCCTGCCTGATTCCCTAATCCCTCAACTAGCAGGAATAATAATAAACCATCCCAATCTCAACTGTTCTTGCCTTTATAAAGACAGTATTTTTCCTGGAAAATGGGATTTTTTCCTGGAAAATTTGATTTTTGCTCCTTAATTTTTTCTTAGGCTTCAGCCCTAGAATTTTTATATCCTGGGATCTCATTAGCAGAGGAGATATTGCAATCATTCATGCATGCATGCACATCAGCAATATTAACTTGCCAAGCACTGTTCTAGGCACTTGGGGTACATCAGTAGGCAAAACTGATGAAAACCCCTGCCCTGGCTTGCCTTTTAGTAGGGGAAGGCAAACAGAAGAGAATTCAGCAACTGCCACTTTGAAACAATTTTGGGGCAAGACATGAAGATTCACAAAATGCAGTTTCTAGAAGCGGCTGGAATGTAAGCTGCAAGGAAGGGAGCAGAAACGTCATCTGTCTCACCATGGCTGTCTCCCTACCATCCAGAGTGGTATCTCACACAGAAAATGCAATCAATAAATATCTGTTAAATGGCCAGGTGTGGTGGCTCATGACTGTAACCCCAGCACTACAGGAGGCTGAGGCAGGTGGATCGCCTGAGGTTAGGAGTTTGAGACCAGCCTGTGCCCCGTCTCTACTAAAAATACAAAAATCAGCTAGGCATGGTGGTGCACACCTGTAGTCCCAGCTACTCGGGAGGTTGAGGCAGGAGAATCACTTGAACCCGGGAGGTGGAGGTTGCAATGAGCCGAGATCACGCCACTGCACTCCAGCCTGGGCGACAGAGCCAGACTCCATCTCAATAAATAAATAAATAAATAAATAAATAAATAAATAAATATCTGTTGAATGGATAATAAATTTTAAAACAAAAATCTGGCCCAGAGCGCTCATCTTACAGATAAGTTAGCTGAAGCCATGGAGGGGCATGTCTTGCCCAAGGTCACACAGCTTAAGTTGTGGCAGTGATGGAACCAGCAGCCAAGTCTCCCAACATACCTAGACTCATAACACTCCACAGCCATTTGACAAATATTTCTTGCATTCTGACTGTGTGCCAGGCACTGAACTAGGCACTGGGAGCATATAAATGAGTAAGACATAGAACGACTGGGATCATGAAATTAAGTTCTTCATATTGCTATTTTCCCAAGCACGGAGGCAACTTCTCTGTGCTTTAAGTCCGGCTCCAACAGTGGTTGTAATCATGAACCCTGAAGTCAGACGGTCCAGCCCTACATCCTGTGATCCTGGCTCTGTGACTTTGGGCAAGTCATTGGACTTCCTCTAAGCCTCTGCCTCCTCATCTATGAAATGAATGTGATAATAATACAGGTTCAAAGGCGAAAAAGCACGTAAATAGTTAGAATAGTGCCTGGCACACACTGATCACTCAATGATTCCTGCTATGAGGGTTGTTAAGGGAAAAATGCTCCCTCTGCTCTGGACCTTCCTACACAACCAAATAAGTGGAGATTTCCACTTCATTTTTCTCCTCTCCAGGATCTCTACTACCTGCTTCACGCCCACACACTCATTCATTTCCTCCCTCAGTGTTCCATTTGGTCCTGCCTGAAAAACAGATACCCACTAACCATGAGGATGATGAAAAATGAGGTTCTTCCCAGAGCAGCAAGCACATCACTGCCCTGTCTTTCCAGGCAAACACGTTCACGGCTGGGCTTTGAGCTCACCAGAGACACAGACCATTAGTCTCCCCCCTGCATGCCTTCTGCTAATGGAAGAAAGAGTTCACTATCAAATCTACTAAGAATCACACAAGGTAATTATCTTGCCTCAAGGACCACTGAGAGCTTCTAAGGTTTGCTGGCATCTGTCTTAATTGATACTGAGAAAGCCAAGGCTGCCTAACGGATGTGTTTGATAGAAAGTAATAAAATTCTGAGAGATTAAAGAAGAAAAATAAATACAACAAGAAATCAGTCTCCTTAAAAGGACCAGCAAGGAGGGATAAATGTGGACCACAAAGACTGAAGATCTTCAAATGTCAGGGTTAGATGCACATTCTAGAATCAAGAGGTGGGTGAACTCAACGGGGCAATATCTTACTCCCTGTTGCCTCCCCCAGTGCCTAGCACAGTGCTATTTGAATAAATATTTTTAAACCAGCTACCTGGGAGAGGCAGAAGGGAACACCTGCCACAAGAAAAAATGACAGAGATATTTCTACTCTTTCTTGGGAAGCAGTCTAGGCTCATAATTTCGAGCTCAGACAGACATGGGTTGTATTCCTGCCATCATCCCCAAGTTACAAACAGTGGGGCCCTGGGCCTCAGTTACCTCTGGGCAAAGTCAGGTGACAGCATCTATCTCATAGAATGGTTCTAAGAATTCAGTGAGATGACACAGGCAAATTACTCAGCACAGAGCCTGGCAAAGTGCTCAGTAAAGGTTAGCTTTATTTGTTCATCTTCAAGGATGAAATAGTAGTAAACATATGAGTCAATTCTTCCCTCTAAGTGAGACTGCAAAAACAGCCCTTCCCCTGGGGACAGGGCTCTCTTAAGTCTTTTCCTCATCCCTGGAATCTTGCCTCTAGCCTACCTGTCATCCAGGATCAAGAAGCCAAGCTCTCCTGGGTGCTCAATGTGCCCAATCACTGCTAAAGCCTTGGGAAGAATAAGTGGTGTCCACAGGGAGATCCTGAGAGCAGAGGCAGCCAGGAGCCTCTGGCCTCACTGGGACCAAAAGCAAAGCCCCTTTAAAGTCTAAGCATCTAAGGAATGAGCAAAGATTCCTCTGAGCTGCCCAGCAGAACATGAGCTTACCCTCCTCTGAATCACAAATAATAACAAATAACACTGCTTGACAAGTGGCTTCATGTCAGGCACTGTTCTCAGAGTGTGTGTGGTCCATGAGTCCTTGTGACAACCTAGGAGTTAAGTTCTATTACCAACCCATTTTACAGATGAGAAAACTGAGAGGTTCTTTGAGGATGAGCATTTTCTTTTTATTTTCTTTTATTTGAGACAAGTTCTTGCTCTGTTGCCCAGGCTGGAGTGCAGTGGTGTGATCGTAGATCACTGTGGCCTCCAACTCCTGGGCTCAAGCAATCCTCCCATCTTGGCCCCCCAAGTAGCCAGGACTACAGACGCAGGCCACTATGCCCAGCTAACTTTTCAATTTTTTTGTAGAGATGAGGGAGTCTCACTGTGTTGACCAGGCTGATCTAGAGCTCCTGGCCTCAAGTGATCCCCCTGCCTCCCAAAGTGTAGGATTACAGGCAGAAGCAACCACACCCAGCATGGGTGAACATTTTCTGTCTCACATAGAGTCTAGTTCAGAAGCCACCTCATACACGTGTTTCAGAAAGCCTTGGCTGCCTTGAGCTGAATAGAATGTATTTGCATCCCACAGAACCAGAGAGCAGGGAAGGCGAGCAGACCTCCCTAAACATAGGCTGACAGTCTACACAGGGAGACTCTCCGTACACTTGCAAAGTGTGTATGAGAATTGAAGATACTTCCTGCTTTCCCCAGCAAGGAGCCCTTCTGCCAAAAAACAAGCAATAGGAAATGCAGCCTTTCAGTGAATCCTAGGATTCTCTTCCTACGAGCTGGAAGGGACCCTTAAGGACATTTTTGTCTCAGGCCCTCAATTTACAAGTGAAGCAAGTGTGCTCGACACAGCAGCACCTACTGTGTGCAATGCCCCGTGCCCAGGCTGCTGCAGGGACAGACAGGACCAAGACCCCATCCTGCCTTTCCAAAGAGGCCTCCTTCCAAAACTTAGATTTATGGACCATTCACTGTGGGCGACACACTTTTCTAAGAACTCGACATACAATTTGTTAACACTGCAACTCCCATTTCACAGACGAAGAAACCGAGTCACAGTTGATTATCTCAAGGTTACATTGGAGGTTCATGTTCTTTCAAACCCAGGAAGCCTAGCTCCAAATTCTCTCTTTTCTTTTTCTTTTTTTTTTTTTTTGACACAGAGACTCGTTCTGTTGCCTAGGCTGGAGTGCAATTGTGCAATCTTCTCTCACTGCAACCTCCGCCTCCCGGGTTCAAGCGATTCTCCTGCCTCAGCCTACTGAGTAGTTGGGATTACTGGTGTGCGCCACTGTGCCCAGCCAATTTTGTATTTTTAGTAGAGACAGGGTTTTGCCATGTTGTTCAGGCTGGTCTTGAACTCCTAACCTCAAATAATCCACCCACCTCGGCCTCTCAAAGTGCTGGGATTTACAGGAATGAGCCACCACTCCCGCTTCCCTTTTTGATGTATAGATTGGACGGTCCACTTCCCTTCCATGATCCTGTAGAAGACTGGGACATGAGTGACCTCTGGCAGTTGGGGTGAACCACTCGTGAGCTGAGCCCAGTTCATAGTGAAATGGCAGCAGCCAGCAAGGCTTCGTTTGAACCTGCTGCAATCAAGCACCTTTGTGGCCCGTGAGCCTGACACAGACAAAAGTGAATGGGGTCCCGCTGGAGATAACTAAGAGAAGCAGCTGCTACCTTTTTTAAACAGGGAAATTGCCCTTCAGCCAAACAGACGAAAGTTGAGCCCTAAGCCACTCACCATTCCCCGCCCTTCCAGGGAAGGAGCTAACACCTACCACAGCCTCCACTTAGCGCCTTCCCCCTGGAGATCTCCATATCTCTAATAAAAGTAAGGGAAGTGGAATTCTTTTCTCAAATTTAAAAGGCAAATCATGATGGTGTTTTTTCAAGACATACATTAACTCCGCACCCCAGCCGGTTTGCAATACTTAAAGTACTTGATTTACAACCCAGAAAAAAATGTTTTGAAAACCTTGCAGATGCATTTTGCATCTAAACCTTGCACACTCTGCAGAGCTGATTACCTGGGCTTCTCAGATGGAGGGCTGGACTCTGAACGAAGCCAGGCCAGTGTGAGAGCAGCCTGAGGAGGCTGCTGAGCTCTGAAAAACTACCCGCCTGGAGCAGCCTCCAAGAGTGGGAAATGGGTTTGGGATGGGCTTGAGCCACCTCTCCAGCTGCTGTCACTGAGAAGCACCTGGCAATGCTGTGCATACAATGCTAAGGGGAAGCGTGACCCAGAGAAGGAGGAGGATGGAGCCCCAGGGCCTTCCCTGCTGACTCCCGCCTTCACAGACCTCTCCCTTCTCAGGATTGCTGGTGCTTCTTCCCGCAATTGTTCATTCAATCATTCATTCATTCTTACTGAGCACCCACTAGATGCCTAGCACTGGGCTACAGGCTGGGCTGCAGTGACGAGTGAGACAGACAGCAGCCCTGCTGCCTTTCTAATAGACAAGGAAGAATGGAGCCTACAAATAGTCCAACACACACTCTCCATGTGCTCACAAGGACACGAGACACGGGGCTGAAACAAAGAAGTAAGGAAGTGGTGGTCTGAAGACCCATGCATGAGCCTTGAAGGACATGGTAAATTCAGACTTTGGGTCCCATGCAACCATGGGAGGATTTTAAGCATGGAGAGCCATGAGCCAAGATAAGAAGGTCACTGGGTACTCCACCCTAGTACTTCTCCCTGAAACAGTAATATTACCTCTAGTTTTCAAGAGCCTACTATGCACCAGGCTCTGTGCTGGAAGCTTCCAAATCCTATTTCTGATGGCAATCTCACTTGGTAGGATATTTTGCACTTGGTAGGATACTTCATAGCTGCATTTTCCAGATGAGTAAACAGAAGCCAGAGAAAATGAGCAGCTTGCCTGGGACCATCTAGCTCCTGGGTAGCAGGACAGAATTTGAACCCAAGTCTGTCTGATTCGACAGCTGGGATTTCTTCCTCCACACCTCATTCCTTTTTTTTTTCTCTCTCTCTGTGAGACGGAGTCTGCCTCCGTCACCCAGACTGGAGTGCAGTGGCGCGATCCTGACTCACTGCAACCTCCGCCTCACAGGTTCAAGCGATTCTCCTGCCTCAGCCTCCCGAGTAGCTGGGATTACAGGCATGCGCCACCACGCCTGGCTAATTTTTGTACTTTTAGTAGAGACGGGGTTTCACCATGTTGGCCAGGCTGGTCTCAAACTCCCAACCTCCGGTGATCCACCCACTTCGGCCTCCCCAAGTCCTGGGACTGCAGGCGTGAACCACCGTGCCCAGCCTCGACACCTCATTTCTATACTCAGATTATTGCATTGTTCTCAGATTATTCCAGATGTCTGAATCTAATAGCCCCAACTAAATTCTAGGTATCTCAATGGCAGGACTTGTAATATCCTCCTCTGAAAGTCCCTATGGTGCTGGACACATTGTTAAGCACACATTAAATACATCTATCTGGTTTATTGCTAGATTGAAAAGAAGAGCAGGTGTGTTGAGCCCCAATGTGGGGATGTTAGGTCTTTCTTATGGGGAAGCTTCAGCCACAGAGTATTGACAAGTGGTAGCTAAGAGGAAGAAGAAAGCAAGCTACCACCAGGGCTGCCAAGCAGGGATGTGCAGATCATACATGCACAAGGCACCAGCCGATGGGCAGGTGAATGGGCCCCAGCCCGCGTCGTTCTCACAGAGCCGCTAGTAGGAGAGGGGCTGCTTCTGGCCAGGACAGAAGCCTTTTCATATGTATCCACCTGGAGGAGGCCTTTTTTTAATTTGCACAAAGGTGCCTTGTAGAGTAGCAATCGCCCTGGCTGCATCTATTGTGTACCTACTGTGTGCCAGGCACCAGGCAAAAGGCTTAGCTATGTCACCTCGGTGCTTCCTCTCAACAATCCATAAAAGAAGAACTATTGTGAGCCCTAGCAAAGAACCCAGAGGTTAAAAATTAGTCACTAGCCCAAGGTCACACAGCTCTCAAGGGGTGGGCTGGCATACAGACACAGGCAGCCTGGCCCTGGGGCTCTCTATGTTGACCATGGTTGGCAGGAGATTGTCTTCGCTTCTTTCACAAAATGAGCATGAGATTTCTGTGGAACCAGAGGTTGGAATCTTAGAGGCCTGAGAGATAGAGGCTTCCACCCCTTTCCCACTCTCCACCCTGAGCCCCCCCCTTTTTAAGTTATTACCAGCTTTATTGAGATGTAATTCACATATCATATAATTCACCCATTTAAAGTGCACAATTCAGGGGTTTTTAGTATATTCGGAGGGGTGCAACCATCATCACAATTTTAGAACATTTTCAGCACCCCCCAGAAAACTCCACACCCATTAGCAGCTACTCCCAATTTACTCCCAACCCCACCCGCAGGCCCACTCATCTACGCTGTCTCTATGGATTTGTCTCTTGTGGACATTACATACAAATGGAATCATACAATCTGTGGTCTTTTGTGTCTGGCTTCTTTCACTGAACATAATGTTTTCAAGGTTCATCCATGCTGTCACATGTATTAAGTACCTCATTCCTTTTTACTGTTGAATAACAGTCCAAAAATATTCCATAAATAAAATTATGGAATAGATCATAAGTAATATTCCACAAATGAAATGGATGTGCCAGCTTTTATTTACCCATTCATCAGTTCCTTCCACTTTGGGGCTCTTACTAATAATAATGCTCTATAGACATTTGTGTAGAAGTTTCTGTGTGGACATATGTTTGCATTTCTCCTGGGTAAACCTAGAAGTGGAAATGCCCAGCCCTGGTTTTCACATGCAGTTAAAAGTTTACCGAAGAGTTTCGCTGTAAAGCCAACATCTGGCTGCTCCTGGGCTGTTTCCAGGGAATTTTATCAATTCAGCCAGACTCCATTCACGGTGGGTCATCAGGCCCAGCCCCTCCTACTCTGAGGCCTGGGATCCTCTCATTCCTGTGCTCTACAATGTCGTCTGGGCCAGCACGATGATAAATGCATTCTGCTTTAAAGCAGATACTTCACAAATCATAACTTACAGATGCTCCAGGACTTTCATGTGGGAAAGACAAATGAGACTTCTGCTGTCTGACTCTGGAGCCACTGAGGACAAGAAGCCACGGCCAGAAACCTGACAAACCCTGGATATACGTCTCTCCCTAACAAATGCATGTGCAAACGTAACAGAAGGGGAATTCGTGCAGAAAAGGGTCTGCCTGTCTTTTCAGACATTGCTCTGTAACCTGCCATTCATTTTCAACCGTTGTCTTTCCTTCCCCACAAATCTAAAGTTCCTTGAGGTCAGGAAAGATAACGTACAACTTCGACACCTCCCAAGATATTCTCTCGCTCAATGTATTCACTTCAGTTCCATCCTACAAGCCTCTGTTGAGGACCTACTATGTGCTTGGCACCATGTGAGGCATTGACAATAAGTATCTTTGCAGGATGGATTCAAGACACACAGGACACAGCGACAGACAAGATACCTTGACTCAAACCCTTATCTCCTGCTGCTTCCCAGGAGGAAGCAAGATCAACACACACTGGCATGGTGTGGGGGCATTTTTGTCTGCAGGCAGGGAAGTGAACCAGCTTACCCCTCAAAGCCCCCTAGGGACTCCAGGGTCTGAGGCTGCTTGGGAAACAAAGGACTCTGTATGTGTCCAGGTGAAGAGCTCCCTGACCTGATTCATTACAACAAACTCCTCGAGGTCCAACAAACAGACCAACAAACAGATGGCTCACCAGAAGCAGGCACATCTCTTCTCCCTAACTTGGCTCTGATTCTTATCTTCCCAACCTCAACTCTTGCAAAAACTCCCTGCTCCAAGCCAGCACACCAAACTGACGGGCTCAACACCCCACTGTGATCAGAACCCAGCTCAGACCCCTCTAGAGGAAGAGTTAAGGTCAAGGTCTCTGCATTCACATTGCCTGGGTCCAAACCTGGCTCTGCTGCTGCCTGTGACCTTGAGCAAGCTAGTTAACCTCTCTGTGAGTCAGGTTCTTCATCTAGAAAATGGGATGATAGCAGAATTGTTATAAGGATTAAATCAGTTAACATGCACCTAGCATGTTATAAGCACTCAAGAAGTATTAGTTGCTATTATTTGCATTAGCATCAATTATTATTATTACCCCCATCTTACCTTACCAATCCTGCCCTCCCATTGTGTCCCAGCACAAACCCTGCATTCCAAGCCACCTGGAATATTCACCTTCCCCCAAACACAAGTGAATGAATGCCTTGGAATGCCCCACATTCCAATCCTCTGAAACCCAAATCAAGGGTCATTTTCAACAGCACTTGTCCTCCCATTAGCTGGAGAACACTTTCTAATCCCACAGTATACCCTGGCCCCTCCTCTAGATACCCTTCCGGAAGGGTGGGCGATCACCCCATGGCTGCTCTTCTGGCACCATTAGCAAAGAACCACACCCAAATCCAGAGGTCACCAGCTGTGCAACATTAAGGAAGGTTCTCAATTCCTCTAGCAGCATTGGGTTTCCAAACAAACTCCATCCAAACAAACAAACACCATCCAGCTGTCTGACCCTTGGCAAGTTACCTAACCTCCCTATGTGTCATTTTCCCCATCTGTAAAATGGGTCTCACTATTTTACACCTCACAGGGTTGCTGTGAAAGTTAAGTGAGGGAAAATGTCTCTAAAGCACTTAGCACAGTGGGATGCACCACAAGCTCTCAAAAATATCAGCTGGTAGTAAATAATGGTAGCAGTAGAAATATGATTCTGTCCAGGATCAAACTCACTTTCATGAGCTAAGCTTCAATGAACTGTTGTCCAACTTGAAAATCACCTGAAACAATCCTCTATGGAAGAGTTACTCATGCCTAGTAACTACTTCTGCCTTCTCTTTCACCAGGCTGGAAGCTCCCTGGGTCTTACTCATTTCTATGTCTCAGCATTTAACATGGTGAGTAGCACATGGCAGATGGCAATAAATCTTCATCGAACTGAACAGAATTAGTTTGCAAGTACATTTCACCTTTGCTACTAGATTATAAGTTCTTTAAGAGTGAGGCCCATGTCTTTCTCTAGTAAAGATTTATTAAATGAGTGATGGAAAAATACCAAACCAAGAATCGGGTTTCTAAGATCCAGCTCCGTCATTCAAGACCTGTGCAACCTCAACAAAGTCACTTAACACTTCTGCGCCTTACTGGTCCCACCTCGAAGATGACAAGTTTGAACCACATGTTTGCCATGGTCCCTTACACTCTAAAACTGTATTTGGGCCTTAGCTGCAACATGGCACTTCTGCCACCGTGCATGTGACGTCAACACACCTCCTGGCTTGGCAGGCCAGTTTGCTAATTTGCCTCCCTGATTTGCAGTTTTCCAGCAGGAGGCTATGAATAGCTTTGGGTGCTTAAAACACCCATTTTTGGTCAAAACACTTGGCTTGCTAGGTGAGGATGCCCCATCACCCAAGCTAATGCTCTAGTGGCCAGGGGCACCAGGGCAGACTGTGGGGGAGGGGCACACATTGCCCACCAGTCCTGCCACTCCCATCCCAGACTCCCCCCCAGGGACCCTGCCTCCAGCTCACACCACACCACCTACTGCTCACTAGAGATAACCTGGTACAGTGAGGAAGTTGAACTTGGCCCCTTGACATCGAGGTGATCACAGGACATAAAATTGTGTGGCTTTGGTTTTGGGATTTTTGGCAACGCTTTGTGTGGCCTGTAGGTCCAGGGAGCTTAGCTCAAAGAAAATGCATGCCGAATTATGACACAGAGGCTCACCCAGTAGGCCTGCCCAAAACTGTATCAAAACCAAAGTTGTGCAATAAACAAGGCCCAAATTCAAGACTTGAGAAATGTGTTCAGATCCTATCTGAATCTGGCTAATTATCTCATCTTCCTATGGACACACCTCCCTAATTAATTTGGTATTTATTTTATTACTCTGAAAAGTTGATTATTTCTTCTATCTCTCTCTGCATGATACAATGCATTGTCTCTCTGATGGTCTTAAAATCTAATGAAATCCTAAAATGAGATGAGAAAAAAAATCTGCTAAAAGGAGGAACTAAATTGATTAATGTCCCCTTTTGAGGTTTTATATAGATCACTGTATTCAGTTCTCACAAGTCTATGAAGTTGGTACTCTTAGTAGCTCATTTTACCGATGAAGAAGCTGAGGTTTCAAAAAGTCACATAGCTTGCCAAAAGACACAAAGCTAGTAGGGGATAGATCAAGGATTTGAATGTAAGCCAGGGCTCTTTGCCTTTCTGCAAGAGTGCCTCATTTTTGAGCTTGTTCATCTCTGGAACAAGCCACTCTGAGTCCTGGTCTCACGGACATGCTTTAGCAGAGGCTGCAAGACTGCAGGAGAGTGCCTGGACGACACACAGGGTCGCACCAGCTGACTCCAAGCATCTCATTCTGCACTTCTCTTCAGAACTGCCTTTCGCGGCACATAGAAAATGATGCTGTGTTGTGTTTTGTTTTATTCAGAAGGTCCTTCCAGGTATGCAATTAAAAACCATCACATCCTCATTTTTTAGAAACTTCTCTCCTCTCTGAGAAGAACCCCTGCTTTCAACAGGGATGTTGATTTCACAGCATTTCATACAACCCCATACTCGGCACCTGTCTTGGGCCACTCACATTAGTAAAACACGTTAGAACCACTGCTCCTCTTGAGAGATGCTGTAAAAGGCACTGGTGCAAATGAAAATAAAACATCACTTCAAAATTCTACCCAAAGATCAAAAGGCTAAATTAAGATAGTGCCCTTTCAGTTCTCCTCAACTGCACCTTCAAAGCATGTTGTGAATGTTTAGCACATCGCTGGTACCAGAAGAAAACTCCAAGTTCATATTTTAGATGAAAATGTCTTACTGCTCTTAACAGGTTCTGAGTCACCAGGCACTGTATGGGCAAGAACAACTCGTTGACCAATTTTTTGTTTGTTTGGTGTTATTTTCTGTTCAGCCAGTCACAGGAAATTTTCCACTTGACAATTCCTGTTTCTCACTAAAGTTCTTAACACCATCTGTGAGCAGTGTGCTCAGCAGGGGGAGGACGGGGGGCCAAGGAGGACTTTCCTTCCCCAAACCTCAGTTTTCCCATCTGTTTTATGCAAGGTTTTTACCCAGGGATCTGGCTAACATTCTGTAAGCTCAGCTATCAAGGAGAAAGCAGCCCCATGAATAAACGAAGCATTTTAGAGACTGTCAGTTTCTGGGCGTGGGTCTGCTGCCAGATTTAAAATCTTTACATAATTTTGGGGTAAAACAAGAGATTTAGCTGAAATTAATAGCACAATGGGAAAATGAACTAGGGCTGAACAATAACACAGCGGGACTTCAGATTTGCGGCTGGTAAAGAAGCCTCTCTCGTTCTCAGGGCGCCCCCTCGTGGCCGCTTGACTAAATCCTGACGGAATGTTCAGTTTCTGCAAATACAGAGAAAGACATCCCCCAAAAGAGAAAGGCGGACTCCTGCCTACTGATGCAAATCCCTTTCACTCTAACCTAGTCTGTGGATCAGACAGCTCAAGAACGCCTGACAGGAAGTCCCACTGACGCTCAGAAAGGCGTCTGCCATAAGACAAGGGTTCGTTCGTTAGAAAGGTCTGAGGTAGTGCCCCAGCATTTAGACTTTGGGGTCCCTTCACAGACCCTAGACACACCCTTACCACTTCAACAACCCCTCATAGCCTCACATTCTCAACCTGCAGCTCGAACTGCGTCTGTTTTTCATTATTCTGCTTCCCACCTTCCCAGTGCGATTCTTCAGCAGCTATTAAGACAACATGAGCAGGGATCTAAGCTTAGTTTTTGCTTATTCAACATCCAGCCTGGGGAATATCACCTCAGAAGAAAAGCATGAATGAAGTGCACGTTTCCCAGCCTCTTCTTCCACAAACCTGAAATTGCCTTCATCAGAGGCCACCCTTACAACCCTCCCCTTTAACAATTTCATCCTACGAAAATGGCACCTGCCCAGAGTGAATTCTCAACTACTTGCTTGCTGTAGAATTTATTACAGAGCCAGCTTTAAAAAGAAATGTACGCCATCTCAAATTTCCAATTAATTGATAACAGATTTTTTTTTAAAATAACGTTATGGGACGAAGTTATATAGACCCAAACATCAAATCTGAGAAATGGGTTGGGAGGGCGTTATCCGGGTATCCAGATATTTGAGAATTTGGGGACTGAACTTTGCTGACTGGCACCCCCATGTTTTTTTCACAGAACTGTTCCTGCCGAAATGCAAAAGAAACATGTCAATACTAAGCTGCTATTTTATTTGACAGCTCATTTTCCTTTTTCCCTGCAGTCATTTGTTGTTTATAAGCAAACCTGAGCCTCCAAAACACCCCCAAAAGTGCACACAAGGAGTCCCATAATCAGTTTCTGACTTTGGCCCTAAATCGATTAGAATACATCTGATCTGCTTCAAATCAAAGAACCATGTTAATTTTCTGCCACACACCACACAAAATCTTTCTGCAACAGTCAGTCACTTTGAACCCAACTCTCTAGCCACAAGCAGTGTGGATTTCAAGGGCCTGTTCTGCAGAAGTGAAAATAACAACAAACCAAGGCTGGGACAAGGCAGACAGACCCCAAGGCACTCAAAGCACTCCTTGGAGCTGTGCAAATGGTGCCAGGACCCTGGCAGGGTGTCAGCTGTCACAAGAGCAGCGGGGCCAGACCCCTTCAGCGGTTTGGTAGCCCTGCAACCAGGAGCTGAAACACAACTGAGCCTGCTGCAACTAAGCACAGCTATCTCTGTAGCTACCCATGCCCTGGACATTTCGGTCCTCCCAAAGCCATGATGCAAACTGTTAGAATCCTCAGGCTTGCAGTAGTCTTTATTTTTGCTCCCTAACCTTGTCTCAAAAACAGGCAAGAGTCGCCCTCCCTTGCAGTCACAGCAGTATCAGGGCGATGCAGAGTCTGAGTGGGAGGATGCAGAGCAAGGAGCTGCGGGCAGATGGGTGGAAGGGGGTAGGGACACCTACAAAACACCGGACTTGAGGGGCTAGCTCCTAGCTGGGAATGTGGTTCTTTGGAGAGTTGTGGAAATAAGACGTTTCGGGGCATGGTCTAAATGAGTGCCTGCGAGGGAGAGAGACCCCGGCCGTCCCAACGCTGCAAAGTGTTTGCAAATCTAAAACATTCCTTTGCTGCTAGGATTAAATTTTTAAAAACAAACCAAAAAATAAAATAAAATATGTGCAGACAGGATGTAACAAGTGTTTCAGGACAGAGACACGCCTGAGTCACGGGGTGCTGGAGAAAGAGTGAGGAGTCTGTCTCGGGGCTTCCCAATGAGCCCCCTCTCTGTCAAGAGAGCCCCAGGGCGCACAGACCCCCGCCTCGCACGCCCTCAGTCCCCGGCCGCGTCCACCCAGCGCCCCCCGCACCCTCCAGGATTGCCCCACTCACCACTCGGCCAGAAAACCTCTCGGTGGCCCGCTTGACTTTGCCGTAGGTGCCTTTGCCCAGGGTCTCCTGCAGCTCGTAGCGGTGCTTCAAGTTGTGCTTGTGGTGATGCCGCTTCACCCCGTGCGGCTTCCTGGGCTCCAGGGCTGCAGTCGCCCCCGCCACCGCCTCTCGGGGAGAGCCCGGCGCCCCCAGCCCCAAGTCGGGGCGGTCCCCCGCCACAGGCGCGGCGGCCCCTTCCATGTCCAAGCGCGGGGCGAGCCGGGCTACAGAGGGCAAGACCGGGCACAGCGCTGGGATGTCGGGGTCCCCACCGAGGGAAGCCGCTGTACGCTCAAGGTCGCCCCCGCAGCATCAGGGAGGCGGCCCGATACCGCTCGGACTGCGGCTCGGTCACTGGCGGCGGCGGGGACTGCACATCTGGCGCCCGCGGCGCGCACGGTCCGCGCACCGCCCCCCGGCCGCGGCGAGCTGTGGAGCGTCGGGCGAGGTGGCGGCGGTGGCAGGGGAGGCGGTGGTGTTTGCAGGAGGGAGGGGAGAGGGTGGCTCGCAGCGCAGGAGGGGGAGTGTTATGTGGGGCGCCGCGCCCCCCAACCCCTCCCCGGGAGGACGCGCAGACGGGGCGGGGGCGGCGCTCGCGCGGCCCCAGGGGAGGGGGAGCGAGGGGCGGTGCAGCCAGGGCTTCCCCCACCTCCCTGCAGCCACCCGGGGCCGGGGCCGCCGTGAGCTGGGAGGGGGATGGGAGCGTGTCGCGACTCGCCCTTTGTGCGGCGCGGCGTAGGCCACGGCGGCGGCGGCGGCGGCGGCCAGGAGTGCTTTGTCCTCGCTGGGCCGGAAGGGACCGGGAAATTCCAAGCCGGGCGCCCCCTCCCCGGGCGCTCTCGGGCTCGCCAGTCGCAGCTACCGCGGGCCCTCCGCCGCCTCGGGCTCCGGGGCCGGTCGCTCGGCCTGGATTCCTGCTGGCGCCGGGGCGGCGGTTGCGGCTGGCCGAGCCCCGGGGCCGGGGAAGAAAGAGCGCCGCGAGCCGGGGGCCGCCGGGACCTGCTCGCGATACGGCCGGGGCCGCCGCGGGCCTGGGCGCCCCTTCATTTTCTTGTAGGTGTCGCCGCAGCCTGGCGGCCGGAGCTGGGGGAGGGGGCAGGGAGGCCTGGTGTTCGGTTACAGGCGGTGACTCACGGACCTTGCCCGCCCGAGGCTGGCACCCCGCGGGGCAGAGCTGCGCCCGCCTGGGGCAACTCCGAGTCCAGGAGAACCCCAAGAGCGGCGCTTTGGCCCCGGCCCCCGCGCCCTCTCCGAAGAAAGGAGAGTCAGGGACGGAGGGAGGCCGGGAGGCTGAACCCCGGGCCCGCCGTCGAACCGCCGGCCCTCCGACACCATCTGGACCCCGGCGGGGACAGCCGCCTGGAAGGGGAGGAAGGCCAGGGACGTGGAAGAGATGGGGCTCTAAAGGCGCCGGGACGGAGCTGGCTCCCCAGAGGCGCCCACCCTGCCAGCGAAGGCCGCCATCGGAGGTGGGCAAACCAGGGACCTGGGGTGGACCAGGACCCCGGGCCTGCTGAGCAACCCGTTTGCTGAGCAGGAGGCGATTTGCAGGCCTCTTGCCTCCTTAGGCCTTGGGAGATTTCCTTTCACTGAAAGGGCCAGATCCTGGCGATGGTGACAGGAACGGTACCCCGCACGGTAAGGGTCAGGCAGGAAGGGCCTCCCACCGCGGCGTGGCTGCCGCCGTTCTAAGAAGAGACCATGAAAAATAAGGAAGAAGGCTAGAGAAAAAGAGGTCTTAGGGAAATTTTTTTTTTTAACAAGTGGTGCAATGTACCAGACTAGGGTGGGAAGAGTGAAGGCTGAAGAAGGTCTGGTGTTCTGCAGATCGCATGGCGGTTCTTTTCCACCAGTGGACCTCACTGGGGCCTCCTCTGCAGCTCTCAGGTGCAGCCCTTCCTCTACATTCCCGCCGCCTTCATTCCTGTCTACCCCTGGTCACCTTACCCCGGACTCCAGCAACAGCCCGCTCTCCCCAACCCTCCCCGGGAGCCTCCTCACTGCTGCCAGAGTAATGGCCTGAAACACTGCCCTCATCCTCCACACGTGTCTCTGCTGTACTCTGACGCGTGATATTCTTACCTGTCCAAACTTTCCTTCTACTGATATTTCACACAAACTTCCCTGCCCCTTCTTCCCTTCCCCAGGAGCAATGACAGAACACAGACACAAAGGCGCATCATGCCTATTCAATTCCTATTCTGTCCACCGCATTTGCAGGGCCTCCCTGCCACCCACCCCCATCCTGAAACTGTTCTGCTTCTATACAGTTTGTGGACGTTGTGCCTATAGATCCCACAGTCAGGATGAGTGGCATGCAGGTTGAGTCCTGGCTTCCCAGAGGATTGGCTGTGTGGCCTTGGTCAAATGACATAACCTCTCAGAGCTTCGGTTTTCTCTTAAGATATGGATTTAGCAGATCTATTGTAGAGATAAACACATTGTGTCTACAGTAGTATTTTAAAATATTTTCTACTTCTTCCCCTCCCCTGCGATGTGGTAGAAATCCACTACCCCATCCTCTTGAAGTTAGATGAGACCATCGGACTTGCTTAGGCCAATGGAATGAGAGCAGAAGTGATTGTGTTGCTTTCACTTGGAACCTTTAGGAGCCAGTGAGCAAATCCCCATGTCTTCTTTTTCCTATCTTGACAATCATGGTGGTACAAAGTTGGAGCCTCCCCAAGCCAGCCTGAGTCTCTGTGTAAAGATGGCAGAAAATCCCAGCCAATCTGCATTGGAAAAGTAGTGTCAGCAAATATTAAACTTTATTTATGTTAAGTCAGTGGGATTTGTTAAAGCAGCATAACCTGGCTTATTCTGGCTGATAGTGTTACTCCCAGATATGTGGGACTTCATCAGTATCTATTGAATCAACAGCATCATCTACCATAGGCTGGTACTGTTTTATGACAGTAAACCCTCCTCTGTAAAGTAGCTGTTTACAATCCCTATTTTCAATTGAAGAAACCGTATCAGAAAGGTTAAGTAATTTCCCAGAGGTTACACAGTTTGTAAATGGCAGGACCAGGATTTAAACCCTACCTGTCCAGTTCCAAAGCTCCCCCTTCTCCTTTCATATATGCCATGCTCCGTCTCCTTAAATGGGAAGGATGAAAAACACCCAGTACAATGCCTAGCACACAGTCATGCCCAGGCACTGGGAGTTCCTCTCCAGACTGAATTCCTACCACGTTTATAATTGGAACCACACTTCAGCACAATGCTATCAGGCATTGTGTGTGAATGTTTTCACATCGATAAAGCATTTTCTCCAACAAGAGCCCAGGCTCCTTGATTAAGAGCTTCAGATCTAGAGGCAGAGTGACTAGGTTCAAATCCCTGTTCCACCTCTTATGATCATCTTGGATAATTGTTTTCCCCCTCTATGCCTCAGTTCTCTAATCTGCAAAGTGGCGATGGTAACTTTCATGTGCGTCTGTGTGAAGAGACCACCAAACAGGCTTTGTGTGAGCAATAAAGCTTTTAATCACCTGGGTGCAGGCGGGCTGAGTCCAAAAAGAGAGTCAGCAAAGGGAGATAGGGGTGGGGCCGTTTTATAAGATTTGGGTAGGTAAAGGAAAATTACAGTCAAAGAAAGGGGGGTTGTTCTCTGGCGGGCAGGGGTGGGGGTCGTGAGGTGCTCAGTGGGGGAGCTTTTTGAGCCAGGATGAGCCAGGAAGAGCCAGGAAAAGGACTTTCACAAGGTAATGTCATCACTTAAGGCAAGGGCCGGCCATTTTCACTTCTTTTGTGGTGGAATGTCATCAGTTAAGGCAGGGCAGGGCATTTTCACTTCTTTTCTGATTCTTCAGTTACTTCAGGCCATCTGGGCGTATACGTGCAAGTCACAGGGGATGCGATGGCTTGGCTTGGGCACAGAGGCCTGACAGTAACAATGTATGTGGTATTAGCAATTACGCCAATAACACATCCCACAGGGTTGGTATGAGGATTAAGGGCTAGACTATATCCACTCAATAAATCGTGGATATTAATACGATACTTTTCATCTTCCATAGCTCCTACTAGAATTTGGAGCCTTTTTTTTTTTGCGATGGAATTTCACTCTTGTCACCCAGGCTGGAGTGCAATGGCACGATCTTGGCTCACTGCAACCTCCGCCTCCCTAGTTCAAGCAATTCCCCTGCCTCAGCCTCCCAAGTACCTGGAATTACAGGCATGTGCCACCACGCCCAGCTAATTTTTTTGTATTTTCAATAGAGACGAGGTTTCACCATGTCGGTCAGGCTGGTCTCAAACTCCTGACCACAGGTGACCCACCTGCCTAGGCCTCCCAAAGTGCTGGGATTACAGGAATGAGCCACCGTGCCTGGCCTGGGGCAATTTTAAGCAGTTTAATCATACTGCTTGGTTAGACTCTGATTTCTGGTTTTGTTCTTGGATACAGGACAGATGTAGTAACATTGGCACTTGAAAGTGTGACATCCACACTATCCTACATCTTTTATTTACATAAGGCTCATTACTGGTCCTTCACTGCACTTTCTATTTTCAAAGCAATTTAAAAGAAAGAAGGTATGTTCGCTTTCTCAAGAAATCGTTGTTCAGGAATCCTGTCATTCAGGCAGCATAGATGAGCTTGGAGGACATTATGTTGAGTGAAATAAGCCAGGCACAGCAAGACAAATACCACATGTTCTCACTCATATGTGGAAGCTAAAAAAGTTAATCTCATTGAAGTAGAGAGTAGAATTGTGGTTACTAGAGGTTGGGGGAGGGGACAGGGATAGCCAAAGGTTGGTTAGCGAGCACAAAATTACAACTAGATAAGACAAATAAGTGCTCATCTTTGATAGCACTGCAGGGTGACTATAATTAATAATTTAATTGGGAGGATACAATAAATTAGTAATTTATATTGTGTATTTAAGAACATACAGTAGAATATTATATTGTATATATTCATTATTGATTGTATATATTTATTTATTGTATGTTTATAATTTATTGTATATAAATTATATACAATATATTGTCTATATTAATAATTTATTTTATATATTCAGATAGCTAGAAGAGCAGATTTTGAATGTTCCCAACACAACAAAATGATATATGTTTGCTATGTGAATAACCCTGATTTGATCATTACACGTTGTATGCATGTATCGAAATATCACACTGTGCCCCATAAATATGTACAATGATGTGTCAGTTAAAAATAAAAGAAAAAAAAGAAACATTTGTTCAGAAAACATAGTAGTAGCAGTCATTATTTATTTACTACCTACTACATTATTTATTTACTACCTAGGACCCCTACATATGCATATCGCCCTGCTAATCATCGTAAAACTGCAAGGTGGGTGTTATGTTGCCCATTTTGCTACTGAGAAATCTGAGTCTCAAAGAGGCTAAGTTGCCTGTGATCAAACAGTAACTGCAGTCAGGATTTGAACGCGAGCCTCCGACTCTAAGGCTTTGCTCCAACCCCTATCCCGAGCTCATGTCAATTAATGCCTGTGCTTTGGCTGATAACTGTTCTTACACTTTGCTAGATGAAGTTTTGAAAAGTTACCTAAGACTGTGATGTTTCTAACTTAAACATGTGGTCTGGTGGACAATTTACTTTAAATAGCAAGCTAAATAAGTGCTTAGTCTTCACTGTAGTGGAAGGAAGATAATTGCAACCAAAAATTCATGCTGCTTCATCCATAGAGCTGACAGACGGCTGCTCAGCCAGGGACAATGCCCAGCCTCCCATACATCGAAGTGTGGCCATGAGACTAGGTCTCTCTAATGGAACATGAGCAAAAGTGATGTTTTTTGCTTCCAATCCAGGGTGTTTAAAAAGTGGGTGTGCCTTCTCCGCATTGCCTAGCTGGAAACAGAGGACTTGGAGGCCCTAAGTGGATGGTGAAGCCATAAGATAAAAGAAACTTGGGCCACTACTTCACCTTAAGAAATAAAGTCATTCTCTGACCAGGACATTGGACTGGTGCATCAGTGAATAATAAACTTAACTGTATTGTGTTAAGCCCGTGCAATTTGAGGGTTTATGTCATGACAGCTAGTACTACCCTAACTAATACATACGGTTTACACCAAATCTGTATGTACACAGAAAAAGCAAAATGGAAGATTATAACAAGTACCTGAATAGTTGAAACCCAAAATGACATTTTTATTTTCTCTCTGTTTATTCAAGGAGATACCAGATTATTTAGGGTCTTGAGTTTTTCTTTTATTTTTCCTGCATTGCTTGTGTCAGAGATTAAATACGAGTAGTATTCAACAGTCATAAAACAGGAAGAAACAAATTTATTCATTCCACAGTATTTTCCCATACATGTCAGGCACCTGGGGCTGAGAATGTGCTGGGGCAAGACAGGTCTGATCTCATCTTCATGCAGCTTCCAGTCTACGAGTAGTAAGTACAGTTGATAGCATTCAACTGACCTCCAGCCATCAAACTTCTTGGGATAACCCAGGCTACTTGAGTGCAGACTAGATAACTAAAATAAAACTAAAGCTTACTCACAAATCCAACAGAAAGCTATGTTTCTTCCCCCTGCTAAGTGGCTAGAGAAACAAGAATGATGACTAAGGGCAGAGACTCCAGAATCAGAAAAACCCGAGTACAAATGCTGACTGTCCCACTTTCTATCTATGTTCTCTTGGTCAACTTCCTCTTTGTTTCTCAGTTTTCTCAGCTTTAAGATGGGGGCATTAGTAATACCTGTCTCAAAGGGTTTTTTGTTGTTGAGGATTGGATGAGTTAATTAAAAAAAAAAAGCACAAGATCAGCAAGATACGAGTAGTAGCACCCAATAAATGTAGGCTGTTTTTTTGGGTTTTTTTGTTTGTTTGTTTGTTTTGTTTTTTTGCCACCTGCCCACTGGTATTCTATTCTGTATATAAAAAGATATAAGAGAAGGCCTTTCTATGGAGGTTGACAGGTGACATCAGGAAACAGAAGTATAAATAGAATCAGTGGATATTTACAAGGGTCAACAGAAATAGCTCAGATGGAGTTTTAGTTTTAATTTATCTCATGCATTTGATGGTTGAGAGGGCCCATTGAGCCTGTTGGGAAGAGTGTCAGTCTGGGGAGCCACCTCAGTGGGTAACCGATGGAGCAGATGACTGATGACACCCTCCAACACTGACATTCTTGATTCCTTTTGGAGATGTCAGGCTTCCGTTCCTTGCACATTCCTTCTTGCCTTCCTCCTGCACATATGAATGGGATGGAGCACGTGGACAGCTGGCAGCAGTCCCATTTGCCTTGTTTTCTCTGTTCTAAACCCTGTACTGAAAAATAAGATAGCTTCTTCCTGGGGAATAAAACAGCAGGGATTCGTTGGAAGTTTCTGTTATCAAAAAAAAAAGAAACTGAAAGGTGATAAATTCCTGTCAACAGATAAGGCACTGGCAGGACTCCAGAGCAGAAACAACACCGTGCCACCCTGGAAAGAGTGGCTGCCAGAAAGTCGCAAGAGTAAAAATGTCACGTGCAGGGACGTGCTGGGGTCGGGTGGGAGAAAAACTCTAATTGGCTACAATGGAAGAGGCTTAGGCTTTCACTGAGGTTAAATAGGGTTCTGGGCAGGGTGGGGTCCTTTCTCTTGCTGAATAATGCACACATTCCTTTCCCTTCATGGTTCTCAGGGTTTCATGTCTCTTGGCCTTTGCACATGCTATACCCAATTCCTGGGACCCCTCATTTCCTGGCCTCCAGATGACAAACTTCTACCATCTCAGAGACCTAGCTGAGGACGTCACCTCTCCCCTGATCCTGGGCTGGGCAGAACTGAAGGCTCAGTTCTCCTCTGTCCCCAGAGCACTCGGTTCCTGGGTCTATTATAGCACTTACCACATGGTATTACAATTACTCAATTGTGTGCCCAGCTCCCTGCAGTTGCCTGGAAGCTCCGGAATGGCAAGGTCTAGAACAGCACTATCCAATAGAAATATAACGCGAGCCACATAAATAATTTTAACTTTCCTGGCAGCCATGTTAAAAACAAGTCAAAAACAAGAGAAATTAACTTTAATAATATAATATTCGAAATAGTAATAAACATATTACTGTATTACTATAAAATAAATAGTAACAATAAAATATTTGGAATAGTTTAATTTCAATATGTAATTAATATAAACAACTCACTGATAAGATATTTTACATTTTTCTGTGCTCAATCTTCAAAATTCATTATGCATTTCACACTTAGAGTATTCTCAATTCAGAGATAAATTTTCAATGATTAAACTGAAATGCAACTCTAGCAAAACAATAAAGTTGTATTTAATAAAATTTTCATTTGAAAATTTAAATTTAAAAAATCTGAAGCAGTGTAAAATATATTTACAGTTGATTATATAAAATTATATAACATTACTTATATTTATTTTATACATATATATTTATTTTATATATATTTTATATATCCAACAGTATAGAGCTAGATCTTATTCTTCTAAGAGAAGCATAGGTCTGGCTTGTAGTGGGTGCCTTAGGAATGTTGAACAGATGTATGGATGGATGGGTGGGTAGATGGATGGATGAATGGATGGACGGATGGATGGACGGATTGATCGATGAATTTATTTGATGCCTTTACTTTCTCCCTAGTTTGCCATTCAATTTCCTATTCTGGAAATGCATAGCCCAGAAAAGAGAGTGAGAATGAACTTAAGAAAAAAAGTGAATTCACAGAAATCTTCCTTGGACTCCAATTTGCCTGTTTGCCCCATTGGGCAAAGTTCATACAAAACAAAGTTCTACTTTCCAATCCACACAGTTCAGCAACCCAGTACCTTCAACTCTGCTCAGATGTCACCCTCACCATGGGGCCTTTCCTGACCATCCTGTCTACAATTGCAGCCCACCTTCTCCACCTCCCATTCTGCTATTGGCGCTGCTTTCCTTCCCTGGATGCTTTATTCTTCACCATTGCATTTACCACCATATAATATATTATAAAATTTCTTTATTTGTTGTGTTTGTCCCCACATAGCAGGAGTTTTTATTGGTATTATTCACACATGAATCCCTAGTACCTGCTATATAGTAGGTGCTCAATCATTATGTAATGAATGAATGGGTGGATGAATGGTTTGAGTTGAGTTCTAGCAGCTCTTCCACCATTCAGCTCTGTGACCCCAGGAAGTGACTGAACCTCAATCCCTCCATACGTAAAATAGGTATAGTAATAATACTTAGTACATAGGATTGACAGGATACAATCCTACAGAGTTAATGATTACCTTGTAGAACTATGAAAATGTCTATGAAGTGTTTAACATAGTACTACATAGGCACGTGGTAAACACAGACAAAACATTAGCTGCTATTATTATTGTTTAAATAATATTATTATTAGATTTATTCTATCAGGTCTATAGCAAGCATGTAAAACAATTACCATTTCCCAAGTAATTATGTCCCAAACAAACAAACAAAAAAACTGGGTCAGGAAAAAATAGCCCTGGGACCTAGATTTCCTATATAACTGCCTACATTTATCTGTGCTGTGTTTATTTGTATTCTTTTAACTCTGGAAAACAGGTCTCTCAGACCCACCCTGCCAAGACCCAGGGTGGCTCAGTGTCAGGCCCTGCGTCCATTCTGTTTACTGTCACCAGGGACTAAGGCTCTAAAAGCAGGCACGAGAGGGAAGGCATTCCAGGCGGGTCACCAGCCCACCCGTGACGACAGACGCTCCCGGCCCACCTGCTCTGGGACGCTCACACAAGCCTTAGATGGCCTGGGGCCTGGCAGCTCGCCCAGTGGAGCCAGCCTGCCCGGCAGCCGGCTAGCTGGCAAGGGATGCATTAGCTGCCTTCCTGGCAGACAAGCCACGTGCCCTAGATTCCTCTCAAGGGCCTGCTTCTCCTGCTTCTCCCAGCCTCATCCTTTGAAACCCTTAATTTAATAGGCATATTTCCAGTCTGCCAACCCCTTCGTGATGCTCTTCATTCGCCTGTTCACTCATTCATTCAACAGATGTTAGCTGAGCATCTATGATGCTGCAGTCATTCTGCAGATAAAGAGTAATACAAGATGGTCCTCTGCCCTCGAGGAGTTTCTAATACCTCCCATCAGCATGATGCTTTACAGTTTACAAAACACTTTCCCACAAGTGGTCTTTTTTAATTCTCAAAATGATACTTTACTTGGGATTAGATATTTTTATTTCCCACGTTTTTCATGGGATATGCTAAGAGATCGAGAGACTACCCTATGGTCTCGCAACTTACAAGCTCAGGTAATTTGGCTACATAATAGCTAATATCTGAGCAACCAAAAACTTCTCCAAGAAAGGGAGAAGAAATCACATCTCACCAATAGTTGTTATATAAAAGTCACAAAAAGTCAGCTCCTTGAAAGATAAAGTCTATTTGACTGTATATCTAATGGCTCCAAAAAGAAATTGCATGTTTTACATATATAAAAGTCACAAAAAGTCAGCTCCTTAAAAGATAAAGGCTATTCGATTGTACATCTAATGGCTCCAAAAAGAAAGTGCATGTTTTGCATGGTGAGGAGACAGACTGATTTCCTCCATGACAGAACAAGGGACAACTGGGAAACTTCCAGGAATTCGGATTGAGAACCTCGCCAGATCTAGGATCTATCTGTCCCTGGCCTCTCCCATATAAATGCCCCACTCAGGACTCTTGAAACATCTGAACTCAAAACCCTGACTGCCCAAATTAACTGGATATGGACAGATGCTGGAAACACGCACACAGGTATGAACAACACCTCTTTCCCCCAGAAGCACCATTTCCAGCGTCCCTACCTTCAAACCTGAAGTTCTCCAGGGGAAACATCAGGTAGCTTTATAAGGAAAAACATCTCCCCACAGCTCCACCAAGTGGCTGGGTCTGCCCACTGAAAACTTCTCCAAGAAATGGAGAAGAAATCTAGTTCACTTCAGTGCAAGCCAAGGTACAAAATAACGACTAGGACCAAGAAAGAGAAGTTGGCCAAATGGAAATGGGGTGGAGAAATTCTGGGGAGACCCAGGAGGCATGGATGTCCTCAGGGCAGGGAGAAGGAAGGCGGTTGAAGCTCTTTAGCAAAAAGTAATTTGGCAAAAATATATAGACTCAGAGCTAGAAGTAGCCAACACTTCCCTTCTAATAGATAAGAGAACTGAAACCCAGAGACGTTCATGCTCTCATCGTGTGACAGAAGGGCAATGGTGGACCCTGTGCAAAACATGGTACTGGTGTGATCTTACTTAATCCATGTGAGTCTACGGCGGATGTATTACTACTTCCCAATTTTACAGACAAAGATAGGGCGAGAGTCAGCACGCTATGGCCCCCTGCCTGTTTTTGTGCCATACACAAGCTAAGAATGGTTTTTACACTTTTGAGTTGCTTTTGAAAATCAAATAATAATAATATTTCATGATTCATGAAAATTATATGAAATTCAGATTTCAGGGCCATAAATATAGATTTATTTGAACACAGTAACATCCATTTTTTTACGTACATCTATGGCTGCTTTTGAGCTAGAAGGGCAGAACTGAGTAGTTTCAACAGAGATCATATGGCCATCAAAGCCTAAAATATTTACTATCTGGCTCTTTACAGAAAAAAATACCAGCTCCTAGAATAGAGACTCAAAGAAGTCAAAGAACCCAAGAAGAAGTAATACGATGGAAAGAGAACAGAAGGATGGGAAGGAGTTAGAAGGCCAGGTCTGTCACTAACTGATCTGTAAGACCAGGGATAATAATAAAATGTCTTACTGGGTTTGTTGGATGGATGGATTAAAAAGTTTAAAACATGCAAATACTTTGTCAGCTGCGAAGGGCTCTACATGTTGTGTCTATTATTTATCAGACTAGAGCCAGCTTATAGTCTCAATTTCCCAACATTTCCCATCACATCACACAGTCTCTCCTGGCCTTAGTTTCCCCATCTAGAAAATGGGGATAATGATACCCTCCATACCCTCCAATGTAGAGACATCATCAAAATGAAAAAAAAAAGAGAGCATCTTTGTGAAAGCCACTTCTAAAATAATTTGTAGATACTTAGTTTCAGGGTTCCAATCTCCTTTTTAAAATGAAACTGAATGCCATGAGTTTTCAGCCTCCAAGGTAGAATTTCGTGAGCCAGAGAAAGGACAGCACAAAGAAATCCAGCCTGGCTTCAGCTTGGAGTCCCGCTTTTTCAAAAAGAGCAGCTGTCTCACTGTTCTTTCGAAAGGGCAACTGATTGGATTCTCTGTACCTTCATTATGCTGGAAAGGTCATTTAGAGAAATTAATGTGTCCTTGGGGGATTGCTATCGCTATCCAGTAGTCCCCTCCAGCCTTGCACTTCGCTCTCACCCCTGGCTTTTCACGTTACCAGCTGGCAAACTTCAGAGGTGGTACCAGCCACTCATAGCAGACAGAGAGCAGGTGATGAGTGGACTCTGGCCATAGGGACCAATCTCTGTACTGACAGAGTGAATGAGAGGCCAGGTGGGGTGGCTCACTCCTGTAATCCCAGCACTTTGAGAGGCCGAGGCTGGTGGATCACTTGAGGTCAGGAGTTTGAGACCAGCCTGGCCAATTTGGTGAAACCCCGTTTCTACCAAAAATATAAAAAATTAGCCGGATGTGGTGGCTTGTGCCTGTAATCCCAGCTACTTGGGAGGCTGAGTCATGAGAATCACTTGAACCCAGGAGGTGGAAGCTGCAGTGAGCTGAGATTTCGCCATTGCACTCCAGGCTAGCCTGGGAGACAGAGCGGGACTCCCTCTCAAAAAAATAATAAAAATAAAAATAATTTTAAAAAATAGAGTGGATGAGTAGTCCCTAGGGCAGTTCTAGAAGAGAAGCAAAGACCTACTGCTGAGGCAGGAGCCGGTGAGCAGCCCACTCGGTCCACACCTGGCCACAGCACAGATACAGCAATTTTCCAGAGAAAATTTAGATAAACACTTTTACCTAAATGTCCCAGTAGCTCTCACCAAAATACTTGGGTCATTGGCCTACCTGCTGGCTCAGACTTTAGTATCCAGTGTAGCCCCTTAGAATCCAGCTACATCCATCTAAAATAAGTCCAGCCAAAGTTGAAGGGAATAAAACACAGAGAAATTCCAATGTGAGAGAGGCTGTGTAATATTGAGAATGAAAGCTCTTGTAGTCTGATCTGGGTCAAACTCCAGCTCCCTCCATTTCTAGCTGCGTGACTTTAGGTAACTTGCTTAACTTCTCTGGGTCTCAGTTTCTGCATCTACAAGATGGGAAGAATGCCTAACAAATATAGTTATTTGGGGAAGATTATATTAAAATATGCCTGGTGTCTGGAAAATAATAAGGGCTCAGTTAAAGGGGAGTTAGGGTAGCAGGTTCTGCTTAGGCATCTTGGTAGCCCTTTGTCCCTTAGATCAAGACTGCAAAGAACCACTTGCTGAATGTGAATGAATGAACGAACAAATGAGCTAACAAGCAAAAGAGCAGTGTGCCTCATTCTGGCTTCCTGATAACGCCCAGGAGAACCATGATATCACATTCTTGTGTCCGATTTACAGATGAACAATGTGAGTCCCAACAGCCTACATTATCCATAGAAATCTGGAATTCGAGCCAAGAGTTTACATTTTGGCTTCCATTTGGGCCTCTGTTTGCTCATCAGGTAAACAGGTAAAATCGTCAAACCTATATTACTGAGCTATCAAGGGCATCCAGTGAGAGGAGGGGATGTGAGAACGTCACATTTGTGGCTATTAAGCATAAAGTCTCACTCTCCAGGTAGAAATGTCCTTGAATAAGACACAGATTTCCTGTTTGGCTTTAGCCAAAAGGATGAAATTCTAATTGTGGAATTTGAGGCATAGTCAGATGAGCTTGACAAGTGTCAATGCAGATGAAATGGGAACTTCCCATCACCTTTGCAAATTAGAGGCATATGGCAGTGTGACCACGGGTGACCTTGTCCTCTGAGGGTGTTATCCTGAATTTGTAGAGTCCAGCCTCGACTGTGGCTCTGGCCCCTGAGTGAAACCTGCAGGCTGCAGAAGACACTGACATACTCCACAAATCCATCCTTGTTCCTTCAGCAGAAGCATCTGGCACAGTTCCCATTTATGAGCACCTGCCAAACTTTCAGGGGTCTAAGGTTACAGTGAGCTGTGCTTCATGCACTCCACTGGCTCTGTCATAGGTAGAAACCCATCGGAGGAAGCCTTTTCAGATTACACACACACACATACATGCACACACACACATACACAAAATTAGGAGTATTTAATAACAAAAGAATCATCTAATATAAAATTATCTAAACTGTCTCGACTAAACCTTCCCATTAATGCACACACATAAATTCTTTGGCGATAAAAGGCCTTATCTCTTGGCTCAAATTCCAAATTTCTATTGATAATGTAGGCTGTTGGGATTCACATTGTTCATCCGTAAATTGGACACAAACAATGTGATATCATGGTTCTCCTGGGCATTATTAGGAAGCCAGAATGTCCAAGGAGGTACCTGTAGGAATCATTCATCTGTAGGAATGAATGCTGTGTCACCTCAGCCTTCATCTCAGCCATCACCATAGGTTGGATCTAGGAGAAGAGTTCTTATCCGAGCATGACCCAGAGCCTCTAGACAAAGAGCTCCACAAGTTACTTAGGAAAGTGGGAAAACAGAATGAGGAAGCACAGTACAGTCCCTGCCATCTAGCCATCTGCCCTCAGGGTCCTTGGGCTTTGTCCTGAGGAACTCCTTTTTGTGATTGGTTTCTTTGGGGTGTTGCTGTTCACCCTCTTGCTCTGACTGGCTATATGCGAATAAGCAAGGCCAAATATGTTGATCCTAGATATGTTAATTAGTGCCTGCTGACTCTATTTACCCCCACCTATCTTTCTATTTTGTATGGATGTGTAGATTAGGCTACCTTAAAATGCTGATGATGGTCCTTGCTGGGAGACAGACAGACCTCCTGTGCTGATACATTGGTGCCAGAAGTGAGACTTCTAGTTAAAAATCACATACACATACAGTTAACACACCCATGGTAGGTGTTCAATAAATATTCTCTTTCCTGGTTTGCTTTGCTCCCCACTTTCCCCCCTGCCTTATGGCTGAGTTCCTCTTCTTTGTCCTTCCATACCATCATAGCTCTTTCCATTGTGTGTTGGGATCCTCTGTTTATCTATTTCTTCTCCCCTCTAGACTACAAGCTCTTTGAAGGCAGCGTCTGGGTCTCTTCTTTACTGTGCGTCATTGGCACTATTACTGTTCTTGATATAGCTGGTGATAAGTAAATATTGAACTTAGCTGAGCCGAAGCCCAGAATTGTAACTATGAAGGAACGAGACTGTTTTTTTTTTTAAAAATAAATATATCAGAATGCATACATACAAAATGAATGGTGTCCATTTCAGGGAAGTCACCATAAGAGGTGGCGCACTTGCTGTGCCCTTTTGGGGAAACAGCCTTTTTAGTGGGTGGCACATTCTTTTGAACAGCTTTAGTGAGAGTGCATTTTCCTCTCCTAATGGGAGGATTTATATGAGAATCCTTTTAGTGACAAGAAAGAAAACAACTAAGTAAATGTGCCTTAAATAACGAAAATGTGGCCAGGCGCGGTGGCTCACACCTCTAATCCCAGCACTTTGGGAGGCTGAGGCGCATCACCTGAGGTCAGGAGTTCAAGACCAGCCTGGCCAACATGGTGAAACCCCGTTTCTACTAAAAATACAAAAATTAGCTGGGCATGGTGGCACACACCTGTAGTCCCAGCTACTCAGGAGGCTGAGGCAGGAGAATCGCTTGAACCCAGGAGGCAGACGTTGCAGTGAGCTGAGATCGTGCCATCGCACTCCAGCCTGGGTGACAGAGTGAGACTGTGTCTCAAAAAAAAAACAACAACGACAAAAAAAAAAACAGTGAAAATGTTATTATCTCACATGGCAAGATGACTGGGGTTAATAGTTCCAAGGTTGGCTCAGCAGCTCGACAAAGTCATCAAAGATCCAGGCTCTTTCTATTCTTCTCTACCATTTAGCTTTCTAGAATCCATTGGGTTGTGACCCAGTAATCACAGATGGTTGCCTTTGTTCCAGATATCACACTCTCGTACTATTATTTTTGAAGGAAGTAAGAAGGAATGAAGTAGAGGCTCAGCCAGGGGAAAAGGGCAGCTCCCTTCATGTGTCTTTCTCTCCTTTTATGTCAGATGGAAATACCTCCCTAAACACCCCATCACCTAGCTACCCTTAGCTGCAAAGCAGGCTGAGTACCTGGCACATTCAGTCTCTGAAGTGAAAGGCAGGGAGAGAAGAAAGATTGAGGATGGCTGCTGGGAGGCAACCAAGAAGGGTTCTCAGAGATTTTATTTCTGATAAAAGCCAAAAGTCAGTTGGAATCTGAGCTCTAACCTCAAGGTGGGACCATAAATCATGATAACATGTTGAACACTAACTATATGCCAGATTAGTAATAAGTCCTCGGCATATGTTATCTTAATTAATCTTCCCAACACCCTTGAGGTAGCCACTATTGTTAGCCCAATTTTATCTTTGAGGAAACTGATACCAGAAAGGTGAAATTACTCACCCCAGGGCACACAAATAATAAATGGTAAAGCCCTGCCAACTCTAATATAAGGCTTTTAATTCCAAAACCAGACTGAAAACTATTCACAAGAAGGTTTCATGGCTCATAAAACTGAGGGAGGCTGAGGTGAACAGTTATATTGTGCTTTCCATTTTCGCCTGCCCTGACCAGGTCATTTGATCCTCAGAACAATTTGTAGGAAATATTACACTGCAGGAGGATTTTCAGTTGGCCCGCACCATTTAGCCACACCATTTAATCTGCTTCTCCCTTTCTTCGGTAGTAGCAGAACTCCCAATTTTTAACTGAGATTATGGCCACCCAGAATAGAGACTATATTTCCCAGCCTTCCTTATATGTAACTAAGTTCTCTTATACATGTAACTAAGTTCTATTATAAACAAAAAGATCTGGCCAACTTCTGAGTCATGCCCTTAAAGAGAATGGCCTTCCCTCTCTCTTCCCCTTCCCCTATCTTGCTACCCAGAAGGTGAATCTGATGGAGAACCATGGAGAACCATAATGAACATCAGAGATGAGGGTGAAAGCCTAGGGATGGTGGACATCAAAATAAGACTCCACCATCAGTACGGCCCAGTGTGCTGGCATTGTGGCTTTAATCTCTCAATCCTACATTTCTGTTTTTTTGTTTGTTTGTTTGTTTGTTTTGAGACAGAGTCTTGCTCTGTCGCCCAGGCTGGAGTGCAGTGGCACGATCTCGGCTCACTGCAAGCTCCGCCTCCCAGGTTCACGCCATTCTCCTGCCTCAGCCTCCCAAGTAGCTGGGACTACAGGTACCGGCCACCACGCCCGGCTAATTTTTTTTTTGTATTTTTAGTAGAGATGGGGTTCACCGTGTTAGCTAGGATGGTCTCGATCTCCTGACCTCATGATCCGCCCGTCTCAGCCTCCCAAAGTGCTGGGATTACAGGCGTGAGCCACCGCGCCCGGCCTCTCAATCCTACATTTCTTATCACTGGACTGTTACAAGAGGAATATACTTCCTATTTAAACCACTGTATTTGAAGTCTCTGTTAAACCAGTGAACTTGTGTTCTAAGATACCCCACAGATAAAATTTGGGATAACTACCCAGGCTACAGCAGTGCCCTTGTCCTCCCACTTCACCAATAAGTATGAGCTCCCCTAATTAAATATGTGCCCCCTGACCTTGACCTGATGGCCACCAGAGTGAACAATTAACCCAAAATGGGTCAGAGTCCTTTTTCTATGTCTATTTGCAATGAGGATTAAGTGATTCTAGTTTGGTCTGAGCTGATGACTTGAGTAGAGGTGATGTAAGCTCCAGAGCTGTGGACCAAGAAGCAGAAAAAGTCAGTCTATAAACAGAGATTGAAGCAGATGAGCAGAGAGAAGCTGTATGGTCCCCGATGGCTTTTACAACCCTGATCCCAGTCTTACCCAAAGGTTCAGCTGTATCTCTTTCCTTAAATTCTGCAAACCATCTCTATATTTTTACAGCAAATCCCCCATGTTGAGCTTCCCTAGCTCAAATAGGTGTTTGTTACACTTGCAAGCAGAGTTGCAAATAATATCATGAGATGCAGTAAAGCTAAGCAAGTGGCAGGACCAAGCCACAGGCTCAGCTTCTGTCATTCTGTGTCCAGTGGCCTTCTCTCAGTAGACATACTTCACAGCTTGACGGGGAAAGCTGGTCTCACCTCTCTTTTCTCTTTCAATGGACACATCTGGGAAAGACAAGATTCAGGAAACCAAGCTCCTAAATTCCAATCTGGCCTAGGCCGCCTAAGTTCCACCTAATACTTGAAATGGGAGTTGAGTCTCCACCATCTCACTTCTTTTCAGAAAGCCCAAATGTATCTCTGGATCTTTTATGATTATAGTCATGCATCAACTAATGACAGGGGTACATTCGGGGAAATTCATCATTTGGTAATTTCATTGTGTGAACATCAGAGTATGCTTACATAAACCTAGATGGTGTCGGCTACTCCAAACCAAGGCTATACAGTAGAGCAGGGGTGTTCAATCTTTCGGCTTCCGTAGGCCACATTGGAGGAAAACTTGTCTTTGGCCACACATAAAATACAATACACTAACACTAACGATAGCTGATGAGCTAAAAAAAAAAAAAAAATTGCAAAAAAATTCTCATAATGTTTTAAGAAAGTTTACACATTTGTGTTGGGCAGTATTCAAAGCTGTCCTGGGCCACATGCAGCCTGTGGGCCACGTGTTGACAGCTTGCGTAGAGCCTATTGTTCCTGGATTACAAACCTTTACAGCACGTAACTGTACTGAATACTGCAGGCAATTCTAACACAATGGGAAGTATTCTTGTATCTAAATATATCTAAACATAAAAAAGATACAGTAAAAATACAGTATGTAAGATTAGAAAATGGTACCCCTGTATAGGGCACTTCCCATGAGTGGAGCAGGACTGGAATTGCTTTGGGTGAGTCAGCGAGTGAGTGGTGAGTGAAGATGAAGGTTGAGAACAGTACTGGATACGACTGCAGACTTTAGAAATACTGTACACTTAAGCTACACTAAATTTCTTTTTAAAATGTTTTTCTTTCTTCGATCAATGATCTTTGATAATAAAGCTTAGTAACCTTTTTACTTTATAAACTTTTTAATGTTTTCAACTTTATGACTCATGTAATAACACTTAGCTTAAAATACATTGTGCAACTGTATATAAATATTTTCTTTCTTTATATCCTTATTCTATAAGCTTTTCCATTTTTTAAATTTTTTTATTTTTATTTTTTAAACTTTTTTTGCTAAAAACTATACAAACGCACACATTGGCCTAGTCCTACACAGTCAGAATCATCAATATCACCATCTTCCACCTCCACATCTTGCCCCGCTGGAAGGACTTCAGGGGTAATAACACACATTGGGCAGTCATCTCTTATGATAACAATGCCTTCTTCTGGAATGACCTCCCTGGGGCTGTTTTACAGCTAACTTCTTCTTTTTATAAGTAGAAGGAATGCACTCTAAAATAACAACAGAAAGTACAGTATACTAAATGCATGCACCCATAACATGGTCATTTATTATCATTATGAAGCATTATCTACTGTGCATCCTTGTAGGTGCCGGACTTCTATATGACTGGCAGTACAGTGCTTTGTTTACACCAGCATCACCAGAGATATGTGAGTAATGCATTGCACTACAACAACTCCTGGATGAGTTAAAGTTCACATCTTATTCAAGTCACCCCTATGCTTAAAACTCTTCAATGTCTTCCATTTCTTTGGTGTTAAAGTTCACAGGCCTTGACCACAGGACCCATCCTTCTTAGCCTGTCCCCTGCCTACTCTCCATCTATCTTCCAGTCCACGGTGATGCTCCAGCAGCCCTGACAGCTTGCAGCTTCTCTCCATGCCTCTCTGACTTCGCTCATGCCCTTTTCTCATTTAACGGTCAAGGAACATGCCAATTACTCACCTTTAGTATTAGGTTGGTGCAAAAGTAATGCAGTTTTTGCCATTAAAAATAATCTTTGCCGTTAAAAGTTATCTTTTCCTGTGGTAACAACCAACCTCCGAAATCTCAGGGGTTTATGATAAGAAATTATTTCTCAAATGTGGGTTCACCAGTCTTCTGTGGCTCTGCTGGGTGTAGCTGGGTTTGGCGCCAGTTCAAGTGTGAGCTTTTTGTCTACAAATTGCAGGACCCAGGCTGGAAGAGAAGCCACTCTCTGGGGCAGGTTGAGCTCATGATGGAGGTAGACGCTCAACAGGCCAAGCCAACCACGAGAGCACATGTCAAGCCTCTGACCAGATCTGGTATACATCAACTCTGTTCCATTGCATTGCTGAGGGCAAGTCACATTAGGGGGCCAAAGACCAATGAGGCAAGAGTGTGTACCCCTTACACTGCAAAGTGGGAGGGACAGTGAATATCTGAAATGCAATAATACAATCTACTCCACTTCTGTTTCCATGGGATCACCATTCAGGAGAGAACAATATTAAGAGATTGTTTCCTCTCTCAACAATTTCTCGCTATCCAAGTGGGGAGATGGAAGAGGGGACTGTCCCACGTGAGGTCTCTCCCTAGAAACCTGCCTGCCTATTTTCTCCTTTCCCTGTGCCCTATGATAAGTTCACCAGGGCAGGACTTAGCCCCCAACAAAAGGTAAGTCAGTCTATTAATAGGGCAAAGGAGCAGGAAGACCATACCAACTTCAGAGAGACCCAAGCTGAGATCCACCTTTACCAGCATGGAACTGATCCTTTCACCTCTGATTCCTGTGTCCATTTCTCAGTTGTGTTACAGTATGAAGGAGGGGAGAACTGACTAAGGTTTCACCAAACCCCCCAATACTTAGAATGCACTAACCCCTGTCAGGCTCCATCTGGCTAACATCTACTCATTCTTGAATAATAGTAATAAAAAATAATAATAATAATAACTAACACTCATTTAATGCTTACTATGTGTTAAGTCACTGTCATAAGTGTTTTTCAAATATTTGTTAATTTAAAATTAATGCAGCCTGGGCACAGTGGCTTATGTCTCTAATCTCAGTGCATTGGGAGGGTGAGGCAGGAGAATTGCTTGAAGTCAGGAGTTCAAGACCAGCCTGGCCAAAATAGCAAGACCTCTAAAAAAAAAATTAGCCAGGCATGGTGGCACATGCCTGTAGTCCCAGCTACTCAGGAGGCTGAGGAGGGAAGATCCCTTCAGCCCAGGAGTTTGAAGCTACAGTGAGCTATGACTGTGCCACTACACTCCAGCCTGGACAACAGAGTGAGACCCTGTCTCAATTATAATAATTATAATTAATTAATTAATTAAATTCATGTAAACACTATAAGTAGGCACTACTATTTTTAACATCCACAAATTAAAGATGAAGGAACTGAGGCACAGAGAGGTCAAGTGACTTGACCCAGGTCAGATAACTAGTATCAGAGCCAGATTCCAACATGGGCAACATTGTAGGAAACCATGCCCCGAACCACTATGCTTTACTGCCTCTGGCTCCCCTGCACACTGTCTCCCAGGCTGGATGAGTGGAGTCCTTCTCTTATTGGTGTCTGCAATGCACCATACAAACTCCTATCACAGCACTGACCACTGTTACAGAGTAATCTGTTTATGAGTCTGTCTTCTCCTCTTGGCTCTGAGATTTATTATTTATTTATTTATTTATTTATTTAAGAGATAGGTTATAGCTCTGTCACCCATGCTGGAGGCCAGGGGCATCATTACAGCTCACTGTAGCCTCGAACTCCTGGCCTCAAGCTCCTGGCCTCAAGCAATCCTCCTACCTCAGCCTCCCAAGTAGCTGAGACTAGAGGGGGCACAGCACTGTGCCTGAATAATTTTTTTTAGTTTTTGCAGAGATGGGGGTCTCACTTTGTTGCCCAGGTCTCGAACTTCTCACTTCAAGTGATCCTCCTGCCTTGGCCTCCCAAACTGCTGGGATTATAGGCGTGAGACACCATGCCCAGCTGGCTCTGAGATTCTTGAGGACATGAAATGCATCTTGTTCGTACTTTATCTCTTCAGCCTAAGAAGATGCTTTTCTTTATTCACTCAACATTACCTGAACATGACTAATGGCAAGCACTGTGCTAAGTGCTATTTCATTATTTCTTCAATACACATGCTGTTCCAGATGACCCCAAACTTGTAAAGTTAGAATAGCAGACTGCAAAAAAAAAAATGCCCTGCAATAATTCCCCTCCATGAATCAATTTCCCCACTCCTTGAATCTAGGCTGGTTTTATGCCTTGCTTTGACCAATAAAATGAAGTGGAAATGATGTCCAGCCAGTTCCAAGCTTGGACCTCAAGAGGCCTTGCCCACTTCTGCTCACTCCCTTGAGGCCCTGGGTCCTACCACAGGAATAAGCCTGGGCTAGGCCAGCCCACTGGAGAGTGGGAGACCATATGAAGCAGAGATAAGCCAGCCTAGCTGAGGCCGTCCTAGATCAGCCTGGTCTTGGGTCATCTTGCAACTGACTGCAGACACATGAGCCCAGCAGACATAAGTCCCACCTGGCCCAGATAAGAGAAACAGCCATTCAAAACACAGTCTCATGAGCTAAATGAATTGCTGTTGTTATAAGCTACTAAGTTTTGGAACTGTTTGTTACCCAGCAAAAGCTAACTAATACAATGGCAACCTGGGTTTGTCCAAGGATGGTGGTGAGAGTTGCAGTGACTGTGCACAGACTCTCCTAAGGATGAAGAAGTGAGACAGCAACCAGCCCACATGCTGCCCTTGTCAATTAAGCCAAAGACCCCAGTTTTGCCTCTTCCTTTTTCTTCTCACTCCAAAGACTAGTCACATGGTCTGCAAAAGGAGAAAGGACCATGAATTGTTCAAATACCGAATGCAAATAAGCCAGACAGACCAACAGACCCCTCATTCCAGTCTCCAAGGGTTTTAACACACCACGGATTTTTGCTTCTTCAGTTTGTGTATTTCATTTTGTTTTAAGCTTTTGTGTATTGAGACCCTGGCACCGTGCTAGGCTCAGGGAAGAAAAGTGTGTTAAGAAAGTAAACAGGATCTGCTTTCAGAAAGATAATAGTAATTATTGTTAATAACATTGCTATGATAACTTCCTTGGTTTTATTTGCTTTTACTTGTTTGTTGTCAAATCTTATAACATTTGCTATTTTAACCATTTTTTAGTGTACAGGTCGGTGGCATCAAGTACATCCCCATTGTTGTGCAATCATCACCACCATCCACCTCCACAACTTTTTCATCTTCCACAACTGAAACTCCATGTCCATTAACCACTAATTTTCTATGTCCCCTTCCCCAGCCCTTGGCAACCGCTGCAGAGATTTTCTGTCTCTATAGATTTGACTACTCTTAGATATGATAAAATAGAAACTTCAGCTGAATTAAATTTAAAGGAGTTTAATTGAGCAATGAACAATTTGAGAATTGGGCAGTCCCCAGAATCACAGCAGATTCACAGAGACTCCGGCGCAGCCACATGGTGGAAGAAGATTTATAGGTAAAAAAAAAAGAAAGGGAAATGATGTACAGAAATTAGAAGTGAGGTACCGAATGCCTGGATTGGTTACAGCTCAGCATATGTCTTATTTGAACATAGTTTGAACACTCAGCAGTGTATGAATGGTTGAAGTGTGGCCACTGGGATTGGCTAAGCCTTAACTAGTGTTACAGGTGTGTACTACTAAGTTAGGTTTTCAATTTTGTCTGCCTATTAAGCTAGGTTACAGTTCATCACAAGGACTCAAATATGGAAGTATGGAGTCCTTCTCAGTCCATACTTAGTTTGCTTTAACAGGTATATAAGTGGAATCATACAATATTTGTCCTTTTGTATCTGGATTATTTCACCGAGCATAATGTATTCGGGTTTCATCCATGCTATAGCATTGATCAGAATTCCCTCCCACTTTAAGGCTGGATAATATTCCATTGTTGGATATACCCCATTTGTTTACCCATTCGTCCTTCAGTGGATACTTGAGTTGCTTCCACGTGGTGATTGCTGTGAATAATGCTACTCTGAACATGGGTGTGCAAATCTCTCTCCAAGTTCCTGCTTTCATTTCTCTCGGGTATACACTCAGAAGTGGAATTGCTGGATCACATGGTGGTTCTGTTTCATATTTTGAGGAGACACCATACAGTCTTCCACAGTGGCTGTGCCATATTACATTCCCACCAACAGTGCACAAGGGTTCCAATGTCTCCACATCTTCACCTATACTTGTTATGTTGTGTTTTCTTTTTTTTAAATAATAATGGGTGTGTGTGTCAGTGTGTGTATCTTCTTTTGGTTATAATTTGCATCTCCCTGATGATTAGTAATATTGAGCACAGAGCATATTGCCGTGTGCTTATTGGCCACTTGTATATCTTCTTTGGAGAAATATCTATTCAAAGCCCTTGGTTTTATTTTTCCTGACCAAATGTTGCTTTCACGTTTTGTTCCAGGCACTCTAGCAAGCGCCACAGATGCCTTACTGGATTTAACCTCCCCACAAGGAAATGAGGGGGTTATTGTCCTTATTTTACAGGTAAGGAAACCGAGGCTTTTTTCGTGGCTTGCCCCAGGGGCCACCTCAGAAGGGGCAGAGAGGGATTTGAGGCAGGCCTGGCTGACCCCACTAAGTCATACTGAAGTCCAGGCGGAGAAGAGCTGCGGAAGGGAGTGGAAGGGGAAACCCAGTATCCACTTGCCCCCATGGGACTTGTCTTTGGGTCCCACATATCCCCTTTGGTGCCTTTTGCTGCAGTTTCCTACCCCTCTTTCTTCCCTCCCTTCCCTTTTCTCTCCTTTCTGGGTCTGGCTAAGTAAGTATCTCCTTCTTGCCTGCCAGGATGTGATAAATTCTTAGTACCCCGGTGAGAATCACTCCCTCCCATTTTCAAAGGAATGAACTGGAAGAGAAAGTCCCCCGAAAGACCTCCTAGAGGATCACCCCTGGGTCTCTGACTGAGAACCTGAATCTAACCTGGGGCAAGCAGACCCCAGACCCACCTCCATAACCTGGTGAATGGCACTTTTTTTTTTTTAACTAGGAAGTGTTACCCAACTATTTGCTAGTTCTTCATGAAAATGAATTGTTGGGAACTCACTACAGCGTGGCAAAGTGGCTGTGGCCAGACTGCCTCTCTAGGTTCCTCCTCTCTGGGAAAGGCATCTCTGAAAGAAAGGCAGCAGCCCCAGTCAGGGGCTTATAGATAAAACTCCCATCTCCCTGGGACAGAGCACCTGGGGGAATGGGCAGCTGTGGGCATGGGCACAGCTTTAGTGGACATAAATGTCCCTGTCTGCCGGCTCTGAAGAGAGCAGTGGATCTCCCAGCACAGTGCTCAAGCTCTGCTAAGGTATATAAGTGGAATTCTCCTCAAGTGGGTCCCTGGCTCCCATGCCTCCTGACTGGGTGACATCTCCCAGCAGGGGTCGACAGACACCTCATACAGGAGAGCTCCGGCTGGCATCAGGTGGGTGCCCCTCTGGGAGGAAGCTACCAGAGGAAGGAGCAGACAGCAATCTTTGCTGTTCTGAAGCCTCCACTGATGATACCCAGGTAAACAGGGTCTGGAGTAGACCTCCAGCAAACCCCACCAGACCTGCAGAGAAGGGCCTGACTATTAGAAGAAAAACTGACAAACAGGAAGCAATAACATCAACATCAACAAAAAGGACCCCCACACAAAAACCCCATCCAAAGGACATCAGCACCAAAGATCAAAGGTAGATAAGTCCACGAAGATGAGGAAAAACCAGCCCCCAAATGCTGAAAATTTCAAAAACCAGAATGCCTCTTCTCCTCCAAATGATCACAACAACTCTCCAGCAAGGGCACAAAACTGAATGAAGAATGAGTTTGACGAATGGACAGAAGTAGGCTTCACAAGGTGGGTAATAACACACTCCTCTGAGCTAAAGGATCATGTTCTAACCCAATACAAGGAAGCTAAGAACCTTGATAAAGGTCAGGATATTGAGACCATCTTGGCTAACACGGTGAAACCCCGTCTCTACTAAAAATACAAAAAAAATTAGCTGGGCATGGTGGCGGGTGCCTGTAATCCCAGCTACTCGGGAGGCCAAGGCAGGAGAATGGTGTGAACCTGGGAGGCGGAGCTTGCAGTGAGCCAAGATCATGCCACTGCACTCCAGCCTGGGCAACAGAGCCAGACTCCGTCTCAAAAAAAAAAAAAAAAAAAAAAAAGAACCTTGATAAAAGGTGAGAGGAGCTGCTAACAAGAATAACCAGCTTAGAGAAGAACATAAATGACCTGATGGAGCTGAAAAACACAGCACAAGAACTTCGTGAAGCATACACAAGTATCAACAGCCAAATCGATCAAGCAGAAGAAAGGATATCAGAGATTGAAGATCAACGTAATGAAATAAGGCGTAAACACAAGATTAGACAAAAAAGAATGAAAAGAAACAAACAAAGCCTCCAAGAAATATGGGACTATGTGAAAAGACCAAACCTATGATTGATTGGTGTACCTGAAAATGACGGGGAGAATGGAACCAAGTTGGAAAACACTCTTCAGGATATTATCCAGGAAAACTTCCCCAACCTAGCAAGACAGGCCAACATTCAAATTCAGGAAATACAAAGAACACCACTAAGATACTCCTTGAGAAGAGCAACCCCAAGACACATAATTGTCAGATTCTCCAAGGTTGAAAAGAAGGAAAAAAAATGTTAAGCGCAGCCAGAGAGAAAGGTCAGGTTACCTACAAAGGGAAGCCCATCAGACTAACAGTGGATGTCTCTGCAGAAACCCTACAAGCCAGAAGAGAGTGGGGTCAATATTCAACATTCTTAAAGAAAAGAATTTTCAACCCAGAATTTCATATCCAGCCAAACTAAGGGTCATAAATGAAGGAGAAATAAAATCCTCTACAGACAAGGAAATTTTGAAGGATTTTGTCACCACCAGGCCTGCCTTATAAGAGCTCATGAAGGAAGCATTAAATATGGAAAGGAAAAACTGGTACCAGCAACTGCAAAAACACACCAAAATATAAAGACCAATGACATTATGAAGAAACTGCATCAACTAATGTGCAAAATAACCAGCTAGCATCATGATGACAGGATCAAATTCACACATAACAATATTAACCTTAAATGTAAATGGGCTAAATGCCCCAATTAAAAGACACAGACTGGCAAATTGGATCAAGAGTCAAGACCCATTGGTGTATCGTATTAAGGAGACCCATCTCACATGCAAAGACACACATAGGCTCAAAATAAAGGGATGGAGGAATATTTACCAAGCAAATGGGAAGAAAAAAAAAAGGAGGGGTTGCAATCCTATTCTCTGATAAAACAGACTTTAAACCAACAAAGATCAAAAGAGACAAATAAGTGCATTACATAGCAGTAAAGGGATAAATGCAACAAGAAGAGCTAACTATCCTAAATATGCACCCAATACAGGAACGCTCAGATTCATAAAACAAGTTCTTAGAGACCTACAAAGAGACTTAGACTCCCATGCAATAATAGTGGGAGACTTTAACACCCCACTGTCAATATTAGACAGATCAACGAGACAGATAATTAACACGGACATTCAAGACTTGAACTCAGCTCTGGACCAAGCAGACCTAATAGATATCTACAGAACTCTCCACCCCAAATCAACAGAATATACATTCTTCTCAGCACCACATAGCACTTGTTCTAAAATGGACCACATAATTGGAAGTAAAATACACCTCAGCAAACGTAAAAGAACAGAAATCATAACCAACAGTCTCTCAGACCACAGTGCAACCAAATTAGAACTCTGGATTAAGAAAGTCACTCAAAACTGCACAACTACATGAACACTTGAACAACCAGGTCCTGAATGACTACTGGGTAAATAGGGAAATTAAGGCAGAAATAAAGTTCTTTGAAACCAATGAGAACAAAGAGACAACATACCAGAATCTCTGGACACAGCTAAAGCAGTGTTAAGAGAGAAATTTATGCACTAAATGCCCACATCAGAAAGCGGGAAAGATCTAAAATCGGCACCCTAACATCACAATTAAAAGAACTAGAGAAACAAGGGCAAACAAATTCAAAAGCTAGCAGAAGACAAGAAATATCTAAGATCAGAGCAAAATTGAAGGAGAGAGATACACGAAAAATCCTTCAAAAAATCAATGAATCCAGGAGCTGGTTTTTTGAAAAGATTAACAAAATAGATCACTAGCCAGACTAATAAACAAGAAAAGAGAGAAGAATCAAACAGAGACAATAAAAAATGATAAAGGGGATATCATCACTGATCCCACAGAAATACAAACTACCATCAGAGAATACTATAAACACCTCTATGCAACTAAGCTAGAAAATCTAGAAGAAATGGATAAATTCCTGGACACATACACCCTCCCAAGACAAAACCAGGAAGAAGTCGAATCCCTGAATAGACCGATAGTAAGTTCTGAAATTGAGGCAGTAATTAATATCCTACCAACCAAAAAAAGTCCAGGACCAGACGGATTCACAGCTGAATTCTACCAGAGTTACAAAGAGGAGCTGGTACCATTCCTTTTGAAACTATTCCAAGCAATAGAAAAAGAGGAACTCCTCCCTAACTCATTTTATGAGGCCAGCATCATCCTGATACCAAAAGCCGGCAGAGACACAACAAAAAAAGAAAATTTCAGGCCAATATCCCTGATGAACACCAGTGCAAAAATCCTCAATAAAATACTGGCAAACCAGATCCAGCAGCACATCAAAAAGTTTATCCACCATGATCAAGTTGGCTTCATCCCTGGGATGCAAGGCTGGTTCAACATATGCAAATCAATAAATGTAATCCATCGTATAAACAGAACCAATGACAAAAAACACATGATTATCTCAATAGATGCAGAAAAGGCCTTCCATAAAATTCAACACCCCTTCATGCTAAAAACTCTCAATAAACTAGGTATTGATGGAACATATCTCAAAATAATAAGAGCTATTTATGACAAAATTATAGCCAATATCATACTGAATAGGCAAAAGCTGGAAGTATTCCCTTTGAAAACTGGCACAAGACAAGGATGCCCTCTCTCACCACTCCTGTTCAACATAGTATTGGAAGTTCTGGCCAGGGCAATCAGGCAAGAGAAAGAAATAAAGCATATTCAAATAGGAAGAGAGGAAGTCAAATTGTCCCTGTTTGCAGATGACATGATTGTATATTTAGAAAACCCCATCATCTTAGCCCACAATCTCCTTAAGCTGATAAGAAACTTCAGCAAAGCCTCAGGATACAAAATCAATGTACAAAAATTACAAACATTGCTATACACCAATAATAAGACAAACAGAGAGCCAAATAATGAGTGAACTCCCATTCACAATTACAACAAAGAGAATAAAATACCTAGGAATACAACTTACTAGGGATGTGAAGGACCTTTTCAAGGAAAACTACAAACCACTGCTCAAAGAAATAAGAGAGGACACAAACAAATGGAAAAAAAATTTCATGCTCATGGATAGGAGGAATTAATATTGTGAAAATTGTCATACTAACCAAACTAATTTACAGATTCACTGCTATTCCCATCAAGCTACCATTGACTTCCTTCATAGAGTTAGAAAAAACTACTTTAAATTTCATATGAAACCAAAAAAGAGCCCATATGGCCAAGACAATCCTAAGCAAAAAGAACAAAACTGGAGGCATCATGCTACCTGACTTCAAACTATACTACAAGGCTACAGTAACCAAAACAGCATGGTACTGCTACCAAAACAGATACATAGACCAATGGAACAGAAGAGAGGCCTCAGAAATAACACCATACATCTACAACCATATGATCTTTGACAAACCTGACAAAAACAAGCAATGGGGAAAGGATTCCCTATTTAATAAATGGTGCTGGGAAAACTGGCTAGCCATATGCAGAAAACAGAAACTGAACCTCTTCCTTACACCTTTTACAAAAAATAACTCAAGATGAATTAAAGACTGAAACTTAAAACCTAAAACCATAAAAACCCTAGAAGAAAACCTGGGCAATACCATTCAGGACATAGGCACGGGCAAAGACTTCGTGACTGAAATACCAAAAGCAATTGCAACAAAAGCCAAAATCGACAAGTGAGATCTAATCAAACTAATGAGTTTCTGCACAGCAAGAGAAACTATCATCAGAGTGAACAGGCAACCTACAGAATGGGAGAAAATTTTTGCCATCTATCCATCTGACAAAGGTCTAATATCCAGAATCTACAAGGAACTTAAACAAATTTACAAGAAAAATACAACCCCATCAAAAAGTGGACAAAGGATATGAACAAACACTTCTCAAAAGAAGACATTTATGTGGCCAACAAACGTATGAAAAAAAGCTCATCATCACTGGTCATTAGATAAATGCAAGTCAAAACCACAATGAGATACCATCTCACGCTCGTGAGAATGGTGATCATCAAAAAGTCAGGAAACAACAGATGCTAGAGAGGGTGTGGAGAAATAGGAACGCTTTTACACTGTTGGTGGGAGTGTAAATGAGTTCAATCATTGTGGAGGACAGTGTGGTGATTCCTCAAGGATCTAGAAGCAGAAATACCATTTGACCCAGTAATCCCATTACTGGGTATATACCCAAAGGATTATAAATCATTTCACTATAAAGACACATCAACATGTATGTTTATTGTGGCACTATTCACAATAGCAAAGACTTGGAACCAACCCAAATGCCCATCAATGATAGACTAGATAAAGAAAATGTGGCATATATACACCATGGAATACTATGCAGCCATAAAAAAGGATTAGTTCATGTCCTTTGCAGGGACATGACTGAAGCTGGAAACCACCATTCTCAGCAAACTAACACAGGAACAGAAAACCAAACACCACATGTCCTCACTCATAAGTGGGAGTTGAACAATGAGAACACATGGACACAGGGAGGGGAACGTCACACACCGGGGCCTGTGGGGGAGTTGGGGGAAGGGGAGGGAGAACATTAGGACAAATACCTAATGTATGCTGGGCTGAACACGTAGATGACAAGTTGACGGGTGCAGCAAACCACCATGGCACATGTAAACCTATGTAATAAACCTGCACGTTCTGCACATGTATCCCAGAACTTAAAGTTAAAAAAAAAAAAGAAAGAATTGTTGGCAGAATTGTTGGCAGGTGTCATGGGAGCGGTGTCAAGTTGGCAGGAGTTGCCCATGGAACTGGAGAAACTCACTAGAGCAGATGAAGAAGTGACCCAATCTGGACGACGGGAATTCATGGGAATGAACAGAAGCCCTGCATGGGTGACTATGTCACTAGAGGCGGGCACCTGGTAAAGTCCCAGGCTAGGCCTCTGCGTTTCTAAGCAGAACTAGGAGCAGGCGTTGCCTGGGAACCCCGCCTTATGTTATCGAATCCTGAGTGTTTTGGACTAGTCTCGTGAAGGCAGGCATTCAAGGATATTTGGTCGGATCATCCGACGGCACTAAACCTTTTTTTTCCAAGTGGACCAGGTAGTTCACTAAAGTCGCCGTGATGTCGTCCTGGCTTGGGAGCCTCGGCTCCAGATGGGGCCAGTCTCTGGGTCAAGTCGGGGGCAGCCTGGCTTCCCTCACTGGCCAGATTTCAAACTTTACAAAGGTTATGCTGATGGAGGGCTCAGAGGAAGTGGAAGCAGAATTACCTGATTCCAGGACAAAGGAAATTGAAGCCATTCATTCAATCTTGAGATCAGAGAATGAAAGGCTTAAGAAACTTTGTACAGATCTAGAAGTGAAATATGAAGCATCAGAGCTTCAAATAAACCAGCATTCTACAATGCTGTTTATTAATGCTTTTTAACGTTTAAAAAGCATTCTACAATGCTTTTTGTTGAAGTTGAAATCAACTTCAACAAAAAGAGGTAGAAATCAGACATCTTAAAGCCAGACAGATTGCCTCCAGGATCAGTTGCTGAAACTGCGGTCAGCTGCTCAGTCAGTACCTTCAGCAGCTGGCGATGTACCAGCAACCACTGCAGCTTCATTCATTTATGTGATTAGTCATCATTCTTCAGCTTTCCATGATGATGACATGGACTTTGAGGACACAATTTTGTCCCAACAAGAAATAAACCGACTCTTAAATGAAGTTTCAAGGCTTGAGTCTGAAGTTGGCTATTGGAGGCATATTGCTTAGACTTTGAAAGCATGAGGAACACATAGCTCTGCCCAAAGTAAAACATGCAAACTACAAAATATCATTAAGGAACTGAAACAGAACCAAAGTCAGGAAATTGATGACCATCAACATGAAATATCAGTACTGCACAATGCACATCAACAGAAATAAGTCAACGACATCGAGAAGAATTAAGTGACTATGAAGAACGAACTGAAGAACTCAAAAATCTGTTACAATAAGGTAGCTCTGGAGTTACAGAAATTGATCACTCTAAAGTCTATGAGATGCAAAAAAACTATTCAACTTCTACAAACAGAAAAAGTGGAGTCTACCAAAAAAATTGAGGAACTTGAGGATAAAATAAAAGATATAAATAAAAAATTATCTTCTGCAGAAAATGGTAGAGATATTTTGAGGAGAGAACAAGAACAGCTAAATGTGGAAAAGAAACAGCTTTTAAATGCAGTTAAATCAGTGCAGGAGAAGACAGTTGTATTTCAACAGGAGAGACCAAGTCATGTTGGCCCTGAAACAAAAACAAATGGAAAACACTGCCCTACAGAGAGAGGTTCAATGTTTACGTGACTAAGAATTTCAGTCAAACCAGAAGCTAGAGAGACTGCGTAATCATCTTTTAGAATCAGAAGGTTCTTATACCAGTGAAGCTTTGGCCTCAGAACATAGAGAGGCTAAACTAAGAAAGAAAGTCACAGTATTGGAGGAAAAGCTAGTTTCATCCTCTAATGCAATGGAAAATGCAAGTCATCAAGCCAGTGTGCAGGTAGAGTCATTGCAAGAACAATTGAATGTAGTCTCCAAGCAAAGGGATGAAACTGCGCTGCTTTCTGCCTCTCAGCAACAAGTAAAGCAGTATGCTCTGTCACTGGCCAACCTGCAGATGGTACTACAGCATTTCCAAAAAGAGGAAAAATCTATGTATTCTGCTGAACTACAAAAGCAAAAACAGCTTATAGCTGAATGGAAGAAAAAGGCAGAAAGTTTGGAAAGAAAAGTGATATCATTACAGGAACGTTTGGATGAAGCAGATGCTGCATTGGATTCAGCATCAAGACTTACAGAACAGTTAGATCTAAAAGAAGAACAAATTGAAGAACTTAAAAAACAAAATGAGTTCCAACAAGAAATGCTGGATGATGTACAAAAGAAATTGGTGAACTTAGCAAACAGCCTAGAAGGAAAAGTGGACAAAGTCCTAATGAGAAACCTCTTCATCAGTCATTTCCACATGCCAAAAAATCAGCGTCACGAAGTGTTACGGTTGATGGGCAGCATCCTGGGGGTCAGAAGGGAGGAGATGGAGCAGCTGTTTCATGACAATCAGGGCAGTGTTACCAGGTGGATGACTGGGTGGCTTGGAAGAGGATCAAAAAGTGTTCCCAACACACCTTTGAGACCAAATCAGCAATCTGTGCTTAATAGTTCTTTTTCAGAATGTTTTGTTAAATTTCTAGAAACAGAATCTCATTCATCTGTTCCACCACCAAAGCTTTCTGTTCATGATATGAAACCTCTAGAATCACCAGGAAGGAGAAAACTAGACACAAATGCACCAGAAAGTTTTAAAGATACAGCAGAATCCAGGTCAGGTAGAAGACGAGAGGTAAATTCGGTTTTGGCTCCTCGCTCGGCAGCTGTACCTCTTATTAACCCAGCTGGACTTGGACCTGGTGGGCCCCAGCATCTTCTTTTGAAACCCATCTCAGATGTTTGGCCCACATTTACACCTTTGCCAGTGTTACCTGACAACAGCGCTGGAGTTGTGTTGAAAGACCTTGGAAAACAATAGATGATTCTCAAGCCAGAGACAATCTAGCACTTTAAAGAAACCATGAACACTATATGTACTTTATCACAAAGTGGCCTTTTAGAAAACGTCACGTATTTATTTGTAGTTAATGCTTTCTCTGAATTTAATAAAAATATTCCTAATGCTTTTAGAAATTGCAGGTGTCAAGAGGAAGTGTTTGCTATATCATCTGATTTATTCCTTCTGATTTGACTTAATTTAAGCTAGGAACATTTGATTTATCTTTTACCTTAATTTACAAAGATACAGACAGACAAAAATACTAGTAGCTATATGTTAGCTTTCTATTTCCTTCTGTGATTTCCAAGCACATTTAAGCTAGAGATTGTGGTTTGTCAAGAGAGTTTTTTTTTTTTTAATGAAGAATAAAAAAATACTAGTAGTGCCTTCTCTGCATAGTGTGGAAAGTTGATCTGAAGCATATAGTGATCATCTTTGGAGGACTTTGTGGAAACAGGCCAACAAGATGGTCCCTGGAAGGTCATTGGTGCCCTGAGATGAAGTATGTATTTGGTCCTGTGCAATGTCAGCATGTGTGTAAATTCTTTCGTTATTGTTGTTGTTGTTTTAAATAGAGATGGGGTCTCACTATGTTGCCAAGCTGTTGTCAAACTACTGGGCTCAAGTGATCCTCCCACTCGGCCTCCCAAAGTGCTGGGATTACAGGCATGAGCCACTGTGCCCAGCCCTGGGTGTAGATTCTTGTGACTACCACCACAGTCAAGATACAGAACACTTCCATCACAAGCATCCCCTGTGTTGCCCTCTCATAATCATAGCCACCTCCCTGTCCCTCTCCTGAATCCCTGACAATCACTAACTGTTCTCCATCTCAGTCATTTTGTTATTTAGAGAATGTTATATAAATGAAATCAATGTGTAACCTCTTGAGACTGGTATTTTTTCACTCAGCATAACTCCCTTGAGATCCATCCAAGTTTTTGGATGTATCACTAGTTTGTTCCTTTTTATTGTTGGGTATATAATGCAGATATATCACTTAGTTGTAACAGCTAAGATATCTATTTAAAGACATCATCTTAAAACTACATGTTTCTTTACACAAATTCATACAACTTTCATGTAAGTGTTAAACCATACAGCTGCATCTACATAAGTATAATTAGCAATATCACTGAACATGCCACTTCCTGATATATGAGGTACAGCAATCTGAGACTCAACTGCTCTCATCACAGTAGCGACTGAGGGCAGTGAATTTGCTTTGATAGCACCAGTACCCAGATGTCTGAAACTGAAGAGAGTATTTCTTTAATTTTTTATAAACCCATCATAAAAAAATCCTGACTTGAAACTTAACTGTATCTGGATGTTCACATTTTTATTAGTTGTTGAAGTTGTACATTTAAAAAGACATTTCTTGCAAATTTTGTAAATTTCTATATGCCTTTAAAATAGAAACATTTGTGTAACAAACAAAGGTGAAAATGAGACAAATTCAAATATGTAAATAGGCGTGGCTCAGGCCAGAACTAAATTCGGTTGTTTGCAAGTTTTGCTGTGATTAACTGTACTTTCTAATATATTTGGAAGACTAGAAGTCTTATTTAGACGTTGATGGGTGAAACTTGTTTTTCTGAAAAATGAAGTAACTGAGAATGCTGCTTCAGAATGTCTCCTATCTCCTTGGATAACTAATTTATATTGCCATTCTTTATTTAGTATACTTTAAAGGAAGTGGTCATACAAGTTCTGTATTAGAACTGTCAAGCTGCCTCCTCTTGGTTTTTTGCCCATTATTATTTCTCTATGAGTTGTTTACCCCTTGCTTTTTTGGGAGGGTTTTTTGTTTTTTGTTTTTGAGATGGAATTTCATTCTTGTCACCCAGGCTGGGGTGCAATGGCATGATCCCGGCTTACTGCAACCTCCACCTCCCGGGTTCAAGAGATTCTCCTGCCTCAGCCTCCCAAGTAGCTGGGATTACAGGTGTGTGCCACCATACCAGGCTAATTTTTGTATTTTTAGTAGAGACAGGGTTTCGCCATGTTGGCCAGGCTGGTCTCAAACTCCTGACCTCAAGGGATCCACCTGCCTCAGCCTCCCAGAGTGCTGTGATTACAGGCATGAGCCACTGCACCCGGCCTACTCCTTGGTTTTTATATACTCCTAACAAAGATACTTTCACTGACTATTCTACATTATTTGCTGCTTGCCATTGAAGTTTCATTTCAGTGTGGAGCAAATGAAATACTAGTTTCTAAGTTAAACACACACACACACGGTCCTTTATTTTTAAGAAATAGAATATGTAAAAAGTTTTCTCTTTTAATTTGAAAAAGATATGCATGGTATTTAGGTAGTATGTCATCATACTTGAAATGCCTTTTGTGACATTTTTTAGTATTTCCTTCTCCGACCAAAACAACCTGTCCCCGTCTCATCCCATAGTTTAACATAATTTTAAAAGCTGTTGTGGGTGGATAGCATAGCTAAACATCACAGAGCATGATATTAAATGGCTGCTATTTAAATAAGTATGTGACCTTGTCCTACAGCTATACTACCTAATGTTTCCATTGTGTCATTGAAACTCTAGCTGACTGGTATGCATACTTAGTGTTCGCTGATCTAAACCAGATATAACATATCGATTTTTCTGAAACTTAGTTGTGTCAGAGATGAACCACCTGCTCACAGAACCGTCTTAGTAACGAGACAGTGATGAAGCATATAATTCTAATGTTGGCAAGAGGACATTGCTAACAGTGCGTTTAACTGCAACATTTTAACTACAGTCATTTTTCTGTTTATTTCTCTATCCACTCAGAATTTGTGGTTGAATTCCACCTTCTCTGCCATAGTTTTTCACCACATTCCTAATGGTTTTCAACCTCTATACTGTAGTAGAAAATTCATCCAGCCATTGAATTTAATTTTAGCATAATACTGGATCAAATTGTCTGAATTTTCATTCCTGCCATTCTTGATTTTTAAAAAATGAAAGGAAGAAAAAACAAAACTAAACAAAACCTTAGGAAAAAAGGAATGGCTTCTTTCCAACTAGCCAATTTAAACGTCCAATATTCCCCCAAATAAAGCCTTTGGTTCCTTTTACCCTCTTAATGGTTAATTGAAAAGAGTACAGAAACTATCAAAATACTTATCCAATCAATAGATGGGGGGGAAAGCTATGTCTTCAGGGACAGAAGAGTAACAAGAATTATTTAGAAAATGCTATCACGCATCAAACTTGAAAGCATTTGAACCTGATTTTTAAATATCAAGTAAGGATAGGTGATATTTATTTTATATATTCCTATGGAAAAAAATGCTACTTTAATGTTCTGACATTTGTGATTATTTGCCAGTCTTTATCTTTTAACTTATTAAAAAGTTAAATACTTATTAAGATTTCGCTACATAAAACTGATAAATTGTCTTTTGATTTTTAGTGAAATATCTAAATGTGGGAAATTTCCAATCCAACCTTAATATTAAGTTGTGTTATTTATAGAGCTAAAGTTAATGCATTTTTTAATTTCTCAGGACCACTGCAAGGTGAAAAAATACTCCAAATAAAAATGATATATGTAAGTTGGCAATGTCTTCATTCACAATCAAAAAAAAAATTTTAGCAAACAAAAGAAGAATTGTTGACATAGCTACCTACCATGTGCCAGGAACTGTTCCAAACACTTTGCACATATTCAGTCATCTAACTCTCCTAACTACCATTGCTACCATTGCAAAATGAGGAAACTGAGCCTTGGAGAGGTAAAGTAACAGCTCAAACTCACACAGCTGCTGAGTGGCCCAGCCAGCACTCAGTGGCCTGGTTCTAAAGCCTGCACTTGCTGCTATTCTAGACGGCGTCTGATTTTTCCCTAGAATTTATAGACAGATATACATGACAGGTAGGTAGGTAGATAGATAGATAGATAGATAGATATAGAGAGAGAGATAGAGAAAGATGGGGGAGGGGCTTTTTCTCCACTCCTGACTTTTATTTACAGTCTTTCCCCTCTTATTTGTGGGGAATACCTTCCTGTGGATGGTGCCAAACTCTATATATGCAGTACTATGTTTTTCCTATATATACATACCTATGATGAAGTTTAACTTATAAATCAGGCACAGTTAAGAGCTTAACCACAATAATTAAAAATAAAATTGAACAATTGTAAAATATACTATAATAAGGGTTGTGTGAATGTGGTGTGTCTCTTTCTTCTCTCTCTCTCAAAATACCTTCTTGTTCTGCACTCACCCTTCTCGTGAAGACAGGAGATGATAAAATGCCTACATGATGAGATGAAGTAAGGCGAATGACACAGGCATCATGACGTAGCATTAGACTGCTATTGACCTTCTGACCATATGTCAGAATCATTTATTTCTGGAACTGTGGTTGGTGTAAGTGAAATCATGGAAAGCAAACCCACAGATAAAGGGGGCTTTCTCTACCTGTGGAGTAGTGCCATAGTTGGCCTCTGTCTCCCACTCCTTATTTTTTTTTTGTATTTTTTTATTTTTTGAGACAGAGTCTCACTCTGTTGCTGGGCTGGAGTGCAGTGGTGCGGTCTTGGCTTACTGCAGCCTCCGCCTCCCAGGTTCAAGTGATTCTCCTGCCTCAGCCTCCCGAGTAGCTGGGATTACAGGCACGTGCCACCACGCCTGGCTAATTTTTGTATTTTTAGTAGAGACAGGGTTTCACCGTGTTGGCCAGGATGGTCTCGATTTCTTAACCTTGTGGTCCGCCCACCTCCACCTCCCAAAGTGCTGGGATTACAGGCGTGAGCCACCGTGCCCCGCCTGTCTCCCATCCTAATGGTGGAGTAGCGCTCCACCATTGCCTCCTCACCCACTCCTCCAGGGAAGGGAAGACTCTGTTGTCTATTCATTTATCCCTGCCCCGCCAGTCCATTCTCTGTTCTTTCTCTGGTCCTAGAAGGCTGACCCCTGGGGACTGCATCCCCTGGGCTCCCCTCACCTCTGGCTTTCTGTTGGGCACAGTCCGTGGGAAGCACCAGCAAAGACCAGAGGGTGAGAAGTGCAGTTTCCGTGTCCTCCTGTGGCCATGGATCTTACCCTGTAGCCCTTTCCGTGGCCACAGCCTCTCCAAATCTCCTTGCATTCCTAGGAGAGGTGAGTCTTCCAGCTGTGGGTAGTCTTAGAGTGTCACCATTGTTTGCTCCTGAACCCTGGCCAGGCCTCCGCAATGCTCCCTTCTCTTCACTTGGATATGTCCCACCAGCTCTTCACACTCTCAAGAGGTTCAGACTTAGAATAGCCTTTTAACAGAGAATGGACTGGCAGGGCAGGGATAAATGAATAGACAGCAGAGTCTTCCTTTCCCTGGAGGAGAGGGTGAGAGGCGACGGTGGGGCGCTGCTCCGCCATTAGGGTGGGAAGAGGCTATTTTTTGTCAGACGCTATTTTTTCAAAGAAATCCCTTTGTGGGAAGGCAGAGCCAACAGAGGGAGCAAGTTTAGGGGTCAGGTAGTGCTCCTCTTTTCCCCTGAAATCACACAAGAATGAGGAGGGCTTTCCCTGACTTTGCAAAGACTCCCTCCCCAAGCTCTCTCACGGCCGTCATAGCCACTGAGCACCAGCTGTGCACTCTGGCCGGGGCCAACTTGAAGCCTTAAGCATAAAACCCTTAAGAGGCCTTCCACGCCCCAGAAATGGCCAGAAGGAGCACCTGGCCCTCTGCCTGGGCCCCTGTTCCCAGCAGCTCCTGATCCCAGGTGCAGTGCCCCCCAAAAACCCTTACCCCACATCTGTGAGAGGAGTCAAAGGCAGGTGAAATTCTGAGGAGAACCTGGATTTCCCAGGCTGCCTCGGTGAAGTTAGAAGTCAGGTCAAGACCATCAGGTGAGAAGGGCAAGTGCCCCCTCACCCAGGCAGGGGCCAGGCCCACAGAGCCGTCCGACTGTCACCACAGTATGGGTAGAAAAGTTTGTTTTCCATAACCCAAGTCCTCGCTTCTATACTCTCTCCCGTCACCGCACCCCACCACACCCCCAAATGTTTTGTTTGATCCTCTCTCAGGACCTGCTGGAATCCCGAGGCGCTCAGGCAGAGCGGATGGAAAAGTGTCACTGCTCCCAGGGGTATGCACATTCTAAACAGTGAAATCCTAGAGAGGCATCCCCAAAGAGGGGCATTAATGGAGGAATTTCAGGCAGTGGTTGGGGCAGTCTTGAAGGCAGAAATCAGACCCTAATCAACTTTCTCTTGCATTTCAAAGCCGGTTAGCCAGGGTCAGCCAGGTCACTGACTGTGGCTGCTTCTGCAGAGAATCTCCTCTGACAGAATCTCCTCTGTCCACACCAGAGGGAGAACCAGTCACTGAGATGTGAAATTGGATCCAATCCTTCCCCCGCTTCCCACCTCAGCTGAGGCCCTCAGGTAGCTGCGGTCAACAGCCTCTGCGGGTTGGTAAACAGCCCCGGGCCTAGAGGTTAGAAGTCCTTAGTTCTGTTACTAGCTGTCTTCTAATTTTCTGCATGATGTTAGGCAGGATACTAAGCGTCTCTGGACTTTGTGTCATGATTAGCAACATGAAGATTAGTTGGATTAGATGGTTCTAAGGTCCCTACAACTGCAATATGCTATGATCCCCCTTCCCCTCCACACCTGGCCAAAAGAAAGCATATCTAGATAAGGCAGAGAAAGTGGCTCAGCTCAGTCCAGAGGCTTCTGGGAACTGCAATAAGCCTGCAGCTCACATTTGGTCAACTGTGGCCAGCTGTCTTTGGGACTGAGAGTTTCTCTTCCCAGGTCAACCAAAGGTTGAGGCCTAGATAAAAGGCTTGCCCCATGCTCAGCTAGTTGAGTTGCTCAGCCCGTATCCAGGATTAACCAAGGCTTCTCACTGGCTCTCTGGTTTCAAAACAAAACAGAACTTTGAAATAGGACTGCACTCAGTGGAAAATCCCACATTAACAAGGCCCCTGGGAGTGCTCTGGAAGCACCATCTGTCAAGTATTTGTTCGCACAACCTGTGACCAAAACAGCCTTTTAACGTCATTACCAATAATGATAATAGCACCTCATGTATTTAGACAGCTCTTCTGACCCTTCAGAACCCCTCATCTGGGCTCAATTTGGCCTCGTGAAACTTTCTATAGGAGGCAGAGCACAGGACTTTCAAATAACTTAGTCCTGTTTTAGGCATGAGGAAATTGAAACCCAGAAAGATAGCAGAGCTAGGAAGAAATACACTCATTCCTTCATTCACTCCTGAACATTCAGATGAGCAATAAATGTCTTATAGGCAGGTGGTTACATTGCGCCTGATCTGGAGTCACACAGACCTTTGTTCAAATCTTGGCTCTGCCTCTTATCACCTATGCACTATGCATCTCAGGCAAATGGCTTTATCATCTAAGCCTCAGTTTCCTCATATGTAAAAATTTGGGATTTATTATGCATCCATCAAATGGTTATTGTGAGGATGAAATGAAATCACTGATGCCAAGCACAGTCCCTGACTTACAGAAACACTCAATTAACAGTAGCTTTAAAAATCTGACCTGGTCATGGCAGTAAACACACTGATGGGTACTTAAGGGCCTATTAAATGCTGTTGACCACTGGACACGTGCTCCCACAATGGCCCTCTCTCCAAGAACCTTGACCCAAGCTAGGCCAATTGGATTTTGTTTTGCTAAAATTTGTAATTGCTACTCAGGAATTCCAGTCCTTGTGGCCAGGCACGGTGGCTCACATCTGTAATTCCAGAACTTTGGGAGGCCAAAGTGGGAGGATTACTTTAGCCCAGGAGTTCAGGACCAGCCTGGACAACATAGTGAGACCCCCATCTCTACAAAAAAAAAAAAAGAAAAAAAAGAAATTCCAGTTCTTTACTGTTGCCTCTTGGAGCAAGCTGACAGATAAGAGCTGAAGCGGCCACTGTATGTCCTGTGTCCACAGAAGTGGGGGAAGACTGTGGGAAGAGGGAAAGATGAAAACAGGCAGAATGAGGAGCGGAGATAAGAGGCCACAGGGTCTGGGGGAGAAGTGGGGAAGGAGGAAAGAGAGCATGCACGTGCACCCTTAGTTTTCATAAGCCACACCAGGATCCTCCCAATAAGCCCCACTTTCTGCTAAGTCTGATCTAAGACATCTGTTCTTTTGGATCTCTCCTAGGCTCACGGATTCTTCTCATATCCCATCTGATACAAGCATCCTAGCTGCTCCTTCCACAGATGAAGACATGAGGCTCAGAGTGGTTAAGTGTCTGGTTAAGGGCACACAGCTGGCCAGCATCAGGGTCAGGATTGAAACCCTAATCAGCCTTCCTGTGGAATGGACACAGATCTGGGAGTCAGAAGACTTTTGTTGGAGGAGCAGTTCTTCACTCACCAGCCAGGTGCCCTAATCCAGTCCCTCAATCACAGAGCACTCTGCTTGCCTGTTCTGTACAACAGAGATTAGTGTCCCCTCTTCCATCTCACAGGGTTATTGGATGAAATACTCCATGTGAATGAGCTGTTTAAATTGCAAAACACCATAAATACTAGCCATTATTATGAGTTCATACAGCTTTGTATATCTTTGCCCATTTTACGAGATTTTTTTTTTTTTCTGAGATGGAGTCTTGCTCTGTTGCCCAGGCTGGAGTGCAGTGGCACAATCTTGGCTCACTGCAACCTCCACCTCCTGGGTTCAAATGATTCTCCTGCCTCAGCCTCCCAAGTAGCTGGGATTACAGCTGTGCAACACCACACCCAGCTAATTTTTTTATATTTAGTAGAGATGGGGTTTCACCATGTGGGTCAGGCTGGTTTCGAACTCCTGACCTCAGGTGATCCACCCTCCTCAGCCTCCCAAAATGCTAGGATTACAGGCGTGAGCCACCACACCCAGCCTCTTATGAGATTTTAAAGTTGAAAATCCCATAGATAGGAACCATGTCTACTTGAATGCCCCAAAAGCACCTGGACGTCAGCGTTCCTTGGACAATGTTAAATAACTCCAAATTATTAAAAAAAAAAAAAAAAGCAAGCACATTTACTTTTCTAAAGCAGAGGACATAGATTTCATATAGAGAATAAATATGTTGAGAAATTAGTCATTTTCTTAACTCACGTTCCATATGATTCTTTGGAAAACTTGGATGGCATTTGGGGTGATTCACGGGGAAGAATAATTAATGTGTCTTGTGTAATTTCTTCAAGTAGCTATTAAAAACACAACAGAATAACACGTGTTTTTCCATTCTCTGAAAATGAAGAAATACAGAGCTGTTTTTACTCCAACTTTTCCAAAACAAATCACCTTCTGTGATGAAAAATGTTGCCTTAAGGAGAGAAATTTTCAGGAAAATTATGAGCAAGTGAAAGAAAACAGAGCACCAAATAGAAGTCTTATTTAATGAGAACAAGAACCTCAACCAGCAAGGCTAAGTCACTTCCAGCCTGTGTCACTCAGCTGTCTCTCCTCTCATGAGCACTGGAGCCTGACAGACCTCAGTTCAAATCCAGCCATGCTTGATATTGGCTGAATAACTGCAGAGGTCACTTCGCCTAAGCCTCAGTTTCCTCATCTGTAAAATGGGAGTGAAATGCCTTCCTCATGGGCTTCCGGAAAGATTACATGAGATTATGTACTTAAAGGGGACTATGTTATTATAAACTTTAAATAAGTTTGTCGTTTCTTTGGTAGTACTCAACATGGGTAATCCCAATTAACATATATAACACTACCCGGCAAGGAATACTCTCTTGCTAGCGATGCCTACTGGAAAATTCTAGTCCCTAAAACTGAGATTTTAGGCCCCTCATTCCGGCATCTAACAGGACAGGAATTTGGTTTAAGAAGTAAAATTATTTTGTTTTCTCACTTTATCTATTGTTTGAAATGACATTGTCAAGTGTAAAAGAGGGGAAGGAAACCCACATATTATATGCATGTCACAGGTGCATGTGGTGTGTAAGGTAGGTAAGGTAGAGAGAGGAAGGAGAGAGGAGTAGACTGAGAAAGACAGGAAAAGAGGACTTCAACTTTATCTTCAAATTTTTAAATTTCAGGGGTGTAAAAATAGTTGAAGCAAGTAAAATAAAATGTTAACAGCAATTCAAGGCAGTGAGTACGTGGATGTTTGTTCTGATATTCTCTGTACCTTTTGGCATTTTTCCAATATCAAAATCATTTCCAACTAAACAAATTATTAATGGTCATAACAGTAATGCATTTTTTTATGGAAAGAACTTCATCAATATCCTGACCACCCTAATAATTGGTATAAACTTGTATCCTGTTTCTTTTTCTTGTCTTTATACATGGGTAAAGTCACTACAGAGTATAATGTATAATCCATTTCCATTTAGGAATATGCCAGGGTGGCCGGGTACAGTGGCTCACACCCGCAATCCCAACCCATTGGGAGGCCAAGGCGGGTGGATCTCTTGAGGCCAGGAATTTGAGACCGGCCTGGGCAATTATGACAAAACCTCATCTCTACAAAAAACACAATAATTAGCCAGGCATGGTGATGTGTGCTGTAGTCCCAGCTATTCAGGAGGCTGAGGTGGGAGGATTGCTTGAGCCCAGGAGGTTGACGCTGCAGTGAGACGTGATTGCTCCTCTGCATTCCAGCCTGGGTGACAAAGCAAGACCCCGTCTCAAAAAAAAAAAAAATTGTAATATGCAAGGATGGCAGAGGAGCTGCCCAGGGAATGAGACAGAAATGAGATCACTCACATACAAACAGTTTGACACCTACAGCCTCAAGTCTAGTCAGCTTCAGGGATTGTTGTTATTTTTTTGACCAGCTTGGTTTTTAAGTTTGCAAGCTCCCCATCATAACAGAATATCTTCCTGCTTTGGCTCTTTGGTTAGCTCTTCATCAGTCATAGATGATTGATTCATTCTACAGATGTGTATTGGGCACCTCTACTTTCCAGGCCCTGCGCTAGGCCCAAGGACACCGAATAAGTCAGGCCAGGAGGCTGCCCTCACATAACTCATGGACAAACCTGAGTGATGGGCAGGTAAGCAGCCCATGAGAGGTCCTACAAGGTGATGAGGTGCAATGATGGAGCAAGGCAGAGGGTGTGTGGGCACAGTGGTGGCTGGGGGATAAGGGAAGACTCCCCAGAAGAGGGGATAACTAGAAAGAATCTGGAAGGAAAGGGAAGAATTTGTTAACATTTAAAACTTGGGAGGTTATTTTGTTTTTAAATCCAGATGTTTGTCCTTATCTTAAAAAAATCAAAAGATCTGGCAGTACTTGGGAAGAGTCCTATAGGGCAGAAATTGGCCATACCTGAGTGGAAGACTGTTCCTGAGTGAGGTGCAGTGATCCTGCAGCCAAGCCCAGTCACACTCAACTGACACCATATGGGCCAGGGGCCTTCCCACGCCTGTGATTTCTCTCAGCTTTGGGGAAAGAGCACATTGGCTCCTCCAGGCAAAGGAAATGATTTGAGAGGTTCTGTCCAAGCCTCTTCCAGAGCCAAGATTGATTTCAGACTTTACCCTTTGGGAATAATCCAGAGCTCTTGCCTCTAGGCCATGCCCACTGCCTCAAGCCGGAGAAGTCTACCTAATGGTGATCTTGGGCACCGTGGAAGCCAGTCGGGGAGATGGCTTAGGGTGAGCAGTTAATTTGGTTCTTTTTAGATAATACCTCAGAGCCCACTTCCTTCCCTATGGCCTCACAGAGATTTGTTCCTGGGCAAATGAGGAGAGGAAAGAGGATAGTTAACCTCTCACACCCATGTGAGCTGAAGGGAGGTGATATTCAAGGAGGGTGGCCAAGAGATGCCTCGATCCCTTATTGATAGAAAGCCTACAGAGTAAAATTGTCATACCCTCAAACCTAATGAGATATTTTGTCGCTGTGTGTGCTGTTAAATGGTAACTACCTACCAGGCATTATTCCAGCATGGACCATTTGATCCTTACGAGAACCCTGGGAGGGAGGCTTTCTAACCAGTATTTTAGAAATGAGCAACTGAAGCTCAGAGAGTACATGTGGCTTGTCCAGGGTCAGGACCTGGTTGTCTAACTTAGAGACCTAAGATCTTCCTACTAATAACCACAGTCAACTGCCACCAACTCCTGGGAACCTCGAGATATCAGCCTAGGAAGATACCTCAAACTTGGAAAAAGTTTCATTATGTACAAAATTCACCCCAGGACTGTGTATACTATTAGAGAAGCTTTACGTCATATTGTCATATTTTATGTCATCTAATACTGCCTGGCCCAGTGTGGGCCCTTCAACAAACACCTTTCAGATGAAGAAAAAGGAAATAAAGAAATGATGGGCTTTAACTGTTGAAGGAGGTAAAGTATATCTCCGGTTACTCGGAGTATTTGATGCCCTTTATCAAGCGCACTAAAGAAGAGTTTGTGATCATATCTTAAGGGCTTGCTATAATATTATAGGAAAAAGCAAGGTGCACAATTTATGTATTATATGATCCCAATTATGTTCAAACAAACACATTTCGTGTGGACAAAAAATGCAAGAAAATGTGACATAAGAATTTACAGTCACTGTATTTGGCTGTTAGACCAATGAAGATTTAATTTTTTCTTCTTTCCTATTTTCCATACTTTCAGTTGTAAGTGTGGATCATTTTATAATAAAAAGGAAACAATATATTTAAAAGAAAACCTGACTTTTCAGAATTCCAGTCTCAGACAATGAAGACACGGAACTGGAGCATACTGAGAAAAGTGGCCCAGCCAAACAGCCAGTCCAGCAAGTAGGTGCCAGGCAAGGGGCAGCTGCTCTGGGTCAAGGGCTCACAGGAGACAGCAGAGTGGACACCAGGGACATTTGCAAGGGAGAAGAATGTTTTTTATCAGGGTATGGTGCAGAAAGGGCCTGGGGCTAGGCAGGAGTGGGTGGCCACAGTGACACACATGGAGTAAACAGACAGGCATTTATTGAGCACCTACCTCATGCTACTGTTAGGGAAACAGGAACCTAGGAAAGCCAGAGTGATACCGTTTTAAAAATCACCTCCATCTTAAAACTAGCAGGCACATTCTTTGCCAGTCATATGGTCATAAGATAGTTACAATTGAGGAAACAGCTTAAAGATGCCTCCAAGGACACACTCCTGCAACTACAGAAAGTCCAGATGTCCCAATACCCATAACAAGTTGTGCTTTTAGGATAATTACAGTTACGCTTCAATCTATGTACACACTAACATGTCAAGAATAGTTTTCTTTAAATCAATAGAACAATCAATTTTGTCATGCTGTCTGCTCACCACACGTAGACAGAGCTTAGTTTAGTCTTTACATAGACAAGACCCCATATGAGAAAAATTTAAAGACAGTGCGTTCCTCCACTTGCTTTCTGAGGATGCCCTACTCTGTAACAGAATAGCTTTCCATGAACTACCTCTTCTCACTGCACTCTGCGACTCACCTTGAATTCCTTCCTGTGTAAGATCCAAGAACCCTCTCTTGGATCAAGACCCCTTTTCCAGTAACACAATTATGTTCTCACTGGGCATTGATGATGTATGGGCACTGTGCCCATATTATCTCATTTAATCCACACTACAATACTGTAAGTTTTATTGTTTCAGTTTGACAGATTACAAAATAACTGCTTTGGAGTCATTTTAGAGGGGGGAAAAATGCCTGAGAATTGATTGGCAGTGGGAATTCCCAGACCTAATTGTCTGTCAGATCCCTGGGATACTTTTTTACAGCACAGAGACATCACACAGCTAGCAAAAGTAATATTGTCATTAAAACAGCACCATGTAAAATGTAAAATGGAAAAAAAAAAGCCACTTCTCAGAAACTGACTTCAAAGTTATTTTTCAGAAATTAGAAAAAATAACATAGAAACGAGGCAGGAAAATCACAATTAATCCAAAGTGAAGACATGGAAGGTCCAGGGCTCAGCCAAAGGAGGTAGAAATGGTCAATTTATTGCAATTATGCACATTTTCCATCTCTTAATCCAGATGCAGTCTGTCATTTTACTGGCTTGTCAACCTTTAGACAACTTGACCCTGTTCTTCATTTATTCAGTCATCTCTCCAGCCCCAGCACTCTAGCCAGGGGAAAGCATATGGCCCCGCTAACTCATTTTTTTTTTTCCTGGGGCTCCTCTGTTTGCATTTCATTGCCCAAGGAGCTGTTCATTTCTCTATATGGTTACTTTTCATTTTCTAGTATCCCTCAATTCCATGTTTTGTCCACCACCCCAGGAGCACACACTTTGGAATCAGCCTAAAGTTTGGTTTTAAGCCCAGCAGGGCCATAAACTTCCATAGTTGCCTTGGATATTTGAGCTCCTAGAGCCTTGGTTTCCCGGGCTATAAAATGAGAAGATGGGAATAACAAAATTACTATTTTTTGCATTAAGTAAATAAGATTATGTATGTTAAGTAACCAGCATATAGTAAGCACTCAATAAATACTGGCTTTGTCCCCGTGACACCATGTGTGATACACATATCATTGCTGTAGCTCGGGATACCTTACTAGTTATCATTCAAAGTGCCACAAAAGATTACAAGTACTTTAAGACTTAGGGAAAAGAAAGGGGGAAATATTTCTCAAAACATAAATAGAAAAGCAACGTTTTCTCTTTTAAAATATCAGAATTGGGAATCGTAAGAAACATAACTGGAAATGGAGTTGAATATGAATCCAGAACCTAAAGGCAGTGAGTTCTGCAAAAAGAAATCTGTGTCCCTTTGCTTAACTAAGCTTTTTCTAAGCTTATTTGACCACAGAAGCTTTTGTCAAGTAGTACCCATTAATTTCCAAGGAATTCGCATGACTTTAAAACACTTTTGGAACTGTTGCTAATTATTTTAAGAATATTTGTAGCTATCACTGGTCAAGACGACCCTGTGCTTTAGGTATTTCAACAACCTCATCTGTGCTCACACATACACTGGAGCCATTGTTGTCCATATGAGGAAACAGTCTCTAAGGAGTAGCTCAACCTCACACAGGCAGGACAGCAGCAGGTCTATAGCCGAGTTTACCAATTCTGAAGTCTGCAGCATTTCCCCCCATACCATCTCCCTCTCAATTGTGTCTAATTTCCACCCCCTTCTTCTGAAGCTAAGCTGTAGCTACTCTGTCTTTAAGTTCTATTGAATCAAGCACTTTTACCAAAATGTTGTGATTACACTGATGTAGAGAGTGTGCCTTGGTCAGCAAATAAGCACCATGAATCTCTCAACATCGTCCAGACTTCCTCTCCCTCCGGACCTTTCTTTCCCAGACCATCCCATAGACATGCTTCCGGAAACACTTAATTGGAGTCTCTAGGAGCAATCACAGTGGAGGTGGAATTCTGGTTGTCTTAGTGTAATCAAGTCCTGATTTTTTCTTCAGTGTGTGACCAGAGTAGGAGTCAGAAACTGGGTTCTTACCCAGCTCCATCTCAGTCACGGGTATGTCCTTGAGCAAATCCTCAAAACTCCTGCTCCCTAAAATTCTGATGTACCAGCTAGAAAGGGGTATACCAGATAGCTAACTTTTGGGCTTCCCAGCAAGCACATAAATGATGACATAATCTGGATTTGCAATTTCATAGGGATTTAGGTTCTGAAGTCTAACTGCTTGGGTTGAAATCCTGGCTCTACCACTCACTGTGTGACCGTAGGCAAGTTACTTAACCTCTCTGTTCTTTACTTCACTTATCTCTCAAATGGGGTTAAATCACAGAATTTAATTTGAAGAGTACAGTGATTAAAACAGTGGCTGGCACATTCTAAGTGCTTGATAAATGTTATTATTATTAACCTTAGCTTGTGGCTCAGTGCTGCCTAAGAGGTTAGAAATCCCCAAATGTCCTGGTTCCTGAGCAGAGATGACCCCTCACCCACAGAGCTCATTCTCTCCCGGCTTCTCTTGCCCCTCCTCCACACTCCTCTCCACTCCCCACACCCTCCCTTCTCAGCCTCAGAGTCCCTCAAAGAAGAGTCCCCAAGGAGTGTAAATGGAAGCCGCCCTGCCTGAGGGGAGAGAGGCCGACCTCACACAGCTGGACCAGGCTCACAGTGACCAACTGAGGCATGCAAGGTCGGGCCAGCAGTGGGGTCACCTGAGAAATTGGCCGGGTCACCAGCCCATTCATGGCCACCTGGCGTCCTGCCCATCTCTGACCCTCAGGGCCCCCAGGGCTATTGTGAGGACGAAGTCCTCCTGCTCCGCTGGGCGTAGCCCTTTGGACACCACAGAGGCCCTGGTTGCCCAGAGCTGCCCCTAGAAGGGGCTCACACACGTCGGCGGGGGGCCTCATTCCTGCATCTGGACTCAGAGAAGAGCCAGAGGGGGGAGGGGGAACCGAGAGGGGGGTGGGCAACCGCTGGGATTTCTGCCACCAGTTGGACTCTTTACGATGAAGGGCAAGCACTGAGGAAAGAAACTGCCCAGCTCAAACACAGCTCCCTCACAGTGCCAACCTGCGTGGGTGCCAGCCACCAAGCCCCTCCACACCTCAGCTTGCTGAGAGAATGGGATGAAACAATGTGTGGAAAACTTAGAAAACAAGAGAAACTCACAATAAATCTCAGCTATTATTACCAAAAAAATTCCCTTATTCCTCACCACAATGCTCTGAGGTAGAAAATGTTCTATTTCCTGATGAGGAAACTGAGGCTCACAGAGCTCCTACATTTGGGGGTCTGGGTTCAAACGCAGCTCTGACCCCCAAGTCTGTGCCTTCACCACAGCACCCTCTGCCCTGGGGTTCCAGGCGGCCACTCTCCAGCACATTCTCCTCTGGTAGAGACAAAAGCTACAGGGTTTGTCCATTCAGCCAGTATCCGGGCTGTGCCAGGCACTGTCTCAGGGGTCCGGGGTGTAGTGGGGGGCAACAGATGCCGTGTCTACACTGAGAAGCTTACAGGAGTGAGGAAGCGTCATTCCTACGTGAAGGGAATGCTCTAAAGCTGTGCCATCCAATATGGAAGCCACTTGCCACAGGGGGCTTATGAACTGACTTTGAATTAATTGAAATTAAACAAATGAATAATCCAAGTCTTCCATCACACCAACCAAGTGCCCAGCAACCCATGTGGCTGGTGGCTGCATACTGGACAGCGCAAACAGAGAGCATTTCCATCATGGCCGACGCTTCCACTAGAGGGTGTTGCTCAAGAGGAAAGGAATCAAAACTAGGAGCCCTGGGGACTCAGACACTTAGAGGCTCCCCTGAGGAAATGGCATTGGAGCCAGAACTGAAGGATAGGGAAATCAAGTAGAGGAAGGTTGGGGAAGGGCAGGAAAGCCCTGTAGGCAGGAGAAACAGTACCCATAAAGGCCAGCGGTAGCAGGGCTCCCCTGCAACTGGAATGAAGAGAGAGAGAGAGTGGAGTGCTTCAGTGCCCAGGCTCCCCAGGGCTGGCTGCCTGGGTTTGAATCCCAGCCCTGGCTCTTCCAAGCTGAGGGCCCTTGGATAAGTTACGTGACTTCTCTGTACCTCACTGTCTCCCCCTGTCAAATGAGGATAATGATAGTACCTCCCTCCCAGGCTTGCTCTGATGATTGAAATAGCCCAGCACATGTTTAGCACTGGACGTGTGTTTGTTGTTACAATTGCTGGCCCAAGATGAGGTCGAAGAAGTAGGCAGAAGTCAGATTGTGCAGGCTTTGTGGGCCGTGGAAAGAATCTGGTCTTTATCCTAAAAGCAAAAAGAAGCCTGAAAAGTTTTAAGCATAGAGGCCAGAGGGTGGCTGGTGGAGAACCACAGCCCACCTGAAGGCTGCAGTGGCCGTGCAACACGAGCCAGGCGCTGGGGTGTACGATAGTGGACCCAGCATCGCCAGGCCTTCCAAGAGGCTGGAAATTCATATATATATTTTTTTTTACATAAAAATCTCCTAACATTTTAAAGTAGGCCTCTTATTCCCAAATTTTTAAGTACCTTACGGAAAAAACCAGGCATCTGCTAGGACATCTGGTTTACCCCACAATCTGCAGCTCCTCAAACCTCAATAAACCAAAGTCCATAATTAAAGTCATATTGCCAGATGAGCCAGGTGGCTCCAAAAAGAAACCAATGGACCGCCTGGAACAAAAATGGCACATCAAAAAAGCTGCCAAATTAAATCTGAACCAAATTGCTACATAATTGGGCTGGAGGATCCCAGTGCCTGAGTAGAAGGGCCCATGGATAAAAGCATAAACAAGCTGCACAGCCTTTTTCTTTTTTAAGTTTGTGGTGATAAAAAGAAAATATATGAAAACCTGTATTCTCTTCACTCTGAGGTTGTGAAATGAATTTTTTCTCCATCTCTTCACAGAGTCTGGGTCAATCCTTTCACCTGAAAAAAATATAGGCAGCAGGTGTTCATTTGGGGAGTCTATGGTCCGTGTCATTTCCTGGTTCCAGATTATAAAACAAAACCACTTCATTAGGACATAGTATTGAGTGACAGAGCAGGAGAGGGCATAAGAGGAAAGACTGATTCGACGAAATGAAATGCTTGAATGAGAAAGCCTTATGCCTGAGCAAGAATCAAGTATTTTAGGTTTTCATTCTTCAGATCTTCACTTTCATTAACCATTGCTTTTTCATAAAGGTTTTTCTTCCCAAAATATTGAGTATTTAACATGGGCCTGGAGCTCTAGGAGAACTGGTAGTATTTATTAGTTCTCCTCTGGTTGACGGAATATGCATCCTTTCACCTAAAAAATACAGGCAGCAGGTGTTCATTTGGGGGTCTATGGTCCACGCCACATGCATCCAGTCAGAGAACTAGTGAATACATCGGTGATTGCTGTTACGCCAGATTAAGGGAGAGACCCCGCTAAGCAATTGTTCTAGGTGATAAAACATTTGTAACAAAGACAATGAGGAAAAATCATGACAGGTTTTTGCATGTTATTCTCCCTCCCCAGTCCAGTCCTCTAATCAGGAAGGAAAAGTGGGCACTGGGTTTCTAAGGGAAGATTTTTTTGAATACTGAGAGAGTGCTTCAGAAGAAAGAAGCTTCTAACTCTTTCTCTAATACTGGACCTCCAAGGATTAAGCTTAGGAAAGTGCCATTTAGAAAGACTGGATTGCTTCTAAGGAGGGTGGGGTATTTTATTGGGTGAAGTATGTCGGTTTGGGCTAGCACTGAACTGAGCTGAGAGTGGAGCTGAGGCTCAGGGTTGCCAGGAGATTTAAACTCCTTTCCATTCTCCTCCAATCACCCCAACACTTCCTGCAGGTGGATGATGGAGAGGTAGGTTATCCACTGGCTTAGGGTGCCTGTTTGCCTCAGTCCAGCTTTGAGAGAATGGAGCGTAGAGTTACGATACAGAGACATACGCAGAATGCTCCCAGGTCCTAGATCAAGGATGTCTATCTGAGTCATACTAGAGCAGAGTTATTAACCTACAGCCTGTAGATAGAATTTAGGGGCTCCTTGAACATAGAAGAGAAAAAGATTGTCTTAATGTTTGCTAACCTTTAAGTGAAATGAAACACACTCTTCTATTATGAATGTAGGCAACAAACCTCAGTGGTATTAACAGTACCTGTGACTTTGCCATAAACTGTAATCACAGATATTGTCATATCGTATTTCATTGGTGGCAGAAACCTTGAAATAACATTGAAGTGCATTATTACATGAAAACCATGGCAGTTATTAGACCTGCTGCTGGATATTGTTATATAATGCATTAATAATGAAGCATATGTATTACTATACCACTAATTCAATTTTGTTACAATATAGTTCAAGACATAAAAAGATTAAAGGCCTATGAACTAGGGGATCCAAGCACAGTCTTTTGAATGACTGTTTGCTTGAGTTTAAAGGGCATGAAATAAACCAGGCAAAGGAAAGGGGTAAGAGGATGGCATTTCAGGCTAGGGAATAGCATTTGTAAAAGCACAGGCTTTGCAGACACTGTAATTGTTGTGGCTGCTGAGAGCCTCTTAAGCTGAAGGGAGTTGAGGGGCTTGGGAGTGTGGGTGGAAGCCCATTCAGCCTGGGCCTCGCCATCACAGAGGGCCCCAGATTCAGACCGGACCCTAATCATCAAATGAGATGATATAAACACTGAACTTTTAATGTGTGTGCTAAAAAGTGTTAGTTAACCAAAACATTTATGCCACAATTTTCCTAACCCTATGTTGGCATGCCCTCATTGTTCCTCAGGGAACCACTAGCCCAGGCATCTTTTGACTTCTAAGGGAGTAAACTTGGCCAAGAGGGAAAGATTTACTGGAGGTGGGGAAAGACTTGAGTCAGCAAAGTAAACAAGAGTCAGGATTCCATCTTGAAAATTGTGTGTGTGTGTTTTAAGTTTGTACCCAAATGATATAATCAGTGTAGGGCTCATTTGCTGATTTCCCTACCCAAACTGCTCATTTCCACTCCCTTTCTTCTGGCAATAGTAGTGCAGATTTCTTTTGGAGAACTACCTTTCTACAACAATTAGAGGTAGGAAGGAGGGACATGTGACGTAGAGCCGGCCAATCAGAGCACAGAATTCCTGAAGCCACAGTGATTGGCTTAGAAGTAAATCCATCAGAATAATTCTATTCTCTGACTATAGGGAGTGCTTCCAGGATAGATATTCACTCAAGCTGGTTCAACCAGAGTAAATCTTGGGATTTGTGTGGGCACTATTGATGAAAAGATGGTTTTTTTAGGCTGGATTGTACCTAGGAGGGCTTAAGCCTAGAGAAAGTAGCTATCTTGCTACCATATAAAGGCTGAGAATGAAATCAAACATAGCAGAGTCAAGAGATGAAGAAAGATGGGGTCCTGATGCTACTGCACCTCCAGATACAGCTAGGCCAGATCACCGCTGGACTGGGGCCAATCACATCTGGTTTTAGAAAGAGCATGCCATCTGCTGGGAGAGGAATGATCAGGGATATCCTGCAGTAGAAGCAGGAAGACCCAGAACTTCAAATCTGGAGACTGTACAAGTCCATTTTCCTTAGGTAAGGCTGCAGTAATGAACAGTCCCAAGCTTCCAATGGCTTACAACAACAAAGGCTTATTTTTCGCTCACATTGCATGTTGGCTGCAGGTTGGGTCTGGCTCTGCGACTCCACTCCGGATGTCTATTGCATTCCAGGATCCAGGCTGGAGAGCAGCTCCTATCTTAGTCTCATGGCAGAAAGTAACGGAACAGTATCGGAACCACACAATGGCTCTTAAAGCTTCTGCTGAATGGTGGCTCTGTCACATCTGCCCACAGTCCACTGACGAAAGCAAGTCCATGGCCAAACCCAACATCAATGGGAAGCACTGAAAGTTATGTGGCCATGGGCAGTAATGCACAATCCTCTTACGAGAAGGGTAGTGGCTAACTGGAAACAATAATATGATCCACTGCCAAGGCTTTAGAAGTTATTTGCTTCAAGCATCTCATTTGACAGATGGGAAAACTGAGGCCAGGATGAGTTAAGTAAATTGCTCACAATCACATGGGGTTGCCAGTGGCAGAGCAAAGGCAAGGACCTAGGTCTCCTGCCTCCCAGTCCAGGGTTCTTCCCTGCACCCCAGGCTGCTCCCCTACAGTTTCACTTTGGCAAGTAAGGAAAGATTGTTCACGGTTGTCCTCTGTTTGTCCTCTTCAGTTCACTCGAGCAATATGTTTCCTAGCACAGAGAGCTGGCTGATGGTCAGGGCAAAAGCGAAAGTTCTCCAGAATCATTATTTGAGCTTGTTTCTCTTCAGGCACCAGTCTTAAGAGAAATTTGGTTCCGGGTGATTGAACAGAGCCTTGGAAGCAAGCATAAGAAATTACAATACTGCAATTTTTTAGATTTATTGATTTGGATTTGGAATTGGGAATTTGGGGCTCTTTTCTTTCATTCTGATTTGTCTTGTTATGTTTCTACCAGCTTTTAAGCCCACAGAGAAGAAAAAGTAATGGCTATTGAATATCTATAAGGAATGAGACACTGAGAGTTTTGATACATATGTCATCTTTATTATACACATTTTCCTGGGTAAGTGGACATTTGTAAAAAATATTTCTCAAGTTACGTGTTTCTCTCCACCCTCTACCCCTTTTGATAAAATATTTTATATAACATATTTCAAACACTAAGTGTGTAAACTGATTATAAATGCTAAGAATTTTGGAGCGGTCACTGTCTAAACAACCCATTTACCTTGGTGCAAGCAGAACTGATGGGGGCAGGGCATCTGGATCTGTGCTCAGCTTCTCAACATTCTGAGTTTCCACTGGACTCAGTGACCTGCATCCCATCCCAGAACCACTTTTAGCAAAAGCTCTCTTAACAGAGTTAAGGGGACCCTATGTGCCCCATGCTGAATATTGGAACCAGGTAGGAACCTTCTCCAGTCTTCCCAGCTGGACTGCTATATCTCTGATCCAGAAGAGAGGATGCGCTAGGCTACCAGCTACTAGTTGAGGGAAGTGGATAAATTATATTCTCTTCACTGGCCTTCATTATATCTTTGCCTCTGTTCCTATGTCTCTGTTATCCTTTCTCCCCAGTCACCATTGATTCTCTAAAAGTCTCTGTTTACCTAATTGCTTCATTACCTAGCACATTAGCTCCTCCAATGCTAAAGATAGCACTACGTGATAGATACTATTATCTATTATTTCCATTACGCAGATGATGCAAGTGAGGCTCAGATCAATTTTGGGTGTACAACTGTCGAGCCAGCATTTCAAACAACATCTGCCAGACCACATCCAAAGCCACAGATGCTGAAATTCACTCATTCACAAATATTACAGAGCACCTACCATCACCAAGTCTCATGTGAAACTGGAGATAAATGCTGAACAAGACCCAGCCCTCGTGCAGCTTATTCAAAATTCACTCAATAAGTATTGTCTGAGTTACCACCATGTGCCTGGGCCATAGTCATTTATAATCTGCTAGGAAATGCAAACAAAATTCACATGCAACTAACAGTTCAGTCTGCTAAGTGCTACAATGGGACAGGTGAGAACAGAGAAAGTGAGTGACAGACACATTTTCCATAACTTGCCTTGTGCTGAGTTTGAAAGACTTGCAATAAGCCTCCCAACCCCACTCTCCTATTCTAATTTTCCCCTTGCTTAGCAGCTCATCAAAAGCAGGGACCTGCAGGGATTTCAGATATACTAGTCTTTGGCATATGCTTTGCACTACAGAGAAATGTACTGGAGCAGTGCCTTAGGCCAGAATCAATTTCCTCTCCCCTCCAAGAAGCCAGGCAATGTACTTGCTGCTCCTTAACGGGAGGGTGTGGGCAGAAAGTCTGAGATGGTTCTAGAGAAGTCCAGAGATGGCTCTGTAGTCAATTACTGATGGTGAGTGAAAAATGAGGTCAGCTCCCTGACAGCAATGCCTGAGAGAGGCAGCGAAATACCACAGAACCCCCATTCTCTGTGGGCCCAAGGACACACAGCTAAAAATAGACATACAATATCACTTGGATCTGCCGAGGATTTCACAACTGCTGGCCCAGCACAAAATGTGTGGCTTTGGCCAAGTCAAGATGCAATGCAAACCAGCCGAGAAGCGCAGCATGACCAAGATCAACAATCACCAGGACAACAGCCACCCCTCTGTCCAGAAGGCCTTGACCACGGAAGCACAGTTACCCACTGCCCCAAGTCCTTGTTTGACTTGCTGTGCAACTTACAGAAAGTTTGTCTTGCATGCCAGGGACTTTCTAAGACACTTCATTTCAGGGACATTGGGGCACGGGTACTTGTGGAAGTTTGCCCCAAGAACTAGAAAATTGGTAAGAAATGTTCATGATTTTAATATAAGGGGAAACACAACTGCAAGCGTGGGATGTGGGTGGAATGAGACAAGAAAACATTTGAAAGAAAATAATTACAAACACATGAGAAGGAAAAAGAGCATGGCCCAGACTAGAAATGTGTAAAAAAATAAAACAAAAATAAGAAAAGATTTGACATTCTATTTGTGGGTTTAAAACCAATTTTAAAGTTGACAGTTCTACTCTATTGGCAAACATTTATTTCTATAATTTATGGGATATTATTTCCTGAGTGGGTAGCAGGTGCCAGAAGCTGCCCTCAACCCTTCACAAGCATCTTCCAAACCTAATCCTGACACTAACCCTATGGGGCAGATACTAACACTATTCTCATTTTTCAGACAAGGAAAGCAATTTGGACCCTTCAAAGTTTGAGCAGCCCTTAGCAAGCATCTTAACCAGTGGTTCCTCACCTGACTTGTGCATCAGATTTATCTAGGAAACCCTAAATACTACAGATTTTGGGACCTACTCTAGACACTGAATCAGATGGATGGGAGTACGCCCAGGAATCGGTGTTTACAGAGTTTCCCATATGATTCTCATATACAGCTCTGTTTGGAATCCACTTACCAATCCAACTGACCTCTTCAGTTTTCCAGACCAAAACACTGAAGCACAGGCAATTCTATTAACGTGCCCAACGTAACCAGCCTATTGGCAGCAGAGCCTGGACTAGAACCTGGGGCTTGCTGTGTGGTGCTCTCGCCATCGGATCATGCATCTTCCACTGGAATCCTAAATGGGGTAAAGGTGTGGTTTCTCTCTCTCTCACACTAAATTGCTAGACATGGCATCGCATTCACCCAATTCTTGCCCAAACCCTTCAACTCAACTCAGTGCAATTAAACAAATATCTATTGAGCAGCTACTATGAGCTACACACGGTGCTTGGTGCTGAGAATCATGGTTTCTTACCCTCATAGAGCTTAAAGTCCAGCAGAAAAGAAGAACATTTTAAAGACTGTAACCAGCTTACTGAATGAACTGGGATCAGCGAAAGCAATTGTATTTTCTCATCACTGCTCCTTCAAATCTTCTCTCTCTTTCTATTCCCCACATATCTTACATATCTTAGATGGATCCTATAGCTATTGTGGTCACTCAGGCATTAAAGAATGCCTCAGTTTTGGATAATGTATAAAGTCTCATTCATTCTAATGGTAAGGCTGCAATCTCAACCAATTAAAACGTCTTCCCCACTTTTTAGCTTGGGACTGGCTCTTGCTCAGAAGCTGCAGGGGAGAAGGGGATTGCGTGGGTTTCTTTACCGGTTCTTATCCTCCTCCCTCATTTACTGTGTTTCTTTAGGCTCCTCTGGGCCCAGGGCAAGAGGCCCAAGGAGCAGAAAGGAGTGATTGGAGAGGTAAAGAAGGTGAGAAGTTATACAGAGCCAGGGCCATCTGTACTCACTGAATGTCCCCAGTCATGGAAGTTGTCAATGTGCTGGTTCTCTCTCCCATGAAGGCTTCCTCTCCACTCCCTTCTGCCATTGATGAAATTGGCCACCTGCGATTCCCTGACATAGGCCATGCCTCCTCCAGCTGACCTAGCCCCTCCCTTCCAGCATTCTATCCTACACTTGATCTCAGCCAGAAGGCCAGGAAGAGACCCAGCAGTCTGTCCTAGACACTGTTGGGGTCACCTTGCCCCTCAACGAAGATTCCCTCCTTGGCCAAACTTTAACCAAGCTCCTCTGAATCCTCTCTTCAATTAGACCTCAGCCTTGGCCCATTGAACTACAGATTCTCAGCACAAATGATTTTGGACACCCCTCTTTCCCCCCACCCACATTAAAAGGCTTAAACACCAACATAGTTTCTAACAGCTCAAGGCTGAGTCCTAGGATGATCTTAGCCCCCCATAAAGTGTCTGCCTGAGAAAGCGCAAGGCTGCCAGGAGAATTTTCAGTCTCTCTCCTTCAGATCCTTCAGGCATGAGTCGTGCACCAGTCACTAAGCACTTCAGTGCCAGGCATTTTTCCAAATGATTCTCAGAAGCCTTCCTCATCTGGCTTGGAGGAAGGGCAGAGAAATACACCCCTCTCTTCCCCCATGAGGTGGGAAAGGGAAGCACACACACACACACACAAACGCACACACAAACACACACGCACACAATGCTGCGACAACTTTCACAGCAGAACTACTCACCTGCTCTCCGCTCTCTCTCAATCTGTCCCCTGGCCTCTCCCATTAATGTCCTCCATGTGGATGACAACCTAAAAACTTTTTAAAACAAGAACTGATTTCACAATCTCTTAGCATGTACTGCACAGATGGTCTCAACCCTTGGATACTTTGCCAAAACACCAAAAGTCAAATTTAACATCCCGTTACATAAGAAATTACAAATTCAGGGTGGCAAGAGAATGTACAACAAGGACATTTGGGGCCAGCCCATAGTTTATAGGATTCATCCCTCACATTCCTCTGGTAAGGAACCAAGACACTCCTTGTTTAGGCCGCCATAGAAACTGGATTTCCAGAGGGCGAATGAGAGAAATGACTGGTTTAGATATCCTGTCTTTTCTAACTATTAAAATATTGTCCAGACTTCTATATCCAATTCAAAAAGCTATCATTTCCATCAATTCCATTCCAAAGACATGAAATATCTTATGAGTACCTTCTATGTGCTAAAGAGTGTATCGTAGTAACCAGCCTCCACGATAGTCCCCGATGATCCTCACCTTCTGAGATTCACTCCTTTGTGTAGTCCCCTTCCACATTGAATAGGGCTGATGTGTATTACCAAAAGAATGTTCTGGAATTGATGGTGTATGTCTTTGCATGAGGGACCACAGACCTAGGAAATGAGCCATCTTAAGGGAGCAAAGATTCTTAGCCTGGTGTGGCAGATTAAAGATGACTATAAATTCAATATCCCATCCATTGAGAGGTGGGATCTATTTCATTTCCCCTGAATCTGAGCTGGCCTGTGACTGCCATGACAAATAGAGTATGATAGAAGTGACGCTATGCCAATTCTGGGTCTAGTCTTTTAAGAGGATTTATAGCATCTTCTTTGGTCTGTTGGAGGGTCCAGATCAGACCACCTATCAAACAAATGCCACTAAGCAATTCCAGGCAACACCATGTACAACAGCAGAATTGTCCAGCCGAGCCCTGCCCAAATTCCTGTGCACAAATTTGTGAGATAGAATAAAATGCTGTTGTTTTAAGCCATTAAGTGTTGGGGTCATTTATTATGCTTCATAAGATATATCCGGAATATCTGGAGTCCACATATTACAAAGTGCTGATGGATAGAATTCAGGAAGCCCATAAATTTAGAGAGGAAAAAATTACATCTTTATTTTCACTACTCTATAACCAAAATATGGCTTTGTTTTTTTCATTTAGAATCTAGGCAGCAAACCACAGTAGTATTAGTGGCATCTGTGACTTTGACAATGGGAAGAGATTTTTACAGGCTTTTCCAAACTGCCAAATGTATTCATTGTTACATGTATATATACACATTCACACAGGTACACACACATTTACACACACACACACAGCTTAAGAGCACTGGAAGAGAGAGTGAAAGCCCATAAGGTCCAGGGAAACGGGTCAGTGTAACAGAGGAGCAGGATGATTCTGAGCATGGGATTCTGTTCCCAAACTGTCTGACCAGAGAGCCCAAAGTGGCATTGACACAACTGAAACAACTCAGCAGGAGCCACAGAGAAGGGGAGAATGGGGCGAACATCTCCAGGCAGCTGACAGGACTCTATGCACACAGGCTTGAGAAACGGTTGGGGATAACTGTGAACTGGTCTGTAGAGCCCCAAAAACAAAAAGAATGGTAAGATATTCTTTTCTGACAGTTCAGTGACACCATTTTTCTCCCAAGTTGAGATGGCTTGGAAAACATGAATTGTTTGTATGACATGGGTGTAATTATCAGTTGCCCTTTACAGGAAACCCAGAGAGGTTCAGAAACTTAACAGAAGGCATCAGAGGTGATAAGTGGCCCAACCAGGATTTGATCAGAATCCATGTTATGTGCCTTACACTGGTACATTCTCACCTCCTGTCACTCCTCCTCAAGGTTTCTTGGTCTTTTCAATCACACATTGGGTTTCTAAACATGTGTGTCTTTGCTCATCTTGTTCCCTTTTGCTGGCTGTCCTTCCCCAGTTCCTCCTACCTACCCCCCACCGCCAGCCCTGAAAATCCCTTTTCTGTGAAGGCTTTTCTTTTTTTTTTTTTTTTTTTTTTGAGATGGAGTCTTGCTCTGTCACCCAGGCTGGAGTGCAATGGCACAATCTCAGCTCACTGCAGCCTCAGCCTCCTGGGCTCAAGCAACTCTCCTGCCTCAGCCTCCCTAGCAGCTGAGATTACAAGGACCCACCACCATGCCTAGATAATTTTTGTATTTTTAGTAGAGATGGGGTTTCACCATGCTGGCCAGGCTGGTCTCCTGACCTCAAGTAATCCATCCGCCTCAGCCTTCCAAAGTGCTCAGATTACAGGCATGAGCCACTGCACCTAGTCACCTTTCCTTGTTCCATCAGAAGACTGTATTGTTCTCTATGTTTCCATGATGCTTCATGCATTATAGATTTTATCATATTGTGAAATTTGGCCTATTTGTCTATCTGACTAGATTACTCATAGTATTATTAATAATAATAACTAGCTATCATTTACTGAACATTTACTAATACTATTCCAAAGACAATAGCTCCATAAGATAGGTACTACTATTATCTCTGTTTTACAGATATGGAAACTAAAACTCCAAGAGTTGGATTAACTTGCCCAAGGTCACCCAGCTACTAGTGGGCAGATCTGGGATTTGAACCCACATCTGACTCTCGGGCTCACGTTCTTAACCACTAGATTATAAGACAGAGATTATACCATATCATTCTCTGCTTTCTCTGCACCCAGCACAGGGTCTAGCCTTCAGTATGTGCTAAGTAAATAATTGCTGGATGAATGATGGAATAAAGGCATCATCTCCATGTCTGCTGCTGCATCCCTAGCTCCAGATCCAGTGCCTGGTACAGGGAGAGATGTTCAATAATAATTTGTCAATTGACTGACTGAATTAAATAATCAATTTATTTTCAGCTCTAACACCCTGCAAAGATGGGGCAAGAATACAAAAATGAAATCATCTTCCCCAGGTAAGAGTTATTACAACTTATTGATCCTGAAGACTCTATTCTTTTCTGGGGCCATCACCACCAAGAACCATTTTTTAAAGGATAACAGACCCCAAGTCCCACAGAGTTCTTGGACTGACTCCTCAAGTTTCATGGGGAGTCCAGTGAATGAATTAAAAAGAGACTGAGTGGGTAGTGTGTGAGGTTAACTCTAGTTATTTTCCAAGCCAGACCCAGAGGCCTGGTCTCGAAGCAAGCCAAAATTCATAAAAAGCAGAGTTAGCACTCTCGAGCCACTACTTCAATAAAACAATAATAATGAGTTGAAAGAATAACTGCTTCTAGGCCATTATTTATGAACCCCTGGGCCAACCAGGCGGCTTCAGTGTAAAGCCTTCTAGGTGTCACATGTGACAGGAAAAGATGAGGTGTGGAAACAGATAGAAAAAGAGTGCTCTTTGGCTGTCTTGGTGTGACCTTTCATGGTTTTGCTGGAGGTCTGGTCCCAGTCAGATGCACATGGAAGCCACTTTTCCTAACCTGGTTTTAATCAACAACTGAGGTCTCAGGAGTGCCTTTTTACCTGCCAGGTGCATGGCTAAAGTGGGCACATAGAGAGGGAAGGAGAGGCCCAGAGGAAAAAGAATGCTGGTGTAGGCAATTTGGGTTTATTTTGAAATAAAACAACATCAGCCATGAAGTTAAATTAAATAATAGTCATAAAAGGGCCAGCCCAAGACTTGGCACAAGATTAAATGCTCAGGAGGTGTGAGTTCCCCTTCCTTCTGCAAATTATAGCTACAGTAATCGAGACCTTCACTTTGGCAATGCCTGTTCCCCGAACATGCTTAATACACTGTTAAAGGGAGAGTATAAGATTTCCAGCTGCTGCACTTAGTGTCTCAGCCAGGGCTAATATTCAACCGGTTTGCCCAAAAGGCTGTACCAGTTGTTTACAATGAGCATCCATCCCAACTGGATCATGCCTGTACCTTCTAGTTATGAAATACTTTGAATATCACATCTGGTTCCAAGTATTCATTTATTTAATACATATATATTGACTGCCTCCTCTACGCCAGATGCTGGTCAAACAGCAGGGAAAGACTGGATGGAAAAAAAAAAACCACCTTGAAAATGTCTTCTCTTCATAGAGCTTACATTCCAATGGAAAAGACAAGCAGAATAGAGTACAATACATGGTAGCTTCAATGGCGATAAGTGCTATGGAGAAAAATAAGGTAGGAAAAGGCATAGTAAGTACAGGAATGCACTTTTTAAACTTTTCATTGAAGTATCTACATGTAAGGAAAAGTGATCAAACCATAAGTGTAACAGATTTTCTCAAAGTGAACATACCTGGTATGGTTTGGCTCTGTGTCCCCACCCAAATCTCATCTAGAATTGTAATCCCCACATGTCAAGGCAGGGACTTAGTGGGAGATGATTGGATCATGGGGACCATTTCCCCCATGCTGTTCTCATGATAATGAGTGAGTTCTCATGAAATTTGATGCTTTAAAAAAGTTTGGCAGTCATATGCAGAAAGCTGAAACTGGATCCCTTCCTTACACCTTATACAAAAAGTAATTCAAGATGGATTAAAGACTTAAATGTTAGACTTAAAACCATAAAAACCCTAGAAGAAAACCTAGGCAATACCATTCAGGACATAGGCATGGGCAAGGACTTCATGTCTAAAACACCAAAAGCAACGGCAACAAAAGCCAAAATTGACAAATGGGATCTAATTAAATTAAAGAGCTTCTGCACAGCAAAATAAACTACCATCAGAGTGAACAGGCAACCTACAAAATGGGAGAAAATTTTCACAACCTACTCATCTGACAAAGGGCTAGTATCCAGAATCTACAATGAACTCAAACAAATTTACAAGAAAAAAACAAATGACCCCATCAAAAAGTGGGCGAAGGATATGAACAGACACTTCTCAAAAGAAGCCATTTATGCAGCCAAAAAACACATGAAAAAATGCTCATCATCACTGGCCATCAGAGAAATGCAAATCAAAACCACAATGAGATACCATCTCACACCAGTTAGAAGGGCGATCATTAAAAAGTCAGGAAACAACAGGTGCTGGAGAGGATGTGGAGAAACAGGAACAATTTTACACTGTTGGTGGGACTGTAAACTAGTTCAACCATTGTGGAAGTCAGTGTGGCGATTCCTCAGGGATCTAAAACTAGAAATACCATTTGACCCAGCCATCCCATTATTGGGTATATACTCAAAGGATTATAAATCATGCTGCTATAAAGACACATGCACATGTATGTTTATTGTGGCACTATTCACAATAGCAAAGACTTGGAACCAACCCAAATGTCCAACAACGATAGACTAGATTAAGAAAATGTGGCACATATACGCCATGGAATACTATGCAGCCATAAAAAATGATGAGTTCATGTCCTTTGTAGGGACATGGATGAAACTGGAAACCATCATTCTCAGCAAACTATCGCAAGGACAAAAAACTAAACACCGCATGTTCTCACTCATAGGTGGGAATTGAACAATGAGAACACATGGACACAGGAAGGGGAACATCACACTCCGGGGACTGTTGTGGGGTGGGGGGAGGGGGGAGGGATAGCATTTGGAGATATATCTAATGCTAAATGACGAGTTAATGGGTGCAGCACACCAACATGGCACATGTATACATATATAACAAACCTGTACATTGTACACATGTACCCTAAAACTTAAAGTATAATAATATTCAAATAAAATAAAATAAAGTTTGGCAGTTCCCCCCTTGCTCTCTGTCTCTCCCTTGCCTGCTGCCACGTTGCTTCCCCTCTGCCTTCTGCCATGACGGTAAGTTTCCTGAGGCCTCCCTAGCCATGTAGAACTGTGAGTCAATTAAACCTCTTTTCTGTATAAATTACCTAGTCTTGGGTAGTTCTTTATAGCAGTGTTAAAATGGACTAATACCCATGTAACCAGCACCCATTTCAAGGCACTCAGCACAACCAGCACCTATGAGGTTCCATTTTTCAACAGAGTATCAGAACAAACTCTCCTGTGATGTGGGAACTGTCACTGGGGTTGTTGCCCAAATATTTCCAGCTCGCTGCCTCCTGTTCTTAAGGTAGGATTGCACTTCTCTGCTGCCTACCAGGTGCAGCCACTGACATGCTCTGGCCTATATAAGCACAAGTGATGAGTATCACTTCTCCATGGTCCCTATTATGCTGTGGTGATTGTGGAATCTGTGATGCAATGGAGCTTCCATCAGCTTCAGTCCCAAGTGACTCTGTGGAGCAGAGCAGCCCTGCATACCACAAAGGGCATGCAGCATGAAGACAAATACATCTTTTGTAGTTAAGCCAATGAAATTAAGGGCTTGTTACTTCAGCATAACACAACCCAACCCAACCTGATGATAATCAAGGTGATAGCTCGGTAAAGATCTGAAGAGATAAAAGAGTGAATCTTCTGGAAACCTAGGGGAAGAACGACCCAGAGACAGCAAACACAAAGGTCCTAAAACAGGAATGTGTATGGTGTATTTGAGAAGCAGCATTTGCTGTGATCTGAATGTTTGTGTCCCTCCCAAAATTCACATGTTGAAATCCTAACCACCAAAATGTGATGGTATTAGGAGGCAGGGCCTCTGGGAGGTGATTAAGTTATGAGGTCAGAGTCTTCATGAATGGGATCCGTGTCTTATAAAATAGACCCAAGGGAATGTTTTGGCCCTTTCTACCAGGTGAAGACATAGAGAGAAGACATCATCTATGAACAGGAATGTGGGCAATCATCAGACACTGGATCAGCCAGCACCTTGATCTTGGACTTCCCAGCCTCTAGAACTGTGAGAAATAAATTTCTGTTGTTTATCAGCTTCCCAGTCTATGGTATTCTGTTACAGCAGCCTGAATGCACTCAATGTCTTAAGCTAGAATCCTCCAGAAGTAGACCCCAAGACAAGAATTTGAATATAAGTGGCTTATTTTGGTAGGTGATCCCAGATACACTGAGAAGAGAGTGAGAAAGTGAGAATGGAAGGGGAGGAAACTGCTATAGGAAGGGTTCTGCAATGACCAGGTTACCACTATGGGCAACTGAGGCTCAGTGTCCTGAGGACATCAGAGAGATGGCACAGAATATGCTTCAGAGTTGTCCCCTGGGGTCTGAGGAGGCTGAGGCTTTATCCTTCAGCATTGGCTATTGGCTGAGGCTGCTCCCAAGTGTTAATATCCAGGCACTTCAGACCTGCCCTTGGGCAGCCAAGAACAGGCCAGCAGGCAGCGCTCCAGGTGCCTGTCCCTGCCACAGGGCGCCTCAGGCATGAAGCGGGAAGGGCAGGGCACTGGCAGCATCTGCTGCCATCTTCAGGCTAAACAAATGATTCAAGTTCTTACCCGTTATCTGGACTATGTAACACCCTCCTACCTATTACCCCTGCCTCCAGCCTTCCCCTGATCTAATCTATTCCTCATACTCAATCAAAATGATCCATAAATCATATGAATCTGACAATGACACACCCCCACTCAAAATCCTTTGGCAGCTTTCAATCTGTCAGGATAAACTCCAAGCTCTTTGCGTTGGCCCTCAAGACCCTGTGGGAGCTGGCCCTGCCCATCTCAACAGCTCAGCTCCACTCTGCATGTAGGCACTGATCCTGCGGCCACACCAGATGGCTGGCCACCCTTGCTGCCCATTGTTCTCTCAAAACTCCATGGCTTTGTAAAGGCTGTTTCCTCCACCAAGAGTCCTAGAATATTGTCCCTCCATCTTTGTTTACCTAGTCAACTCATTCATTCAACAAATGTGTTCAAGGCATACCATGCTCCAGGCTCTGGGAGACACAGCTGTAAATAATCAAACCTGGCCCTCCCGCATTCAATGAGGCTTAAAGGGGGTGCAGGGTAGAGACAAATAATTTTAAAAAAGTAAATGAATAAGAAAATCAAATAGTAGTAAATTCAGGGAAACAAAAAATAACAGCGCTATATGACAGAGAGTGGAAAGCAATTGGGTATTCAGGGAGGGTCTCCTGAGGAGGTGACTGGCCTGAATGGCAAGAGGTTACCAGCCATGCAAGAACCAGGACAGAGCAGGTAAGAAATGCAAAGGCCCTAAGCTAGGAAGTAATTTGGAGTGTTGGCAAAACAGAAAGACCACTGTGGCAGGGGCATAGCAAGTTGAAGGAGAGAGGCAGGAGATGTGCTTACAAGGCAGGATCAGGGAATCATGGAGGGCTTTGCTGGCCACAGAGCACTGGACTTTGTCCTACTATCTTCAATTCACATGATACCTCCATGTGTGTCCTTCTCTATCCTCCAGAGGGTGTTGAGGAATGGAGGGGCCACTTCTCCTAGCATCCTTTACATGCACCATCTTTATGGTTGAGACCCTTAACACAAAGGTCCCAAAAATTGATTTGCTTCAGGCATCTGTTCTTGGCCTTGCTTCTGCCTGGCTGTGTGACATTGGATAAATTATTCAACCTCTCTGTGCCTAGAAATTCTCCATACATTTCTGTTCCATCCTCTGAATGTTATTTTTTTCTTTTTTTTATTATACTTTTAAGTTCTGGGTTACATGTGCAGAACGTGCAGTTTTGTTACACAGGTATACACATGCCATGGTGGTTTGCTGCACCCATCAACCCGTCAACTACATTAGGTATTTCTCCTAATGTTATTCCTCCCCTAACCCCCACCCCGACAGGCCCCAATGTGTGATGTTCCCCTCCCTGTGTCCATGTGTTCTCACTGTTCAACTCCCACTTATGAGTGAGAACATGTGGTGTTTGGTTTTCTGATCGTTTGCTGAGAATGATGATTTCCAGTTTCATCCATGTCCCTGCAAAGGATATGAACTCATCCTTTTTTGTGGCTGCATAGTATTCCATGGTGTATATGTGCCACATTTTCTTAATCCAGTCTATCATTGATGGATATTTGGGTTGGTTCCAAGTCTTTGCTATTGTGAATAGTGCTGAAAGAAACATACGTGTATGTGTCTTTATCGCAGAATGATTTATAATCCTTTGGGTAAATGCCCAGTAATGGGATTGCTGGGTCAAATGATATTTCTAGTTCTAGATCCTTGAGGAATCACCACACTGTCTTCCACAATGGTTGAATGAATTTACACTCCCATCAACAATGTAAAAGCCATTCCTATTTTTCCACAGCCTCTCCAGCATCTCGTTTCCTGACTTTTTAATGATTGCCATTCTAACTAGTGTGAGATGCTACCTCATTGTGGTTTTGATTTGCATTTCTCTAATGACCAGTGATGATGAGCGTTTTTTCATGTGTCTGTAGGCTGCCTAAATGTCTTCTTTTGAGAAGTGTCTGTTCATATCCTTTGCCCATTTTTTGATGGGGTTGTTTTTTCTTGTAAATTTATTTAACTTTGTAGATTCTGCATATTAACCCTTTGTCAGATGGATAGATTGCAAAAATTTTCTCCCATTCTGTAGGCTGCCTGTTCACTCTGATCATAATTTCTTTTGCTGTGCAGAAGCTCTTTAGTTTCATTAGATCCCATTTGTCAATTTTGGCTTTTGTTGCAATTGCTTTTGGTGTTTTAGACATGAAGTCTTTGCCCATGCCTATGTCCTGAATGGTATTGCCCAGGTTTTCTTCCAGGATTTTTATGGTCCTACGTTTAAGTCTTTGATCCATCTTGAGTTGATCTTTGTATAAGGTGTAAGGAAGAGGTCCAGTGTCAGTTTTCTGCATATGGCTAGCCAGTTTCCCCAACACCATTTATTAAATAGGGAATCTTTTCCCCATTGCTTGTGTGTGTCAGGTTTGTCAAAGATCAGGTGGTGGTAGATGTGTGGTGTTATTTCTGAGGCCTCTGTTCTGTTCCATTGGTCTATACATCTGTTTTGGTACTAGTGCCATGCTGTTTTGGTTACTATAGCCTTGTAGTATAGCTAGAAGTCAGGTAGTGTGATGCCTCCAGCTTTATTCTTCTTGCCCAGGATTGTCTTGGCTATGCAGGCTCTTCTTTGGTTCCATATGAACTTTAGTTTTTTCCAATTCTGTGAAGAAAGTCAGTGGTAGCTTGATGGGGATAGCATTGAATCTATCAATTACTTTGGGCAGTATGGCCATTTTCATGATATTGATTCTTCCTATCCATGAGCATGGAATGTTCTTCCATTTGTTTGTGTCCTCTCTTATTTCCTTGAGCAGTGGTTTGCAGTTCTCCTTGAAAAGGGCCTTCACATCCCTTGAAAGTTGTATTCCTAGGTATTTTATTCTCTTAGTAGCAATTATGAATGGGAGTTCACTCATGATTTGGCTCTCTGCTTGTCTGTTATTTGTGTGTAGGAATGCTTGTGATTTTTGCACATTGATTTTGTATCCTAAGACTTTCTGAAGTTGCTTATCAGCTTAAGGAGCTTTTGGGCTGAGACAATGGGGTTTTCTAAATATACAATCATGTCATCTGCAAACAGAGACAATTTGACTTCCTCTCTTCCTATATGAATACCCATTATTGCTTTCTCTTGCCTGATTGCCCTGGCCAGAACTTCCAATACTATGTTGAATAGGAGTGGTGAGAGAGGGCATCCTTGTCTTGTGCTAATTTTCAAAGGGAATGCTTCTAGTTTTTGCCCATTCAGTATGATATTGGCTGTGGGTTTGTCATAAATAGCTCTTATTATTTTGAGATACATTCCATCAATACCTAGTTTATTGAGAATTTTTAGCATGATGGGGTGTTGAATTTTTCAAAGGCCTTTTCTGGATCTATTGAGATAATCATGTGGTTTTTGTCATTGGTTCTGTTTATGTGATGGATTACGTTTATTGATTTGCATATGTTGAACCAGCCTTGCATCACAAGTATGAAGCCAACTTGATCACGGTGGATAAGATTTTTGATGTGCTGCTGGATTCGGTTTGCCAGTATTTTATTGAGGATTTTTGCATCAATATTCATCAGGGATATTGGCCTGAAATTTTCTTTTTTTGTTTTGCCTCTGCCAGGCTTTGGTATCAGGATGATGCTGGCCTCATAAAATGAGTTAGGGAGGATTCCCTCTTTTTCTATTGTTTGCAATAGTTTCAGAAAGAATGGTATCAACGCCTCTTTGTACCTCTGGTAGAATTCAGCTGTGAATCCGTCTGGTCCTGGACTTTTTTTTGGTTGATAGGCTATTAATTACTGCCTCAATTTCAGAACTTGTTATTGGTTTATTCAGGGATTCGATTTCTTCCTGGCTTAGACTTGGGAGGGTGTATGTGTCCAGGAATTTATCCATTTCTCTAGATTTTCTAGTTTATTTGCATAGAGGTGTTTATAGTATTCTCTGATGGTAGTTTGTATTTCTGTGGAATCAGTGATGATATCCCCTACATCATTTTTTATTGCATCTAATTGATTCTTCTCTTTTCTTCTTTATTAGCCTGGCTACTGGTCTATCCGTTAATCTTTTCAAACAACCACCTCCTGGATGCATTGATTTTTTTTGAAGGGTTTTTTGTGTCTCTGTCTCCTTCAGTTCTGCTCTGATCTTAGTTATTTCATGTCTTCTGCTAGCTTTTGAATTTGTTTGCTGTTGCTTCCCTAGTTCTTTTAATTGTGATGTTAGGGTGTCAATTTGCATTTGCTGAGGAGTATTCTACTTCCAATTATGTGGTCAATTTTAGAATAAGTGTGATGAGGGGCTGAAAAGAATGTATATTCTGTTGATTTGGGGTGGAGAGTTCTGTAGATGTCTATAAGGTCCGCTTGGTCCAGAGCTGAGTTCAAGCCCTGAATATGCTTGTTAATTTTCTGTCTCATTGATCTGTCTAATATTGACAGTGGGGTGTTAAAGTCTCCCACTATTACTGTGTGGGAGTCTAAGTCTCTGCAGGTCTCTAAGAACTTGCTTTATGAATCTGGGTACTCTTGTATTGGGTGCATATGTATTTAGGATAGTTATCTCTTCTTGCTGTATTGATCCCTTTACCATTATGTAATGCCCTTGTCTCTTTTGATCTTTGTTGGTTTAAAGTCTGTTTTATCAGAGATTAGGATTGCGACTCCTGCTTTTTTTTTCTTTCCAATTGCTTGGCAAATATTCCTCCATCCCTTTATTTTGACCCTATGTGTGTCTCTGCACGTGAGATGGGTCTCCTGAATACTGATGGGGCTTCACTCTTTATCCGATTTGTCAGTCTGTGTCTTTTAATTGGGGCATTTAGCCCATTTACATTTAAGGTTAATATTGTTATGTGTGAATTTGATCCTGTCATTATGATGCTAGCTGGTTGTTTTGCCCATTAGTTAATGCGGTTTCTTCATAGTGTCGATGTTCTTTACAATTTGGTATGTTTTTGCAGTGGCTGGTATTGGTTGTTCCTTTCCATGTTTGGTGGTTCCTTCAAGAGCTCTCGTAAGGCAGGTCTGGTGGTGACAAAATCCCTCAGCATTTGCTTGTCTGTAAAGGATTTTATTTCTCCTTCGCTTATGAAGCTTAGTTTGGCTTGCTATGAAATTCTGGGTTGAAAATTCTTTTCTTTGAGAACGTTGAATATTGGCCCCCACTCTCTTCTGGCTTGCAAGGTTTCTGCAGAGAGATCCACTGTTAGTCTGATGGGCTTCCCTTTGTGGGTAACCTGACCTTCTCTTTGGCTGCCCTTAACACTTTTTCCTTCATTTCAACTTTGGTGAATCTGATGATTACGTGTCTTGGGGTTGCCCTTCTTGAGGAGTATCTTTGTGGTGTTCTCTGTATTTCCTGAATTTGAATGTTCGCCTGTCTTGCTAGGTCGGGGAAGTTCTCCTGGATAATATCCTGAAGAGTGTTTTCCAACTTGGTTCCATTTTCCCTGTCACTTTCAGGTACACCAATCAAATGTAGATTTGGTCTATTCACATAGTCCCATATTTCTTGGAGGCTTTGTTCATTCCTTTTTATTCTTTTTTCTCTAATCTTGTTTTCTCTATTTCATTAAGTTGATCATCAATCTCTGATATCCTTTCTTCCACTTGATTGATTCAGCTATTGATACTTGTGTATTCTTCACAAAGTTCTCATGCTGTGTTTGTCAACTCCATCAGGTCATTTTTGTTCTTCTCTACATCGGTTATTCTAGTTAGCAATTTAACTATCCTTTTTTCAAGGTTCTTAGCTTCCTTGCATTGGGTTAAAACATGCTCCTTTAGCTCCGAGGAGTTTGTTCTTACCCACCTGCTGAAGCCTACTTCTGTCAGTTCATCAAACTCATTCCCCATCCAGTTTTGTTCCCTTGCTGGTGAGGAGTTGTGATCGTTTGGAGGAGGACAGGTGTTCTGGTTTTGGGAATTTTCAGCCTTCTTGCGCTGGTGTTTCCCCATCTTTGTGGATTTCTCTACCTTTGGTCTTTGATGTTGGTGACCTTAGGATGGGGTATTTGAGTGGACTTGCTAATCCTTTCTGTTTGTTTCTTTTCCTTCTAACAGTCATGCCCCTCTGCTGCCAGTCTGCTGGAGTTTGCTGGAGGTCCACTCCTGGCCCTGTTTGCCTGAGTATCACCAGCGGAGGCTGCAGAGCAGCAAAGATTGCTGCCTGTTCTTTCCTCTGGAAGTTTCGACCCAGAGGGGCACCTGCCAGATGCCAATCAGAGCTCTCCTGTATGAGGTGTCTGTTGGCCCCTACTGTGAGGTGTCTCCCAGTCAGTATACACAGGGGTCAGGGACCCACTTGAGGAGGCAGACTGACCCTTGGCAGAGCTTGAACGCTGTGCTGGGAGGTCCACTGCTCCCTTCAGAGCTGTTAGGCAGGGATGTTTAAATCTGCTATAAGCCCCTGACTGGGGCTGCTGCCTTCTTTACAGCAATGCCCTGTCCAGACAGGAGAAATCTGGCTGGCTGGCCACAGCTGTCTTGCTGAGCTGCCGTGGGCTCTGCCCAGTTCGAACTTCCCAGCGGCTTTGTTTACACTGTGACCGTAAAACCACCTACTCAAGCCTCAGCAATGGCGCATGCCGCTCCCCCCACCAAGCTCAAAAGTCCCAGGTGGATCTCAGATTGCTTCTGTGCTGGCAGTGAGAATTTCAAGCCAGTGGATCTTAGTTTCCTGGGCTCCATGGGGGTGGGACCCACCGAGCCAGACCACTTGGCTCCCTTGCTTCAGTACCCCTTTCCAGGGGAGTGAACAGTTCTGTCTTACTGGCATTCCAGGTGCCACTGGGGCATGGAAAAAAAGAGCTCCTGCAGCTAGTTCGGTGTCTGCCCAATTGGCCACCCAGTTTTGTGCTTGAAACCCAGGGTCCTGGTGGGGTAGGCACCGGAGGGGAATCTCCTGATTTGTGGTTGTGAAGACCGTGGGACAAGTGCAGTATCTGTGCCAGAGATCCTCAGGCTCAGAGATCCTCAGGCTCAGACCCTCACGGCTTCCCTTGGGTAGGGGAGAAAATTCCCCGACCCTTTGCACTTCCCAGGTGAGGCAATGCCCCACCCTGCTTCAGCTCACCCTCCATGGGCTGCACCCACTGTCCAACCAGTCCCAGTGAAATGAAGCACGTACCTCAGTTGGAAATGCAGAAATCACCCACCTTCTGCGTCCATCTCACTGGGAGCTGCAGACCGGTGCTGTTCCTATTCAGCCATCTTGAATCCCCTCTGAATGTTATTGAATTAACTTAGCCTTGCAGGTAAATCAAAAGGAACAGTAGAATTTTCTCCTATCAGAAAAGTGTGTTATGAGTCCTCCCCCTTTACCACAGTCATGAAGAACGTGGGCTTTGACATCAGACAGACCTCATTTTGCACCCTGGTTTCACTGCTTTCTTGGGCAAATTATTTAATCTCCCTTAGTCTTGGTCTTCTTAGTTGTAAAAACGAGCTAAGAATTGCCCCCACTGTATTGTGTTCCGGGAATGATTCCGTGAAGTAAGGCCTTTTACCACTTAACCATAGTCTTTGCATAAAGCAAACTCAATATATGGTTTCTACAATTTTTCATTTGGTCCTTCCAACACCCTCTGGGCTTAGAATTTTATCTCATTGCTTCCTCTCCAAAAAGGCTATGATGTGCATTGCAAGAATCCCTCAAAAGTTCACCTTCAAATCCTAGTGCAGTGGAAAAACAGGGGGTCCTAAGCTAGGATTCAAATCCCATCTCAGCCACTGTCTTTTCCATTTAAAGCAAGTCCCCTCTGTTCTCACCACATGACTGAAAGAACTGCCTTTCAAAGAAGCCAATAGTAGACAAAATAATGGCCCTCTCACGCTGCAAGATGTACACATCCTGATCCCTGAAGCCTGTGAATATGTTGCCTTACATGGCAAAGAGGACTTTGCATGTGTGATTAAGTTAAAGTCTTGAGAAGGGGACATTATTCTGGGTTATCCAGGTGGGCCCAAGGGTCCAAGGATCCTCATGAGGGTCCTTAAAAGAGTCAGAAAGGGATTTTCAAAGAGAAAAGCAAAGTGTCAGAGGGACTCCAGGTTGATCTGAAGATACTGCACTGCCAGCTCTGAGGGGGGCCAAGGAATGCGGGTGACTCTAGGAGCTGGAAAACACAAGGAAACAGATTCTCCACTAGAGCCTCCAGAAGGAATGCAGCCCTACCAACGCCTTGATTTCAGCCCAGTGAGACGATCTTGAACTCTGACTTCCAGAACTGTGAGAGAATAAAATTTGTGTTGATGTAAGGCACTAAGTTTGTGATAATTAGTCACAGCAGCCAGAGGAAACTGATACAAGGCTGTTCTGTGAAAGGTCTTTAAAAGTCACTCTCAGCCGGGTGCGGTGGTTCACCCCTGTAATCCCAGCACTTTAGGAGGCCGAGGTGGGCAGATCTCAAGGTCAGGAGTTCCAGACCAGCCTTACCAACATAGTGAAACCCCATCTCTACTATAAATACAAAAATTAGCCAGGCGTGGCCGGGTGCGCGGCCTGTAATCCCAGCTACTCAGGGGGCTGAGGCAGGAGAATTGCTTGAAGCTGGGAGGCAGAGGTTGCAGTGAGCAGAGATCATGCCACTGCACTCCAGCCTGGGTGACAGAGCAAGACTCCGTCTCCAAAAAAAAAAAAAGTCACTCTCTGGCCGGGAGCAGTGGCTCACACCTGTAATCCCAGCACTTTGGGAGGCCGAGGCGGGCAAATGACTTGAGGTCAGGAGTTCGAGACCACGCTGGCTAACATAATGAAACCTCATCTTTACTAAAAATACAAAAATTAGCCAGGCATGGTGGTGGGCGCCCATAATCCCAGCTACATGGGAGGCTGACAGGCAGGAGAATTGCTTGAACCCAGGAGGCAGAGGTTGCAGTGAGCCAAGATCATGCCACTGCACTTTAGCCTGGGTAACAGAGACTCTGTCTCAAAAAAAAAAAAAGTCACACTCTGCCTGCTTGCTTTCTCTCTCTCTCTCTCACACACACACACACACCCCATAGCTACTGCTAACATTTAAGGTGAGTGACTCGGCAGGTCAGCTGGTAGTCCATGCTCTAGCAGAGGGGAGCAGTGTAAACCCAAGACTTCACTACCCAGAGGTCAAGGGTCCCTGAAACTTCATTAGACGAGACCCAGCTGTCACAGAAACTAAACTGGGAGCTTCCCATTCACAGCTCCCTGGGAGATCCAGAGCCTGGAGAAGGTCAAGGAATTTCCAATCTTTCCAACAAACACTTATTATGCTTTCCACCCTTACTCAGAACCAAAGATTTTGTCCCAACCAGATCCATCCTGGCAGAAACGCACCATCCGCAGGAATTTAGCACAGCCGTGGCTATTTTGCATCCAACATGAAGAATACTAAGGAAAAAAAAGCCAGCCTTCTTCCAGTGGTCGCTGACAGCATTTCGCTCCATCGTCTGTAATTACCCTGTGTTATTGTTGGTGTCTTGTGTTTTTTTCCCCCATAAACAATGCAATTTGCCTTTGCTTTCTGAGAAAGTTCCTTGGAGAAAGTGCAAAAAAAAATGTTTTTCGGGATCCCTCCCTGTTGTTTCAAACTGCTTGGCTCCAGATTTTTCTGCGGAAAAGTTCCATAAACATTCTACCATGCGGAGAGCTCTTGCCTGGCATGAGGAGCATTGATTTTGGCAGCCAGACGTGTAGCCAGGAGCACACCTGCTAAAGGTAGCCCTCTCCCGTGCTCTGCAAAAGCTGAGGTTAGGTGGGGAAGTGGGCCATTGCAGGTGGCCAGGGCAGAGATGGGAGCCAGGGGCTAAGGCTGGGGCTGGGGCAAAGCTTAATAGGACACACCTGTTGGAAACAGCATCACAAGGGAGCCCTCAAGTCAGCTGGGCACTTTTCAAGACCATGTGCTGTGAAAACGCAGCCCAAGATATAGTGATAATAAAAGGGGGAGAGACTTGTGCAAGGAGAAGGGAGGGTGGGTTGGTGGAAGCCAGTGGAGATGGAAAAAGAAGAATGGAGAGAAAGGAGAGGACAGGAGAGGAGGGGAGGGGAGGGGAGAGGAGGGGAGGTTGAGAAAGAAACTATTAGTGTTGGGGGTATACATATTATTGTTTAGAATTTATGGCTGGGAGAAAGATACACGCGCGCGCAGGCGCGCGCGCGCACACACACACACACACACACACACACCCCTTAAATGCTGACAAATCCTGAGAGATCAGTGTTGTGTGTAGCTCACTTCAGCTCAAGGTCTTCTCTTTTCTGGGACACTTAAGATGCGGGGGTCTCCCTCTTCCTAGCTCACCCTCCATGGCTGAGTCCCCCAGGCTCAGTGGAAAGACTGCTGGATTCAGGACAGTGAGGAGCTGCTCCCTAGCCTCTTGCTTTTTCTTTCCTTCTGCAGCCCCCTCCTAATGAACAGAGGCCCAGGCAAATGGTACCCTGGAGAAGTAAAACCCAAGTCCCAAGCAAGCCTCTAAGCACCAAAATGTGCCCACTGGAGTAGGCTAACCAGACCACATGGAGGAAGCTGCCAGACTGAGAGTGTTATATACCCCGCTAAGGGTCTGAGACCTCAGCTACATGGTAGGTGACAGGTAGCCAGGGAGAGATGCAGGAAAGGAACATGTTAGAATAATGAAGCTGGTAATCTTTGGCTGAGTGGATTAGAGACAGAGAAGAGGAAAAAGTGTGAAAAACAGGAGAATTTTGTGGTTTTTCTATAATGAAAGGAAAAGAATGACAAAAGGAAGGGTTAGAAGTAGTGGCTTTATGAAAACAGACTGATTGGCTTTATCTTTCTCATTTTCATGCTAGAAAACACAGAAAAGGATAGCAAAAATAAAAGTGATGCATAATCCTCCCATCAAGAAATATTTTTGTTAACAGCTTTCCTCAAGTACAACTGGCAGACAATAAAGGGCGTATGTTTCAGGTGTAGAATTTAGTCAGTTCTGACATATGTCTACACCCATGAAATCAGCACCACAATAATACAATGACCATGTCTGTCTCTCCCGAAAATTTTCTCCTACTCTCTTGGAATCCCTCCTTTCCACCCCTTTGCATTTTATCTTCCATGGTGGTTTATTAGCTATAACTTTGGTTTGCAATTTTGGTGGATTTTCTAGGGTTCATAACATACATCTTTTTTACTATTATACTTTAAGTTCTGGGGTACATGTGCAGAGCATGCAGGTTTGTTACAAAGGTATACACGTGCCATGATGGTTTGCTGCACCCATCAACCCGTCATCTACATTAGGTATTTCTCCTAGTGCTCTCCCTCCCCTTGCCCCCAACCCCCCGACAGGCCCTGGTGTGTGATGTATAACATACATCTTTAACTCACAGTCTACCTTCAAGTATATAATGCTGCTTCACATCTAAGAATTGTACAACTATCCTATTTTGCAATTCCTCCCTTTCTGTGTTCTCGTTCTCATATATTTTATTTCTATACATGTTATAAGCTCCACAATAGTTTGTTACTTTGTAAATTTAAAGTCAATTATAGTTTACAGAATTTAAATAATGAGAATTTTTACTCAACATAATTAACAATTCTGAGGCTCTTCATTCTCTTACATAGATTCAAATGTCTACCTAGTAGCATTTTGCTTCTGTCTGGAAGACTTCCTTTAATATTTCTTTTTCTTTTTCTTTCTTTTTTTTTTTTTTTTGAAGCAGGGTCTCACTCTATTGCCCAGGCTGGAGTACAGTGCTGTGATCATGGCTCACTACAGCCTCTACCTCCTGGGCTCAAGATCCTCCCACCTCAGCCTCCCAAGTAGCTGAGACCACAGGTGCATGCCACCATGCCTGAGTAATTTTTGTTTTTTTGTTTTGTTTTGTTTTGTTTTTAGAGATGGGGTTTCGCCATCTTGCTGAGGCTGGTCTTGAACTCCTGGGCTCAAGCCATCCTCCTGCCTTTGCATCCCAAAACACCGGGATTACAAGTGTGTGAGCCAGTACACCCAGCCTAATATTTCTTAGTACAAATTGGCTGGTGATATTAATAAATTCTTTCAGCTTTATTTTGCCTTCATTTTTGAAATGAGTTGACGGTTTTTCTGTCAATATTTTAGATATATTGCCCAATTTTCTTCTACCTTACATCATTTCCAACAAGATATCTGCCGTCTTCTCTTTGGTAGAAAATGTGTTTTTCTCCCTCTGGTTGCTTTTAATATTCTCTACTTGTGACCTGTTTTAAGCAATTGAATCATGATGTATCTTAGTGTAATTTTCTTCATGTTTCTTGGGATTAGCAAGCATCTTGGATCTGTGGGTTTATATCTTTCATCACATTTGAAAAATGTCTGCCATTATTTCTTCAAATATTTTCCTGCTCTCCCCTCTGCTTCAGAGATTCCAATTACATGTATATTTGGCTACTTGCAGTTTTGCCACAGCTCACTAATGCTGTTCGTTCTGGGTTTTTTTCAATGTTTCATTTCCAGTAATTTCCACTGTTATGTCTTCAAGTTTATTAATCTTTTTTCTCAAATGTTTAACCTGCCATTAGTACCATCTTGAACATCATTGTTTTCACCTCTAGAAGTTTGACTTGGGTCATTTTTATAACTTCCATATCTCTACTTACCATGTTCAATATTTCCTCTAGCTTCTAGAACACATGGAATACATTTATAATAATTATTTTAACATCCTTGCCTATAGCTCTTAACATCTGTGTCACTCCTAGGTCAGTTCTAATTGATTGAATTTTCTCTTCATTATGGGTTGCATTTTGCTGATGTTTTGCATCAGCCTAACATTGTGAAATTTACCTTTTTGGGTAAAATTTTGTACAGTTTTTGTATTATTATAAATATTCTCGAACTTTGTTCTTGGACAGTGTGAAGTTACCCGGAGACAGTATGATGTTTTCAAGTCTTGCTGTTAAACTTTATTGAGCAGGACCAGAGCAGTTTTGTTTGAGGCTAATTTTCCCTACATCTGAGTCCTCTGCCTAATGTACTGTGAAGTATGAGGTTTTGAGGTTTTCACTTTTACTGGTGGGAACAGAATCCTAACCCTATGTGAGCTCTGAGAATTATGGCCTTTCGTTCTTTGTTTGTTTGTTTGTTTGTTTTTGAGATAGAGTTTCACTCTATCACCCAGGCTGGAGTGCAGCAGTGCGATCTTGGCTCACTGCAACCTCTGCCTCCCGCATTCAGGTGATTCTCTTGCCTCAGCCTCTCGAGTAGCTGGGATTACAGGTGCATGCCATCATGCCTGGCTAATTTTTGTATTTTTAGTAGAGACAGGGTCTCACCATGTTGGCCAGGCTGGTCTTGAACTCCTCACTTCAAGTGATCTGCCCACCTCAGCCTCCCAAAGTGCTGGGATTACAGGCGTGAGCCACTGCGCCCAGACTCTCATCCTTTTAAGTCATTCTTTCTCCAGCCTTGGATAGTTTTCTAAAACACATGTGCTGATGGGTACTCTATTGAAGATTGGAGGGAGACCATCTGCAGATCTCAGAGTTCTATCTCCTCTGCAGTTCTCTGTCCTGTAACCTCTAGCCATGTTGGCCTCACCAGGCTCCTGGCTTTGCCTCTTCAACTCAGGGAGACTGCCAGAATCCACCTGGGATCTCCCTCCCTGCACCACAGCCTGGGTTGCCCAACTCTCCTCAGTTGGGCAACATATTCCTCTCCAGGCAACAAGCTAGGGCAGCTATAGCACTCATTTCATTTGCTTCTCTTCTCTCAAAGATCGCTGTCCTTCATTGCCTAGTGATCAGTATCTTGAGAATCATTGTTTCATATATTTGATCCAATTTCTTACTTTTTTCAGAAGAGTGGGTAAATCCCCTGCTGTTATTCCACCTTGGCCAGAAGTAGAAGTCAAAATATGAGTTTTTCATTTATTTTCTTAGGGAATTTTCTGGCATACACTCGTCTGTGTTACATATATATAATGTATATATATGTATATATACACACACAAATCTTTACTGGGTGCTTGCTATGTGCAAGGCACTATAGTAGTGCTGGGGATAGAGCTCTCATCAAGACAGACACAACTTACAGCCTAGTAGATGAACTAGGCAAACACGTAACTATATAATTACCACAGTTCATCAAATCTAAGATGCCATTGCTCATAAATTGCACCATTAGTTTATATGCCACTAAAAAAAACACTACCAATGATACTTCTGAGATGCCTTCAATTATAAGATGCATCCCAACTTCAGAGATGTTAGGTGTTTAGAAACATATACACATATCAGAAAGTCAAGGAAATATAGTAATAATTAATTGCAATTTTGATGAGAGCTGAGATAGAGAAATCCAGAATGCCAGCAGGCCACGTATTAGAAAAACCTGACTTAGCCTGGAGAGGCAAGGAAGCCTTATTCACATGCAGCATTTCAGCTGAGATCAAAAAGATGACCTGGTGTTAGCCAAGTGAAGGTGGGTAATAGGAAGGGCATTCTAGGCAGAGGGACTAGGTTGTGCCAAGATGCCAAGGTGGTAAGCAGTTTTGCATTGGTGGGGAACTGAAAGTGCTTCTAGTGAAAACTGAGGGACTGCAATGTGATTTTTAACTTTACCGTCAGAGCAACACAAGCCAGACTGTAAACAAAGGAATGATACACAGTCGTGTATCACTTAACAATGGAGACAAATCCTGAGAAATGTGATGTGTGGTTAGGTGATTTTGTCATTGTGAGAATATCACAGAGTTCATACACAAACCTAGACAGCATAGCCTACTACACACCCAGGCTATATGTTATGGCCCATTGCTCCTAGACTGCAACCTATACAGCATGGGACTGTCCTGAATACTGTAGGCAATTGTAACAGAATGGGAAGTATTTCTGTATCAACATATGTAAACATAGAAAAGGGACAGTAAAAATATGGTATTATAATCCTGCAGGATCAACATCGTATATGCAGTTCATCACAGACTGAAATGTCATTAAGTGGCAAATGACCGTAAGTAAATTTGTCCTGTTGAAACATCACTCCGGCTTCTGTGTGACGGGTGGACTGGGAGAAGCACAGACACTGGTTAAGAGGCAATTACGAGAGTCTGGGAAAGACAGAATGATGGTTTGGACAAGAGTCATGGCAGTGGAAATCAGGAAAAGTTCCCGGGAGATATTTATAGAGATGCATCAATACGATGACCAGCTGTGGACACTAAGGGAGAGGGAGGCACAAGGACTCATGCTTCTGACATGAGAAATTAGATAGATGGAAAAGCCATTTACTCCGATATGGTTCAATGGAGAAGGAGGAGGTTTCAGAGGAGTGGTCAATGAGCTCATTTGGAGCACAGTGAATGTAATAAGTTTGTACCACTCATGGGTTTTTGTTGCAATCAACACAAAACACTCCTGAACATTTGCCACCTCAACCCTGAATGCTCAGTTTCTTCAGTTTCAGTGTAAATAATTCTTTTTTTTTTGGAGACTCAAGTATAGTTTTATTATCTTTCTACATAGAAAACCTAGTTTTAGGGTACATGTGCACCTATGTGCCACAAAGATTCAGAGCTCTAGTCTGAGAGTATGTAATTGGCTAAGAACTAGAAGAGATAACATCTGTGCCCCCTCCCTAAAATAGAAAGGGTGTTTTAATGATGGAGAGTCCACTGAAAGATCTTTAAGCAAGCCTTGGAAGGATATCCAGTGGCTCACGACCAAGCCCTTAGGACTGGTGGAGGAAAAGAAGCCTGCACAGCTCCCAAGAGGAAGTGGTCATCAGAAAGGCCAGAGATTCAGGTGCTTAAATTATTCAGGCAGGAGGTAGGCAAAGTTCAGGTGAAAACAGTCTGTTGTGGATGCTACTAGTGGCATCACCACACCAGGACATTTGCCACCTCAACCCTGGACCCTCAATGTCTTCAGTTTCAGTATAAATAACCTCTGATCATCTCTGCCCCACAAAGACTAGAAGTTCTAGTCTGAGAGCACGTAATTGGCTGAGAACTAGAAGAGAGGATATCTGAGCCCTTTCCCCCAAATAGATGGGGGCGGTTTAATGACAGAGATCTGCTGAAGGATCTTGGAACATCCGGGTAGAAATGACAAGTAAGCATTTGACCAGTGCTGAGCTGGAACTCAGAAGAAAGGTCTGGACTAGAGATAAAACTTTAGGGTCCTCAGCCTGTGTAGGTGGCCTGCATAATGTAGGCACAGATGGCATCACCCAGGAGGAAAACATAGAGCAAGGAGAGAGAACAGCTCACATCCAAGCCCTTAGGTCTGGTGGAGGAAGAGAAGCCTGCACAGCTAGCAAGAGGAAGTGGTCAAGAAAGTAAGAAGAAAACCAGGAGCATGAAGTTGCATGCACACCAAGGGAGGGAGTGGGCACCTGCAGTGAACACGGATGAGAGGCTAAGGGAGATGGGAACAGGAAGAACTCAGATCTTGAAAACTATCGGTGACTTCAGCAAGAACCATCTTGATGACAAAGAGCAGAGTTCATGATACAGGGGATTGAAGAGTGAAGACAAGCAGACAAGGACAGGTGACTCCTTGGAAGGTTTGTCTGTGGAGGGAAGGTAAGGGGTGAGATGGCACTGGAGCTTTTCTTTTTTTGTTGTTTTTTTTGTTTTTTTGCTTTTTTGTTTTCATGAATAGGAGAGAGGCAAACATGTTTAAGACTGGACTGGATAAAGCCAGGAAAGGAGAGGTTGAAGAGACAGGAGAGGAGGAAGAGGATCGAGAGTATCTCCTTCTGGGTGGTTGGGGCCATTCATTCAACAAATATCACTGAACCCTTAGCTACATGCTTGGGCATGATAGCACAGTGGTTCAGAGCACAGTCTCTGGGCCAGGCACGGTGGCTCTCGCCTGTAATCCCAGCACTTTGGGAGGCTGAGGCAGGCGGATCACCTGAAGTCAGGAGTTTAAGACCAGCCTGCCCAACATGGTGAAACCCCATCTCTACTAAAAATACAAAAATTAGCTGGGCGTGGTGGCACATGCCTGTAATTCCACCTACTCGGGAGGCTGAGGCAGGAGAATCACTTGAACCCAGGAGGCAGAGGTTGCCGTGAGCCAAGATCGCACTACTGCACTCCAGCCTGGGTGACAGAGTGAGACTCTGTCTCAAAAATAAAAAGTACATAGCCTCTGGAATGTCTGCATCTTGACTCTGCCTCTTACTAAGTGACCTGGTCAAGTCACATAAGCCATATGAAACTCAATTTCCTCAGCTGTAAATGGAACTAATAATACAACCTGCTTCACACACTTGTGAGGGATGAGTTAAAGCATGAAAATAATAATGGTAAACATTTAATGAGCACTTATTATGTGCTTATGATTTAGTTGTTTCAGACAGGTTGATAAATCCAGTCCCTGTTACTCTACCTGGCCAGAAACAGAAAGCAAGAGATTTTTTTTTTATGTATTTTCTTCTGAGATTTTTTTTTATCAGGATACATCAATCTGTGTAATATAGACATGCATGTATATATTCAACAAATCTTTGTTAGGTACCTGATAATAATGCTGTAAGCACTTTATAGATTTACTTCTCACGAATACTCTATGAGGTAGGTACTATTATAATCACCTCATTTTCCAGGTGAGGAACTGAGGCAATAAGTTTAAGTGCTTTGCCCCAAGTCACACACCCAGGTGGTCTAGCTGCAGAGCCTAAGTTTCTAGCCACGAGGCTATCCTGCCCCCACCAGCTCCAGAAACAAGTCCAAGGGTAATACCAGGACAGCGGGTAAGAGGGCCACAGCCACGGATGCAGGAATAGTCTGGAAAATGGGAAGTGAGGTAGGAGGGCCCTGAACAAGTCTCACCCACCCTATCCAGCGCTCACACTTCTGGTGCTGGCTTTGTGGTGCTAGGTGATTCTGGCAGGATCAGAGGCCAGTGGAGAAACAAATACCCAGAACCATCGAAAATACCCATTTGTCTCTTAATGACAAGCCCTTAGTCTTCCAGAGCACCCACTGAAATGACTCCAATGGAAAGAGACTCTGCCCAGAGTCAGAGGCTGGGAGGTGAGGGGACTGCCAATGGGGTTTCTGAAGCATAACAAGGCATGTTCGGTGGCCGCCTGAGCCAAGCCAGAAAGGGTTCGCCTGCTGACTTCACTTTTCATCTCTGCCAAGGAGCACCCAAGGCCACCACAGACTCTGCAGCAAGCCATTTCTGGAAGGCAGTTCCATCAAGAAAGAAAATAGGCTCTGCTTTTACAAAATGCAGAGATGGGCAAACCACCAGTGTGTGCTATCTGTAACTTTAATTGTTTCTTTGGGATTAAGCACTCCTCCAACAAGGGCAGGAGTGAGCTATAATGTCATGTTGGATTCCAGTCGACTTGGGGTGGTTTGACAGGCTGCCCAACCTGAGCATGTGACCCCAGGGGAGCTGTTTTAAGGCTTTTTTTTCCTCCTGCTGGATTCACTTAGACAGATTTTAGCCCCCAACAAAAGAAACTTTCCAGCCACACCCACCTCCTCCCCCAGCCCTTGCTTCTGGTTTCTTCCTTCTATAACCCACTTGGAATTCTTGGCTGATTCATTCCAGTTCTCTCCTGATGGGATTGCAGAATGTCAGAGCTAGAAGGGGCCATCAGGAAAAATTGGGCCAAGCTTCTTAACGGCAGGTCCCAGCTACTTCCATGCAGTCTGGCCTAGAACCTTCATCGGCTGCAGCTGCTCCCTCCCGGGCCGCTGCACTACAGTGCCCTCTTCTGGTAGTGGATGGCAATTGCCTCTGAGTGGCACCTGATTTTCAGGACTGTCCTGTGGCTCTGACATCTCCTCAGCATAGACTTTCTCTGCAGAGGGGCTCTAGGGGTTGAGTGTGTGGGCTGCCTCTCTGCAGATTTTACTCCCTCTCTCCTGTGCCCCTCCTTACCTCAGCAAGCCCCGGTTCCTTCCCGTGAAGGCTAGGAGGAAAGTAGCCATCTGCAGAAGAATCTGGGGAGGGACTGCCATGGTGGGCTTTAGTTCTTGGCTAGAAGAGCCTCTGTTCTCGGCAGGAGAAGCCAAATTGCACAAGAAAACCCAAAGATCTTCTTTGATGTACAAAGCCATGAAGTCACAGCCCTTAAAAGAGGTCGACAAAGAGCCCAAAGTTTCCATCAGGTTGACAATGTCCATGTAATTCATCTCACTCACTGCAAGGATCAAAACACCAAATGCTTCCAGGAGCCAGACAGGAGGCCTAAATGAATGGAGAAGCAGACACAAGTGAGTGGTGGGAAATGTGAGAATCTAGAGGCCACAGGCCCACCTGAAGACCTCACAATCAAACACAGGCCCACCTGAAGGCACTCACAATCAAACACAGGCCCACCTGAAGGCACTCACAATCAAACACAGGCCCACCTGAAGGCACTCACAATCAAACACAGGCCCACCTGAAGGCACTCACAATCAAACACAGGCCCACTTGAAGGCACTCACAATCAAACACAGGCCCACCTGAAGGCACTCATAATCAAAATTCCAAACTCAACGGGGCACAGTGGCTCATGCCTGTAATCCCAACACTTCAGCAGGCCGAGGTGCAAGGATTACTTGATCTGAGGAGTTTGATACCAGCCTAGGCAACATAGTGAGACCCCTGTCTCTATGAAAAGATCAAAACACGAGCCAGGTGTAGCGGTGTGCACCTGTGGTTCCAGCTACAAGAGAGGATTAAGCGGGAGGATCGCTTGAGCCCGGAGGGTCAAGGCTGCAAGTGAGCTATGATCATGCCACTGCACTCCAGCCTGGGCAATGGAGTAAGACCCTGTCAAAAAAAAAATTCTAAACTCACATTTTGCAGGCCAACAATAGAAGGGCTCATTTCACAAGCCTGGCATTTCAAATTCCCTGCATTTAGTCAATTTCTAAGTACTATTTATTGAGCACTTCACTGTCATGGCCACTGTTCTAAGCACCTCAGATGGAGTAAGCCTCACAACAACCCTATGAAGTAGGCACTATCATTAGCATCATTTGCATTTATAGGTGGGGAGACTGAGGCACGGAGCACTTAAGTAACTGTCCCGATGTCAGACAGATAGAATATGCCATGGCTGGGAACTCAAATAGTAAGGCTCAAAAACTCAACTTATCCAATTTCTTATCTTTTTTTTTTTTTTTTTTTTTGAGACAGGGTCTCACTTGGGCTAGAGGGCAGTGCTGCCGTCATGGGTCACTGCAGCCTTGACTTCCCAGGCTCAAGCAATCCTCCCACCTCAGCCTCCTGAATAGCTGGGTCTACAGACATGCATCACCACACCCGGCTAATTTTTATATTTTTTGTAGACATGGGGTTTTCCGCCATGTTGCCCAGGCTGGTCTCGAACTCCTGGGCTCAAGCAATCTGCCTGCCTTGTCCTCCCAAAGTGCTGGGATTACAGGCACAAGCCACTGCACCTGGCCAGAACCCAGTGTCTTAACCACCAGTACTATACACACAGTACAAGTACATAGTTGTATCCTGGGACATTATGGGAAGCTGATTTTATTACTATGGGAAAGGGAGTATGGTTTAACAGACAAAAAGCAGGCCTTATTAGAGACAAACAGAGTCCGAGTCCTGCTGCTACCACAGACTGCGTGCTCCCAGAGCAAATTAATGACCATTTCTTAGTGTCTGATCAGTAAATCAGAGACAACCACTTTTACTCCCTGGGATAATCGTCAGGGTAAGCGAGATGATAAATGTGTTCCACCTAAAGCATGACATCAAACACAAAACACAATTATGGGTGACTATTACTTAAGTGAAGGACTAAGCATCCAACATTTGACTTGCCTTATTTAAAGGGCGCCACTTGCACTTTTTTTTTTTTTTGTCCTTTTTGAAACAGAGTCTCACTCTGTTGCCCAGGCCGGAGTGCAGTGCTGTGATCTCAGCTCACAGCAACCTCCGCCTCCCAGGTTCAAGCGATTCTCCTGCCTCAGCCTCCCGAGTAGCTGGGATGACAGGCACGTGCCACCACGCCCAGCTAATTTTTTGTGTTTTTAGTAGAGATGGGGTTTCACCGTGTTAGCCAGGATGGTCTCGATCTCCGGACCTCGTGATCCGCCCACCTTGACCTCCCAAAGTGCTAGGATTACAGGCGTGAGCCACTGCGCACTTCTTAACTAGCTTGACATAGGAACGATAAAGGTCTTTCGGTATCTAAACTTCTACTAACAAAAGATTCATATTAAACAAAACCCTTTATTACCTAAGTTTTCAAAAGGGGCTAATTAGTAGGATAGTATACACATTACAAAAGCATTCATGTCACAGAGAAATACACACATAGGTCTTTTAAATAGTGGATTTCTCTGGTATTTTTAATGGTACAATTGGATTTTATCCCCTTTCTGGAACAAGAGCGAAAAATGAAGAAATCATTCCTGTGATCCCTGACTCTGACACTAGATGGCAATAAATTCTCACTTCAATTATGTTCTCTGGGTTCCTACTGCCACAGTCAGCTGATTTGGGGCTATTCCCCAGCTGAAAGTTCAGGGGCTTGAGCCGCTCTGGATTTTTTACTGGTGCATCCCGGCATCTTCTGAAAGTGAATAGTCTTCACATGAGGTTATCCAAGATGTCAGCCCGGCCCGGCCAACATTCCCCATTTCACCCCAATAAATGAGAAAACATTAATTGTGACCCAGTGTGTGCCGGCCCCCATGGGAGCTACAAACAGACCCTTGGTTAAGACAGAAGCCACCCTGGCCCCTAGAGATCTGCTCACTGTCTAGTCCTTTTTCCCTTAGGCCTCCTCCTGCCCACCCGAGGCTCCAAAAGACTCTTGTGCAATGGTTAAAGTCAAGGAAAGTTGGATCTGGAAGAGAACATGAAGATTACTTTATCTCCCCTCACTTTTCAGATGGGAAAACAGATGGAGGCCCAGAGAAGGAAAGTGAATTATCCTAGGCAGCACAGCCCGGCAGGCCAGCATTCGGACCAGAGTCCTGATTCCAGGTGACTTCCCCCATCCCTGCTGTTCTTGTCACACCATGTGAGAACTCCGTCCTGGAGTGCAAACCAAGATCATACCCGTGAATGGAAGAAAACAAAAAGACCTAGCCTTCTGAGTTTCCATGAAGGACTCTGTGGGACAGGATGTGTCCTCACACCAGCAGCCACACCCAGTTGGTAATGCCTCTTTCAACACAACATCACCAGCTATTTGAACACAGGCCGGGATTTCCCCACAGCCCCATTACCCAACAGGTATTGCTCCTGAGTGTTCGCTGCCACACGCGGGGGCTTGCACAGCAAGGCCAGGCTGCCACACCCCTTCCTGCCAAGAGTGGGTTTTGCTGCCTGCAGCAACTCAACTGCCCTGATTCTTCGCTTACTTCTGAGCATTTTGCATCTGTGCTTAGGCCTGGAGCCAAAACAAATTGTGGGGGATAAGAGAAGAAATTAGGCCCTGTCTTCTTAGCCAGTTAGTGTATGAGCTTGGGTGAACAACTTCTCTGAGACTCAGCCTCCCCATCTGTAAAACAACAGAATTAGATTAGAGCCTTCTCTCAGCCTTAGCTTTCTAAGGCCTGTCACATGGCTACTTAGCTATCATTACTATGAAAAGTAATCATGCGTAAATGCAGCACTTCACGTAATATATGTAGGCGTCATTTGTTTTCTGACCTGTACTAGTTTAACTATTAAAAGTATAAGCTTTTCTCTATGTGTTTCTTCCCCTTTAAAAAAAAAAAGTTTAATTACAAAATATTTCTGACCTATGAAAAGATATCAGGAATATGGGGAGGCCAGGCATGGTGGCTGACACCTGTAATCCCAGCACTTTGGGAGGCCAAGGCAGGTGATCACTTAAGTCCAGGAATTCAAGAACAGAGTGAGCAACAAGGCAAGAACTTGTCTCTACAAAAACACAAAAATTAGCCGGGTGTGGTGGTGCACGCCTGTTAGTCCCGGCTACTACTTGGGAGGCTGCGGTGGGAGAATCACTTGAGCTGGGGAGGTAGAGGCTACAGTGAGCCAAGATCGGCCACCGCACTGCAGCCTGGACGTATATATATCACATATATATATACCATCTCCCCATATTTTTTTATTTTTCTGAACAGAGCAAGACACTGTTCAAAAAAATTGTAAAAATGGGGAGATGGATATATATGTGATACACAAACATAGCAAAGTGTTCATTATAGTATCTAAGTAGTAGATATATGAGTGTCCGCTGGACAATTCTTTCAACTTTGCTGTTTGAATTTTCATAATAAAATATTGAAAGGAGAAAAAATGTATTATGAGTGATATCATGAATACTTAGGTAGCCTCCACTCAGCCTAAGAAATCAAATGATCTGAATTTGGATATTCGGTCTCCTAGTCATTTCTTGGTACTTTCACTACAATGTATAGTATTATTTTACACGGTAAAATGTCTTAGTTTTAAGAATTAAGGAATTTCTGAAGTGTCACACTGTGTATTTTGTCTGCAGCTTATTTTTTCACTCAGCATTTTAGTTGTGAGATTCATCCCCACGATATATGAGATTAGGATTTCTTCCTTTTTGTTGTCGTTTTGAGGTCTATTGTATGAACAAGTGATAGTGGATTTACTGATCTTGTAGCTACTTTCTCGGTGTTTCCACTTTTCTTTCTTCGTAAGCGGCGCTGCTGTGCCCATTCTCTCCACGGCTGCATGTCGCCTTGTGCGCAGGAAAGGGGACACAGTGGTGTTCAGGGGCTCTGTGGAGACACACATGGCCTCTAGCACAAGTGACCTGGGTGTTCAAACTATGTCCTCAGGAACCTGTGTTTTGCCGACTCTTGGTTCTGTTTTCTTCTATGCTGGCCTCATTCTCAGTGGACTCTGCACATGTGGTGGCCTTTAGCAGCCCTGGGCATTTATCCAGCTTGGCAGTCCCGGTGGGCAGAAAGCATCCCTTTCCAGAAAGTTCCAGCAGTAGTCAATGGACTGGATGGCGACCTGTATTCCTCCTGCACAAGTCAAACCAGATTTCTGATTGGCCAAACCTGGGTCATGCACTCAGCCCAGTCAGTCTCATCAAAGCCAAATGGACTGAGAGTGGGGAAGGGGTGATTCCCTAACAGAAAACAGAGAAGTGGTCACCAAATGAAGGAGGACTGGATGCTGGGCAGGCAACAACACATGTCCAGGACCCAGCAGTCCTCATGTGGTCCCTTGACCGCTGCACAGGTCACCCTGCATGTGATTATGGTGCCATTTACATGTCTGTGTCCCCTGTTTGGCTGGGAGCCTCTCAAAGAGGAAGACTTCATCTTTCATCTCATCTCCGCTGAGCAAATGCAGCTCAGCACCCAGTTTATAATAAATGACAGTAGGTGGAATCAATCCCTTGACCAAACACATCCTGAAGACGGGGAAGGGCAATTCAACCCTCTGCCTCTGAGGTTTTAGGTCCTCCCTCTGTGAACCCAGTCAGAGGGGTATGACGAAGAAAACGTCCACTACACCTCACCCTCTCTTTTTCTCTCTGAGTTACTGACCATCAGGACAAATGCAGTGTCCAGTTCAGAAGTCAGTATGTTCTCAAACAGCTGCCCTTTATTGAACACCTACTATGTCTCACACTTTTTTTTAATATATGGCTGGGCAAGATTCATCCAGATAGGAATGTTTCCAGCCTTCTGTGAATATGCTGAAAACAACTGTACACTTTAATAGGGTGAACTTTATGGTATGTGAATTTTATCTCAGTAAAGCTGTCATTTTTTAAAAGAAATACCAAGTCTTATATGGTATGATTTCATCTCTACAAAATTCAAAAATGGGCAAAATATTCTATGGTGATAGCAGAATAGTGGTTAGGTTAGAGGGTATTGACTGAGGAGCACGGGGAGCCCCTGGTGTGCTGGAAAAGTTGCATATCTTGATCTGGTAGTGAGTACATGGAGATATCGTGTGCAGAAATTCATTCAGCCATATATTTCAGATGTGTGTGCCTTAAAGCACCAAAGTTGCACCTCAACAAAAAGTAATCCCAAACAGTGATGTCTTTTTAAGTGAAGAAAAGAAACCAGTTCTAGAGCAGTACAAAATTTTAATGGTTTACCATTAAAATGTAATGGTTTGCCATTACTTTTAATGGCAAAAAACACGATTACTTTTGAACCAACCTAATAACTCAAGCTATTGGGTTCTAAACCTGGCTACCCCACTTGCTAGCTATGACTAGGAAGTACTTTGTCCAAGTTACTGAATCGCTCTGTACCTCAGTTTCCCCATCAGTAAAATGGAGAGGCCAATAGTACCTACCCTTAGGACTATTATAATGATTGAATGAGATAATCCTCGTAAAACCTTTAGAGCAGTGTCTGGCACATAGTAAATGCTCAATAAATTTTAGTTATTTCTGTTATTATTGATGTGGGCCAAGCACAATGATCTCTGTGGATGCAGAGATGAAAGACAGAGCCTTATTCTCATGTGGAACACACCAGAAGCAAGCGGTCATGATACAGACAGAGGAGCACTTTGAAGACAAGAAGCCTGGAGTGTGGGCTCTCGTGGGAGGAGCTCCCAAATTCAGCCTGTGGTTTGGGTTGAAGGATCCAGGGAACGTGCAAAGGCACCAAGAGTGACAGAACCAGGGGCCACATGAGGGGTAGTTATGCTAATCAGGGCGGCTACAAACAGAGTTCACAGAAGAGGAGGCTGGAGGGCAGGAAGACAGAGCAATCGGAAAGCTCCTTCTTGGCCACGACCCAGAGCCAGGCTGCTCCTGAGGCCAAGGGGAGAGCCTAGGGATTTCGCAGGGAGGGGACACAGGCAGATTTACTTTTGAGAAAGAGAACGATGGTCACCCATGGAGGATTGATTCCCTGAATGGGAGCCAGGCTAGAGACAGGGAGGCCAGTTAGGAGGCTGTACCTGTCCCTCAAGCATATACTGCAGTGTGTATAATACATTGTCCTGTATGTCTCCTCCCAGCTGCATCATGAGCACCATGAAGGCAGGAACCATATCTATAAAGTAATCTCCTTAGTCTGGCAAAGAGTGTGCGCTCTCTGAATATTGTTGAATGGATACTGAGTGCATGGACCACGTTTCTGATCTCAGTTGACCAGCAGAGAGCATCGTGGGGAGCGGCTGCTGCTGGAACCCAAAAGGCTGGGAGGAGGGGACAGAGGTGGATGTGTCAAGGCCTCAACCCTAGGAGAAGTGGAGGGAGGGGAAAGGGGAGAAACAGGGAGACAACGGGTGACTCCTGAGCTTCTAGCTTAAGCAGTGAAGGGGCCAGCTGTGCCATTTACTTCGAGGGGAAATGACTTCAGTTTGGATCCGAGGGAGATTTCCGAGGGTGTTAGGGGGCAGCAAGGTGTCCAGATATTATTGGAAAAACAGATTAGTAGCTCAGAGGTATGGTCTCAGCTAGGCATAGGGATTTAGGAATTATTATTATCTAGGTGGCAAATTACATGAATGCATATACAAGAAAAAGTCTAGAAAATGACTGTGTCGTTCTGGCACCTATGTTGAAATAAAAAATGATTTAATGAATTCATTCATGCCCAGCCTTGTTATGAAAAAAATTGAGATGGCACTCATAAATATACTTTTTATATTTCTTTTTGGGCTATAGCTTCCGGCTCCTTCATCTTTTTCCTCTAGGTAGAAATAAATACACCTGCCACCATAGAATTTTAGTCTTACTCTCTAATTCTGCCCTAGTGGTTCTCAAAAGTGTAATCCCCTCACCAGCAGCATCAGAATTATCTGGAGCTTGTTAAAGATGCAAATTCTTGGGTCCCTCCCCAGACATCCTGACTTGGAAATTCTGGGACCTGCAATCAGTGTTTTTGTGTGGGTGTGTGTGTGCGGTTTTTTGTTTTTTTTGTTTTTTGTTTTTTGTTTTTTTTTGGAGACGGAATCTTACTCTGTCGCCCAGGCTGGAGGGCAAGTGGTGTGATCTTGGCTCACTGCAACCTCTGCCTCCCAGGTTCAAGCAATTCTCCTGCCTCAGCCTCCCAAGCAGCTGGGAACACAGGCGCGTGTCACCACGCCCAGCTAATTTTTTGTATTTTTTTTGTAGAGACGGGGTTTCACCATGTTAGCCAGGATGGTCCCGATCTCCTGACCTCGTGATCCACCCGCCTCGGCCTCCCAAAGTGCTGGGATTACAGGCATGAGCCACCACACCCGGCCCAGTGTTTTCACAAGGTTTCAAGGTGACTCTGATGCATGTTACAATGTGAGAGCCACTAGTCTGGCCCAATGCCATCATTTTGCAGATGAGGAACATGAGATACAGAGAAATTAAAAGATGTACTTGCCTGACATTGAGAGGTGAGAGCGTGCTGGCAGCCCTCGCAGCCCTCGCTCGCTCTTGGCACCTCCTCGTCCTCAGCGCCCACTCTGGCGGCGCTTGAGGAGCCCTTCAGCCCACTGCTGCACTGTGGGAGCCCCTTCCTGGGATGGCCGAGGCCGGAGCTGGCTCAAACAGCCTGCCGGGAGGTGCGGAGGGAGAGGCACGGGCGGGAACCAGGGCTGCATGCGCCAGCTAGAGTTCCGGGTGGGCATGGGCTTGGCGGACCCCGCACTCGGAGCAGCCGGCGGCCTGGGCAGTGAGGGGCTTAGCACCCACGCCAGCAGCTGCAGAGGGTGCGCCGGGTCCCCCAGCAGTGCTGGCCCACCCACGCTGCACTCGATTACTCACTGGGCCTTAGCTGCCTCCTGACCGGGCAGGGCTCGGGACCTGCAGCCCGCCATGTCTGAGCCTCCGCCCCCATCTCCCCCACCTCCGTGGGCTCCTGCAGCCCGAGCCTCCCCGACGAGCACCGCCCCCTGCTCCATGTGCTCCATGGCACCCAGTCCCATCGACCACCCAAGGGCTGAGGAGTGCGGGCACACCCAGCGGGACTGGCAGGGAGCTCCACCTGCAGCCCCTGGTGCGGGATCCACTGGGTGAAGCCAGTTGGGCTCCTGAGTCTAGTGGGGACTTGGAGAACCTTTATGTCTAGCTAAGGGATTGTAAATGCACCAATCAGCATCCTGTGTCTAGCTCAAGGTTTGTAAATGCACCAATCAGTGCTCTGTGTCTAGCTAATCTAGTGGGGTCTTGGAGAACTTTTGTGTCTAGCTCAAGGTTTGTAAATGCACCAATCAGCACCCTGTCAAAAGGGACCAATCAGCTCTCTGTAAAACAGACCAATCGGCTCTCTGTAAAATGGACCAATCAGCAGGATGTGGGTGGGGCCAGATAAGGGAATAAATGCAGGCTTCCCGCGATAGCAGTGACAACCCACTCGGTCGTGTTCCACACTGTGGAACGTTTGTTTTTTGACTCTTTGCAATAAATCTTGCTGCTGCTCAGTCTTAGGGTCCACACTGCCTTTATGAGCTGTAACACTGACTGCAAAGGTCTACAGCTTTGTTCCTGAAGCCAGCGCGACCACGAGCCCACCAGAAGGAAGAAACTCCGAACACATCCGAACATGGGAAGGCACAAACTCCAGACACGCGGCCTTTAGGAACTGTAACACTCACCGCGAGGGTTGGCGGCTTCATCCTTGAAGTCAGAGAGACCAAGAACCCACCAATTCCGGACACAGCATCACACATTGGCCATAACAGGACATAATCCAGACATCTGAAGAAAGACTAAGATCAAGCTACACAGCCTAAACAGAGGCAGCTATCTCCGTTGCAGTGGTGATATCAGGAAGAAATGTCTTCAAGGGGTTGCCCCTGCAAAGCCATCTCAAATCACTCAATTTCTTAAGTGTCTGCTGAAAGCAGGGCACTGTGTCAGTCTCAGAAGTAAGGCATGGGCATTGCTGGAAACCATGAAAGAAAGTACATTTTCTTTATCAAATAATGTTTCACCCATTGGAGGCCTTCTGTATGAGTTATGGTCCCGTAAGGAAACAGAAATTAAGTAATTTAATTAGGGGAATTTCAGCATACAGAATTGTGATCTAGTGAGGCATGGTTAACTATTCAAGCCATGGGGCTGTGGCTGCTGACTGGCCTCCTGGGCCTTTCCTTTCCATTACTCCCCATTCATTTTTCTCCTTCCTCTCTGATCATTTTTTCATGGGTTCCTTTCTTTCACATCTCCTTTAAATTATCTAAGCAATCCTATCCACTTCCTTAATTTCATAGTAAGTATGGATGAGTAATTCTGAAAGCAGGCCTCTCAACCGAGCTCCAGACCTGGCCAGCCCATGGGCTCTGTTTGTACAGGCAACGTGAGCGCAAGTCACCTTCTTATATCCTCTCCCAATCTGGGAGGGCTGTTGTCTTAGAGGCCTCTCCCTTCCTCACCCCACATGCATTCAGCAGCATCTAACCTGGCACATCTCTGACATCCATCTACAACCCTCATCCTCAGGGCACATCGGACCCAGCCTGGACCACGACTTCCCAATGTCCACCTGCCCTCCCCTTGCTCTCCTCCAATCCTGCCAATGCGGGGGCACTCTAGAACCCAGTTCTGACCATGGTTACTTCCCCTGCCCCACTTAAACCCTTTTGTTTATTCCTCATAGTTCAGATCCAAACTCTCAGGGATGACATGCAAGGCCTCCAGGTCCTGGCCCCATTAGCCCTCCTACCCCATCTCCACCCGACTCCCCACCTGTGCTTTCTCTATTCCAACTGCAAGAACTGTGCTCAGCCTCTCAACTCTCCTGACTACTTCAAACCCAGTACCTTTTGCCTGGTACCTGACAACCCTACCTATCTTTTAGAACTGGGTTCAAGTTTTACCACCTCATTATATAGTCACTTCTTTGAAACAAATCTTACCCACACACAAATTATTGAGCTCACAAGGAAGGATAACTTCAAAATATTTAATCTGATGGGCACCCACCCATCAGAACAAATGCAGGCCCTGGGGCTGGAGCAGAGTCTTGTGGTCTCTGCTATACTAGAATATTAACCTATTAGTTGCTGGATTGTAAAGAGGTATAGTGGTCCAGAGAGAGGACATGCAGGGGGTTCAGGGCAGAAGCTATTCACCAACTAGGACAACAGTATTTCAACATTTTAACCTCTGGTATGATCCATGCACGCATGATCACTGAAGCACTTATGATGTGCCAGATTCTGTGCTAACCCCTCAACACGCTCATTCAGTCCTGACAACCACCCTGTACCATCACATCATCTTCATCACCACCATCATCATCTCCATCTCCACCATCATCTCTATTATCAACACCATCACCATTCTAAGTGACTTGCCCAAGGCCACATGGTCAGTGGTGTAGTAGTCTCCTCACCAGGGTGCTGTCAGTCCTGCCTGAGAAGTTTCACTGCAGCCTCTTATCCTGGTGCTGGATCTGCAATTTAACCAACATGTTCAGTAATTTGTGTATATTGTTTGTTCAAAGGGCAAAACAACCTGTTTCCCGAAGCTTCCCATTACTCATGAAAGCATTCCAAGGGACTTCCCCCAGCCCTTCAAAAACCTGTTCTAACCACCTCTAGACCAACCATGGCACAATGGTCACTCCTTCCTCTTGGCCCAATACACCCAAGTATGGCACCTGTATTTCTAATACCTACCACTTTACATGACTGTCATTCCCACTGGGCTAGTCCTGTACATTTTAATTCACTGATACTTAGCAAAATGGCTGGCTATCAGCCCAATAAATGTTTATTGAATGAATGAACACTATATTGAATGAAGAAACAAGACTGAGCTGCATTATTTGGTGTAAGAACTCTAACTGCCCCACCATCAGAAATATGTGAATTCCTAATATATTCCTTTTATTTTCACCACTTGAATTTATATTTATCAGACACTTGTCAATATTTTCTTTTATAATATTAATGAGAATCTATTAAACCACTCCATAGTCAGAGATGAGCAACTGCAGAAATGACAGGAGAAACAGCAAGAACATACTCAATGCAACCAATTGGCCTGAAAAGGAAATGAATTTAATTTTTTCCATGCCTGCGACTTTATGCTGTTCCGCACCCTCCCCAAGTGGGTGAAAGTAGCCATTTAAAGCATACATGTCAATACTTAAGACTTTAAAATAAAAAGTAAAATGGTTTTGAAATAAAAATAGAAATTATTTACAGAGCCTGTCCTGATTTGCTAACTGCTTTGGAAAAAACTTCCAGCTCTGAGTTGTGAAGCTTTGAGGGACCCAGAGTGACTGACAGCAATTCAGAGATGAGGGGCCTTTCAGCCAGAAAGGGGGACATCAAGCCACAGGACCTCAGGTCCTAGCCACCCTCTACTCCCTAGGTGGGAAAGAAGAAATCTCTTGCAGCCTTGGGCTCTGGAACAGGACAGATATTCCACAGGCCAAATGGACCTGCACTGGTGTCAGTGGACGGTAGAGGATGCTGTCCCAGTTAGAGCAAGGATGAGGTCCAAAGCTTAGCCCTGCCACTTCGTAATGAATGACCTTGTATGAAGCTTCTCAGCCTGCTGTTCCTCTGTGAAATGGGAAATGATACTGCCTACCTCGGGGGACTGTAAGAAGGAATAACAGGTTATTATGCATGCTGAGCACAAGACCTGGCACACAGGTACTCAATAAACAGCATGTGGTTTTTATTGGGTGGAGGGTGGAAGGCAATCCAGAGAAGGAAACAAGCCCAGGTGTGCACTAGGGCTGAAGGTCACTCAGATGGTCTGAGACACTGGTTCTCAACCCTGACTGGACATTAAAATCAGAGAGGGAGCCTTTAAAATACCAGTGCTGGCCAGGCATGGCGGCTCACACCTGTAATCCCAGCACTTTGGGAGGTCGAGGCGGGCAGATCACGAGGTCAGGAGATTGAGACCATCCTGGCTAATACGGTGAAACCCTGTCTCTACTAAAAATACAAAAAATTAGCCGGGCGTGGTGGCAAGCGCCTGTAGTCCCAGCTACCCAGGAGGCTGAGGCAAGAGAATGGCCAGAACCCGGGAGGCGGAGCTTGCAGTGAGCCAAGATCCTGCTACTGCACTCCAGCCTGGGTGACAGAGCGAGACTCTGTCTCAAAAAAAAAAAAAAAAAAAACAGTGCCAGCCTCTTTATGCCTATTCAATCAGCATCTGTGCGGGCAGGGCCCAGGCATTTTTTAAAAGCTCCTAGGAAGATTCTAATAGGTAGTGAGGGTTGAGATCCTGTGCTTGAAGCTAACAGAGCTGGAGACAAGTAATCATTGAACACACTTGCTAACAGTCCATCAAAGGAGGTCCCCGGCCCAAGAGTGAGGCCATCTCGGTTTCAGAATTAAAAGAAAAAACAGCCTTAAAATAGTAAACTTACCTATTTGCTAATCGTTTATACCATGTGCTAATAAAACACATCATAATTACGAAATTCTCAGAATGTAACCACTCTGGAAAAGTCATAACAAAGCTCAAGTGTTTATTAAGAATTAAAAATACTGTAAATAAGCCATACAGTTCATTTCACAGTAAACTAAACAAAACTTTTTTTTTTTTTTTTTACTTTTCGGGTTTTTTTTTTTTTTTTTTTTTCAATTTTTTTTGGAAGGGCAAGACAGCCATTAAAGAACAATACAGCTCAGAGGGAAGGGAGATACAGCAAACAATTACACAAACGCAGTATGCACGCTCCTTGCCGACAGGGCTGCCCAGACGGCAAACCTCTTCATGGACATCATGTTAAAATAAAAGGACTTGGCCTGCATTCCCCAGGGAGACCCCCTATTCCACTGTAGACAGCTCTCCTCACGAATTTTTTGAAAGAACCCAAGGACTCCCCTTTCTGGTAGTCGAAACCTGTGCATTCCTTGGTGACCTCCGGAGAGAGAACATGGGCCGGCAGTGGGGACAGAGGGCACCGGGACTCTGCTGGGTGTAGTGCTTCACATTCAGAACCGCCTGGATGCTTTGCATAGTTACCTCTGATATCACAAGATGCGTCAGGAAGAGAAACGACACGCACACCATGAGGGAGGCAGCCCTCAAGCAGCGGATTCCTTTCAAAGAAAGACCCAGGGGCTTCTCCCCTCCTCATTCAGAGCTGACAGCTATGAGCTTTAACCGGTTCAAAGTGGAAGACAAGTGAGAGATATCTCATAAAAATTTCGGCCAGAACAAAAAAAAAAGTAAAATTAATTTTCCTTAAAGACAACTAGAAAGAAAAGGGTCCCCCCAACCCACCTTTTTTTTTTTTTTACTTGAAATCTGCCAGCCAGACAGGATTTCTGAGGTTAATCTGCTTCTGTTAATCCTCAATTTAAGCCTTTATCATTTTTCTCTGACTAGAGACATCCATGAAAAGCCACCTGTTATTCACAGGGGCTGCGCTTCAGGAAACCAACCAAATGCAGAAGCAGAGAACTTAAATATTGTAAATAAGTTAACTGGGCATGAAAATACAATGCCTTGGTGTTCAGGTGGTGACAACTGCTCTTTAAGAGGGGACAAGAAATTGGGGGGTAGGGGACACATGGGAAAAAACCACACATTTTTTGGTCATGAGAAATTGGACTTTAAATCCGCGCCCTGCACACGCAATTCATTTAGACCTTTTCGTGAATCTTCTCCACTTTCACAAACAACCTATCCAGATCATTCCTCAGGTCATCTAGTAAACCCTTGGCTGATTCCAGATTGTTCTCGTTGGTTTCTATTTTGACCGAGTATGCAACCAAACTGTCCACAGCAGTCCTGAGCATTTTCAAGTCCGCCTCCACTTGGCTGACTGAGGCTTTCAGGTTGTCTAGAGAAGAAAGTCTGTCCAGGAAGTCCTGAGGAGGCAGACGGGCGGCCTGGGCTTGGTCCTGACTGAGCAGCGTGTGCACCTGCTCCTGCACCTTCTGGAGTGATTCCACGGTGCTGGGGAGCTCGCCCACACTCCTCTTCAGCTCCTCCACGTCACCGTAGAGCACCAGCTGGGTCTCGCCCAGGCTCCTCACCGTGCTGGCCAGGCCATCCTGGTCTGCCTCTGAGGACCCGAGGCCTTCCAGGCGCCCCTGCAGGGCGGCCAGGCGCTGCTCGTGCTCCTGGCTCTTGGACAGGAGGGACTCCAGGCTCTCGGTCTGGCGCGCAGAAGCCACCTGCATGGAGAGCACCCCATCCTCCACGTGCTGGAGCCTGGAGTCCAGTCCCTGACTCTTTTGCTGGAGTGCCTCAAAGGCTTCCGAGTGTCTGAAGCCTCCGTCCTCCTTCGGCCCGTGGGAATCGGACTTCAGCTGGCGGAGCTCTTCCTCCAGTCTCCGGATCTCCTCCGGGAGGCGGGAGACGGACTCCTCAGACCTGAGAAGCTTCTCCGTGAGGGCCTGCAGGGCGAGCCGCTCCGTGTCGGCCGCCTCCTTGAAAGCCTGCTGCTCCTGCTTGAGGCTCACCAGCTCGCGGACCTCGGTGTAGATGTCAGACTCCATAGTCTGAAGGGTACTTCTCAGGGCCTCCATGTCCCACTCTCTGGACTTGGCTGAGGTCTGTATCTCCTTCACAGCTTCCTTTAAGGCTTTCAAATCCTGCTTGTTCCCCTCAGATTCTTCCAGGGAGGCAACCTTTGCCTTCATGTCATTGATCTCCTTCTGGCTCCTCTTCTGGACTTCTGTGAAGATGGCGATGTTGTCGTTGATGGATTTGGTGAGCTCCGTCAGCCGCTCCTCCACCGTGTTCTCCAGGGACGTGAAGTCCCGCTCCCGGGCGTCCTTCACCACATGGATCCCATCCGAGAGGTCTTTGAGAATCTCATTCTGGAGTTTCTGCAGCACTTCGCTGATCCGGCTGACCTCACTCTCCCCTTGCTTCACAGCTTTCTCTGTGAGGTCTTGTTTATGTTGGGAGCTTCTCAAGATGGACTCAAAAGTTCCAAATGTGGCTTGCAAAGACTGCACCTGTAATCAAAATCCAGACGTTAATTGCTGAGAAGAGCTGATGAGTTTCACATGATACAACTTTTTTTGTCTGCCCAGCCTCCAGGTCCTGTTTTTTTCCAGAATGTCACCACAATTTTCCTTTGGAGAAACATCCTTCCACATATAGTCCATATGGTTTTAAGGACCAATCCTAGGGTCCCCTCCTAGTGCTCCAGGGATGATTTATAACCCAGGCCTGACTAATCAGGCTGCACAGCACAATGATTAATAACCTGGAAATAAATGGATTAATAACCATTAAAGGTGGCACATGGTGCCACCTTTAATGCTTTGTTGCAAAAAAAAAAAAAAGAAAAAAAAAGGGAAAAGACAGAAAACAAGAACCTGACTCTATCAAGTCCCCATCATGCAGAAGAGACATGTCGTGAGGATGCAATCAGCCAAACCCACAATGTGGAAAATTCTACAGGACAAAGAACCAGGATCTTCAACAACTAAGTGGCATTTTAAAAGAAGGAAAAGCAGGAAACTTACAGACTGAAAGAAATTTAGGAAATTTTTCAATCAAATATAATGTGTGGATCTTCTATAGATCCTGATTTGAACAAACCAGCTGTTAAAAAGACATCTTTGAGCTGGGCCTGGTGGTGTCCACCTGAAGTCCCAACTACTTGGGAAGCTAAGGTGACAGGTTGCCTTGAGCCCAGGAGTGCCTTGAGCCTGGGCAACAGAGTGAGGTTCTGTCTCTAAAACAACAAAAAAATTAAAAAATAAATAAAATTTTTAAAGCCATTTTTGAAATAATCAAGAACTGTGATTCTGGACTGGGTGTCAGATGACATTCAAGTAATACTGTAATCTTTGTTAGGTATGATATGCTGTGTTCTGTTAAAACAAACAGGGAAAGGAGTACAAAGGGAAGGAAAGGAAAGGAACGCTTATCAGTTGGAAATAAATCCTAAAATGCTTTGGGTAAACTAAAAATGTCAGCCAGGGATTCTTTTTTTTTTTTTTTTTTTGAGACGGAGTCTCGCTCTGTCGCCCAGGCTGGAGTGCAGTGGCGGGATCTCGGCTCACTGCAAGCTCCGCCTCCCGGGTTCACGCCATTCTCCTGCCTCAGCCTCCCGAGTAGCTGGGACTACAGGCGCCCGCCACTACGCCCGGCTAATTTTTTGTATTTTTTAGTAGAGACGGGGTTTCACCGTTTTAGCCGGGATGGTCTCGATCTCCTGACCTCGTGATCCGCCCGCCTCGGCCTCCCAAAGTGCTGGGATTACAGGCGTGAGCCACCGCGCCTGGCCTCATTTTAAAACTAATTCCTAATTCACTATCCCCTGGATCTGCCAGGACAACACAGGCTCTTTAGAGGCCCTAAAGCTGAACTGCCAACATTTTCTGAAGCCCTGGACCCACTTCTGCCTAGTAAATTTTCTGGCTTCAGGACAGGACAACCTCTCTGCCTGTGCTATGGCCATGCAACACCAACAGCATCTGGAGAAGAAGGGAGACCAGGCTGGGCACGCATAGGGCAAGAGAGTGGTTCACAGTCAGACTTCTAACTCCAGCCAAAAAAAAAAAGTGGCAGAGGGGAAGAGTGCCGATGGAATGAAAAAAGAATGGCAAAACATCAGTAATTCTTGAAACTGAGGTTCATTATATTCTTTTTTTGTTTACACTTGAACACTGCCATGATAAAAAGTTAAAAAATAAAACAGCACGGTCTCTGGAGCCAGACTGCCTAGGTTCAAATCATAACTTTAACACTTTCCAGCAGTGTGATCTTGGGGAAGTTATTTAGCCTATCTGTACCTTGGTTTCCTCAGCTGAAGGATGGGAAAACAGTACCGGACTCATATGATTGTCTGTATGAAGATTAAGTGAATTAATAATATATCAAGTACTTAAACTGTGCCCAGCACATAGTGAACACTCAATACATGGCAGCTATTATCATCGTGATTATTTCCCATTTCTTCTGAAGCACCTGGTAAGTCTGCAGATTCCTAGAAATATCCTCAACCCATGCCAAAAGGCAGGAGGATAAACTGAAGTGGGATGTGAACAACATCCCTCAGCTCTCGTGCCAGCCCCACCAGTAGCCAGCTCTGTAAGCATGAAGAGTCACATTCACTTTCCGAGTCCCAGGCTCCTCATCCAATAGCAAATAGGTCTCTAAAGTGCTGTCTAGCTCCATCAGTCTGTTTTAAGGCAGATTAGAATAAGGTTCTCAGGGGCTCCAGAATACTAGACAATTTCCCTGCCCAACCAAATACAACCTGAGTCTTAAAGGACACTCTGTGAAGGTACTGGAGAGAGCCCATCTCTGAAACTACGTTATTAAATCACACTGTCTGCCTGTTCTAAGCATAGCACTCAGAACAGAGGTGTGAGCAGGTGAGCACAGTACCTTCAACATGGCAGGCTTTCATCCAGTGTTTTTTGATGGAATCACATAATGAGGGAATTCAAGCAAAGCCTGATGAGCTGGTCCATGTCTCCTCTGATCCCTGTCAGCCCTGACCTGCGCTGGCTCTTCACAAATGGTTAGGAAGGAGACTAGAACAGAAATTATATCCAACCCCCAACACTATAAAAAAGAACATGGTGTTCCCCTACTGAGGGGACTATGAGTTGTGCATCTTTATGTGCAAATAATTCATTATCATCAATATGCATTGGAAATATCTGTTCCCCCAACAAATGTGGGATGCCCACTAAGTGGTAGGCAACAGGCAAGATGCCAGAGATGAAATAATGGCTAGGATCCTTGCCCTCAAGGTTACACCCTAGGGTGGGGGGACTGGGTGTTAGCAGTGGTTGACATTCAACCGGACACTTGTGATGGACCAATAACTATACAAAGGACTTCAGACACATCATCTCATTACACCCTCACCATAATCTCATGAGTTGGTATCTCCCAGTGATCTCCATTTTACTAATGAGGAAACTGGTAAGTGGTAGGCTCAAACGTTAAAATCCCAAAATGCTTGATTTCAGAACCTGAGCTCTCAACCAGTATGTGATATGCTCAGGCAGGGGCACTGACTTCAAAGTGCCCTGAGTACCTGGAAGAGAGACTGCCAACTCCTGAAGCCCTGACTCCTTAGCCAGAGAATCTAGACAAGAAAACAAAGAAATATGACCAGGGAGCTCACTCTTCCACAAATAGGTCCTAGTCTCATTAAACTGTCCCTACCAGGCCTAAGCCTACTCCTACCATTGCTTTATATCACGCTGGATCTGCCAGGGCAACACAGGCTCTTCAGAGGGCCTAGAGATGAACTGCCAACACTTTCTGAAGCCCAGGACCCACTTGTGCCTGCTGAATCCTCTGGGTAAGGACAGGCCTGCCTCTCTGCCTGTGCTACAGTCATTCAGAAGATTTGAGCCATTCTCCAATAACAAGAACATCTGGAGAACAAGAGACAGGTGGGCACCCAACTCCAGCTACACAACTTATGGTCTGTGTGTGACCTTGAATGAGTTACACAGCCAGTCCTCAGCTGCCCCATCTGCAAAATGGTACTACTAAATGATACCTGCCTCAGAGGGTGGCTGGGAGAACAGAAATCATGGCTATAAAGCATTTAATAGCATGGCTGACCCATAGTGAACAGTAATTATGAATACTGTAAGTATACTTCCCTGCTATGAACCAAACTCCACCCCCCAACAAGTAACCAAGAGTTATAAAAGGGTTCAAACTTAGGCTGTCAGAGAACCAAACACAACTGGTTCCTCAATGCAAAATAATTTATTTACTGGCCACCCCAAAGATACAGACAGAGTGGCCACATTCTATGGCAAATCTAACACTGTTCTGGCCATGTTCTGAGTCTCAAGTCAATGGAACATTTATTGGGCACCTACTATGTACTAGGCTAAATAGTGGAGTGGTTAATAGTGTTCCAGGAGTTAGACAACAGTTTGGATCCTAGCCCAGCCACTAACTAGCTATATCACCGCTCAGTTACTTAGCCTCTCACTTTTCTCATCTGTCAAAGAGGGCTGATAATAGTACTTACCTCTTGGGGTTGTTGTGAGAGTCAGCAGATGATGCATTTTCAAATGCTTTGCATAGTGCCTGGCACGTAATAAGTGCACCATAAATATGACACATTAAATTATAGTTTGATTACACTACTAAATTAAAAGAAAAGTGGTCAGCCAGGCGCAGTGGCTCACATCTGTAATCCCAGCACTTTGAGAGGCCAAGGCAGGAGGACTGCTTGAGCCCAGGAGTTTGAGACCAGCCTGAGCAACACAGCAAGACCCTGTCTCTACCAAAAATTTTAAAAATAAATAAATAGCTGGACGTGCTTGTGCATGCCTGTGGTCCCAGCTACTTGTGAGGCTGAGGCAAGAGGAACACTTGAGGCCAGGAGTTCAAGGCTGCAGTGAGCTATGATCACACCACTACGCTCCAGCCTGGTGACAGAGTGAGACCCTGTCTCTACGAAATATAAAATATGAAATAAAAAACAGAGAAGTCACTATTTCAATTATTTTAGAGCCATGAGGATTCTTAAAAGTCTGGATGGAGCCCTCTTCTCATTGTGTGGGTGGGAAAACTGAGCCCCAAAGAAGAAAGTGATCTATATACATAGCTGTGATGGAGAAGGGGTGAGAAGCAAAAAGAAGGGACTAAGTGAGGGGCAGGGAGAAGCACAGAGAATTAACCTGGATTCAAGACCTTCCCTATTTTGGCCTCAACTTCCAACCCACCCTCTCTCACAATTTCCTACATGTGACTCTGCCATTGGCAGGGTAGCCACCTCCTCTCTCTCAAACATGCTCAAAATAGTGCCCCTGCCACGGTGTTCATCACAGTCCTTCTCTCAACATTTATCGATCACCAGCTAGATGGCTGGCACTACCCTGGCCACCGGGATACAGGCGAAATTCCACACCCTCCCTCTTCTGAACTTTCACAGGAGTTACCCTCAACTGACACCTCCTTATGCGCTGCACAAGTGATTCGTGTCTTTTGCTCCTTCATACCCTCCCACAAAGCCTACACAGAGCCATGCAACTGTCAGACTTTAATAAATATTATGATTGACTAGTAAGTAGGAGGATGAAAGAGAAGAAACAGAGGCTAGTCATTATACTCCAGCAGTATGTCTATTTTTTAAGAATGGTTTGACATTCAGGATAGGCAAAGCAGCACTGCCTACTTAATTCCCTTAGAAAAGTCACCTCCCTTGGCCTGCAGCGTTTAGCAGGCTGACTCATTCCAGTTGCTCTGCCAGTCTTTTTTTTTTTTTTTTTTTTTTTTGAGACGGAGTCTCACTCTGTTGCCCCGGCTGGGGTGCACTGGCAGGATTTCCGCTCACTGCAACCTCCACCTCCCGGGTTCAAGCAATTCTCCTGCCTCAACCTCCTGAGTAGCTGGGACTACAGGCATGTGCCACCACACCCCGCTAATTTTTGTATTTTTAGTAGACACAGGGTTTCACCATGTTGGCCAGGCTGCTCTCAAACTTCTGACCTCAGGTGATCCGCCCGCCTCGGCCTCCTACAGTGCCGGGATTACAGGCGTGAGCCACCACGCCCGGCCGTGCTCTGCCAGTCTTAAGAGGAAATTCCTGGTCCTGCACACTCAACAAAAGCAGAGAGCAACTTGGCAGGACAGACAGCATGCTGGGAAAAGGAGGCAGTGGCTCCGGGATCAGAAGTGGCGGGATTTTTTGTTTCAGTCTTGCAACCAACTTTCATTGAGCAATGACATAGTGGAGGGCGAATAAGATCAAAGGGGCTGTACTTGGTATGGAAAAACCACAGAAGGGTGGAAGCTAAGCACCTTCGCCTTGAGAGTTGGGTCCATCCATACCTGAAATGGACCCCTGTGGACCCTTGACGAACAGGGCAGTGGCCTAGACATTCTCGTGTGTCTGTCACTCACCAGCTGGGGACTTTGTCAACTCATTCCTCTGTCTAAACCTCAATGTTCTGCTCTGGGAAATGAAATCAAAACTGTTAGTCCTCCCTCCCAGGGTAGTTATAAGAATTAGATAATATGTGAGTGAGTAAGCATTCTAAACACCATATAAATGTGGCTAGAAGTATTATTCACCAGTATGATCTAGTATTTTTGGCCCTCCTCTTCCCCTAAAGCGGAAGTAGGGCCGGGCGCAGTGGCTCACGCCTGTAATCCCAGCACTTTGGGAGGCCGAGGCAGGCGGATCACTTGAGGTCAGAAGTTCGAGACCAGCCTGGCCAATACGGTGAAACTTTGTCTCTACTACTAATAAAAAATTAGCTGGGTATGGTGGCACATGTCTGTAATCCCAGCTACTCAGGAGGCTGAGGCAGGAGAATCGCTGGAACCTGGGAGGCAGAGGTTGCAGTGAGCTGAGATCGTACCACTGCACTCCAGCCTGGGCGACAGAGCCAGACTCCCTCTCAAAAGAAAACCCAAAAAAGCTGAAGTAGGACTACGTCAAAGGCCCACCTGGGCAGGCTGGTCCAATACAGGACAAGGGACCTAAAGATAGATGGTATTTCATTTGGACCTGCAAATGAGTAAGAATGCCAGCTCCGGGTCTATTAAAAACCCCGCTCGGATGTCTCCCACAGGCAGAGCTGAGGTGGGGCCTTGCCTGAGGCTTCCAGGGATGCGCTGGCTTCCCTTCCAACCTCCTTTTCAGACAGCTCTGCCCATTCAGCGGTTCCTAATGCAGAAAGAATGGGCTCCCCGGAGCCTGCCGGCTTCCTTACAGGTCACCGCTAATGCCCTGTGACAGGCCCTTGGCCCACCCTGCCAGGCGGGCCTGGGCATCCTCGCGGCGGCCCATCCCTCGGGGCCGATTCCTCCGCAGCCATTAACAAAGGGGGTCTGGGGACTGCCTCGGAACTAGGGGGCCGCGTGGAGTGGGATGTCTAGGCCAGGGCCCGCCAAGGAGGAGCGGCCGGCTCCCGCCTCCGGGCCTGGGCAGGCAGCGCTAGGGGCCGGTCGGGAAGCACGAAGGAGCCCGGCCGTGGGTCCGGAGGCCGCAGTCGATGGGGACAGTTGCGGGGCCGGGGGTACCCACCTTCTGCTCGACGCCCTGCAAGCCCTGGCCCAGCTCCTCCCTCTGCCGGGAGAAGTCCTGGTGGCTGCGCCGGACCTGCTGGACCTCCTCCAGGACGTGGTGGACGCACCAGCCCGAGAAAGCGGCCGCCGCCACCAGGGCGAGGTAGAAGAGAAAGTTGAGCGCCCTGCCGAGCCTGCGCGAGCAGGACGCCGAGGACGAGGCGGCGGCGGCGGCAGCGGCGGCGGAGGCGGAGGAGGAGGAGGAGGACTTGCCGCCGCCGCCGCCGCCGCCGCGGTGGCCGCCCTTGCCGTGCGCCTGGTTCTGCGGGTGCTGCTGCGGGTGCTGCTGCGGGTGCGGCGCGGGCGGCGGCGGCGGCTGCTGCGGCGCCGGCGGCGGCTTCTTCGCCACGTCATCCGCGCCGCCCGACGGGTGGGCACCCTTCTCCGAGGGGCTCGCGGCGCCGTGGCCGCCCTTGGAGCCCCTTTGTTTGGCCGAGGGCATGGCGGGCGCGGCGGCGGCTCGGGCCGCGGGCTGGGAGGCGAGCGAGCGCGGCGCGCGGCCCGGGAAACTTGCAGGGGCTCCCCCGGGACTGGGCGAGCGGCACGCGGGCGCTGCTGGCGTCGGAGCGGCGAGAGGACGCGCGGCCGGGGAAGGAG